>NC_000011.10:122323939-122626970 GCF_000001405.40 Homo sapiens
CTGAATTCAGATGACTCAGCTGAAATAAGCCCCCAAATCAGGGATATATTGTAAAATCATAGGCGTAGGAACTCAATGTGTCCAAACCCTTCTCGTTTTGCAATGGAGAAAAAGCTACACCCAGAAGCCGCACAGCTAATCTGTAGAAACCCAGGACTCCTTAGTCAAAAACCACACTATTTGCCCCAGTAGAAATAGAATATGAGGTTCAGAGAGTGGGACTGATAGAGCTGAGTGTCCAAGTCAGAGAGCGCCTGAGTGTTTCAGAGCCAACATTGAGCTCAATACATGTTCCTGACGTCTCTCCTCCCAGACGTTGTGAATGAACACATCTGTCCTTACCAGGCATCCAACTAGTACCACATCCAACAGCCCCAACATATAAAAAAACAGAAACGACATGTGTCCAGGAAATTGAGTTTAATGAAAAGCATTAGGATGTAATAGAAAGAGTAAAGACTTTTGAACCAAAAGATGTGGGTGGAAATCCTAACTCTACCACTTACTGACTCTTTGGTAATTGAGCAAACCACTTTTCTGAGCCTTGACTTCCTCATCTCTAAAATGAACAAAATGATACCCCTTTATTGAGGGAATAAAATATTTGCCCCTGTGTTCAGTACCTTTTGGCTTCTCTTCTATTCATTAAGGTGTGTTGATGTAATACATGAGCCTTGGCCAATTTGCCAAGCCACAATATAATTTCATTTTTCTACTTTTAGGAAGTGACAATGTTTGTCTGGTATAACTACATAAAAATGTAGACACATCAAAGACATTAAATATGTTTCTCCTTTTTCTTGTCACAAGTATCAAGTCTACATTCAGCCAACATGAGTGCCAAGAACACCCTTATTGAATGATAGATTTAGTGTGTGGTTTAGTGATGCTAAGTTCTCCTGCGTGACTCTCAGCAGTCTAAAAAGAATGATCAAATGTGGGGAAGAAAAATTAACACCAGCTTAATACACTTTCATGCCATATCCTACTGCAGGTAGTGAATAAGAGTCTGGGCTCTGAAATCAAAACAACATGGGTTCAAATTTCACTCCAGTATATACTAGCTGTCTGGTCTTGGGCAAGTTACTTCTCTTTAGTTGTGGAATTTTCTTACCGGTAGAATGGGCAGAATAATAGCACCTACTTTATAAACATACGATGAGAGTTAAATTAATGGATGTAAAGGAGTTAGCACCAGGCCTGACACATTGCAAGAGCTTAATAAATGCAAGCTGTTGTCAATACTTACTTTAGACGCATTGTTAAGTGGGGAAAGAAAGCATTAAAATAAAAGAAATATAAACCTAATTTTATTGAAAGAGCTCTGTTTTTGTTATCCGTCAGTTCTCCTAATTTGATAGTTGGTATAAAATACTATCGGGTGCTTTGTATGAGGAATTTCTCAAGAAGGTACCTTGTTCAGATGTCCTTCCACATTTCTCAAATTCCATCATCTAATGCTAGTCTATCTTCATCCATTATGAAGCCTTTAAAATATGACCTAATGCCACTGACTCCTCGATTCTATGAAACATTCCTGGAATCAACAAGGAAAAATGGCATTTTGTTCCAATGATGCCTAATTTAATAATGAAGTTCTAAAGACTACTCCACTCATTCGAGGCCCCATCAATGCAGTTTCCTTTTGTAGCCATACATATTTAGACAATGCCTACTACTTCCTATTTGAAGCAGCTGTAGATTTGTGAAACCAGCACTCAAATTGGCATCAGGAGATTTGAAGTTCAAACCTCGCTCTCTGCTCATTTTAACTTTGGTGGAGGTGCTTTATCTCACTGAGCCTTATCTTCCTGATGTGAAAATGTATATAATAACATCCATGTAATGGAATATATTCAGCTCTAAAAAGAAATGATCTATCAAGCCAGAAAAAGGCATGCAATCGTAAATGCATAATGCTAAGTGAAAGAAGTCAATCTGAAAAGGCTACATACTGTATGAGTCCAGCTATGTGACATTCTGGAATAGACAAAACTATAGAGACAGTAAAAGATCAGTGGTTGCCAGGGGTTAGCGGGGAGGGAGGGATGAATAGGCAGAGCATGGAAGATTTTTAAGGCAGTGAATCTATTCTTTATGAGACTATAATGGTGGGTACCTGTCATTATATGTTTGTCAAAACCCATAGAATGTTCAACACCAGGAGTGAACCCTCATGTAAACTATGAACTTTGGGTGATAACGATGTGTCAATGTAGATTTATTGGTTGTAACAAATGTACCGTTTTAGAGGGGGTTGTTGATGGGGGGAGTCTGTGTATGTGTGGCGACAGTGGGTATGTGAGAACTCTCTATACTTTCCACTTAATTTTTCTGTGAATTTAAAAGTACTCTAAAAAATAAAGTCTATTTTTTTACAAAATGCATGTAAACTTGCTCACAGAGCATCTAGAACATTGTGTGTGCTCACTAAATGTCAACTGAATCTAAATGTTCCCTCTACATAGCCTGCTGGATTGTAAATTCCAAGAAGGAAGGCATCACATATGACCAGAGCATTCTAGAAAACACCTAGCAGAATTCCAAAAACAATCAGTCACAAAATGTTCATATTATGAGGATAATGATTCTGTCATAATTTTGCAGGCTAGACTGTACTATCTAGCCTATCATGCACTATCTTCTTAATCTATGCTTCTTCAGGAAGCGTGCCTTTTTAAAATAATTAAGACAATATTTTTAAATGAATTCACTTGTCACTGGTGCACACACAGACACACACACACATATGAAAGAATTAAGGCTAGGATTAGTGAGATGAGTGAGGTACTTGCATCAAGTACAAATAAAGGTGGAACCAAAAATCTCAGTAAATCCAGGTAAATAATGTATTGCATTAAAACATTTTTATTACTTTATAAAAACATGTAAAAATACATTATTACGTTATTACATTTAATGCGATATGTATTATAAAAAACATGATTCATGCAAAAAATTCATGATGAATACAATATCTTTTTTTAATACAGAATCAATATAACTAATTATTTCCTTTTGACTTAGTTTTCAACACGGCTTGGTCCAGCACTAAAATGACACTGAGGCACCTGCCACAGATTTTCACTAAGGTAAAGGTTAAGTAGCTCTTCTTCAGTGGCATCAGGTGCGTCAGTGGTACTAGATGCATTACTGGCCCTTTCTTTTGAAGACCAGACACTTCCTAACAATGTCCAGAATTATTCTTTAACCTTTCAATGGTGTCCATTAGCAAACATGTTTTAGAGGGTGATTTTAATAAGACACTAAAACCCAAAAGCCATGAAACTGTCTCCAATTTCTCACTCCAGCTCTTACTCTCCTCCCATAATACTGTGGAATAGTTTACTGGCCCCTGTAATTATATTATAACCAAGATAACTGTACTCAGATTCATAATATATTCTAGGTTTTTGACTTGGCCGAAGGGACAGTGGCTTACCTAAGCATGAGTGCTGAAATTAAATGAATGGCAGAAGTTCGTGGTTCTCTTTACTTCCTAAAACATGATGAAAACAGGGACAAACGGGGAATAGGTAAGTGTGAGAATCAGTATGTTGGGGAGGCTGGTGGGAGGAAAAGTTTAAAGGGAGGGTATCAGAGAACCCCTATGATCTCACATTTCTAAAGGATACCTTGTCTCGTTTGTAAACAAACACAGTCCTACAAGAACAATTTGCTAACCCACTCTCCTTCCTGTGGAGATGATTCGACATTCATTCACTTGATATTTCCTGAGCTCTTGTTATGGGCAAGGCATCATGCTTCAAACTATTCAGGACACAAAGGAAAAGTATTGGTGTGCAAAATGCAGCACTGGGGTTCCTAAGACTTGCAAACTAATAGAAAAGATAACATATAACAAGAGCCTCTTTGCAGTGTGTAACACTTTCACATAAATATCATTTTCACACTTGATCTTTATCCTACTCTAACAAAGGTTAGCTAGGCATCCACACCCTCATTTCAAAAATGAAGAAATCATTCCAAAAATGGTGACACTAGAGCTACATCATAGCTAATGCTATGTCTTCTTTGATATGAGGCAGTAGATGACAAGTTTGAAGTGAGTAGGATAAATCACCTAAGTGTTGCAGATTAGAAATGGTAGGATTACTTTTGAATGGTGTGGTACAAAAAGGAATTACAAAGTGGGTGCGAAAAAAAGAGTAAGGCCAGGCAAAAGAACACGGAGAAAGAGTGGTAGCGGGGAGGATAGAAAGGAAGAAGGTAGACATTTCTAAGCAAGGGGACCGTCACCGGCAAAGCATAGAGGTAGGCAATCACCAGGTGCCTTTTGGGATAGTCGGCAATCAGATAGCTACAGCATAAAGTTTTGCTTGGGAAGTGGTGTTAGACAAAGCAGCAAAATAATGTCATGGAGAGACTGGGAAGCCTTACATATCAAGCTAAGGAGGTTGAACTTTATTGGGTAGAGAAAAAAGAGATTAAATTTTTACATAGAAAAGTGGGGCAAATGTTAATTTTAGAAAGACTAATCTGCTTATACATTGGATGCAGTGTGGTTTGGTGGAGAGATACTATTCTGAATCAAAGAAAACTTGTTAAGAAGCCATTTCAGGGGTCTAAGTAACAAGATCCTGACTTAGTGATGGAAATGAAGAAAAATAAAAGGGAGTTGGTGTCAGAAAACCTGGTTTCAATTCTCTTCTACCTTACCCATTTCCAAATGGACAGTGGAAAACAAATGCTGACCCACTTTTCGATGCATATTTTAACTAATCAAATATTATAATTCACTACATGCCAGATGCTATATTAAACATCAAGATACCAAGGTGAAGATCAGTCCTTGCCTTTGAAAGGACCACAAGAATGAGAAAGAAAGAGCAACCAGATGTCCTGGGAGAGTCAGGGAGGTCTTCATAGAAGGATAGATGCTTGAAGTGATTCATGAGGCATGAGCAGTGCTATGGATAAAACGGTGTCCCTAAAAATTACTATAATATGTTGAAATCCTAACTGCCAGTGTGACTGTACTTGGAGATAGGGCTTTCAGGAGAATGATTAAGGTTAAATAAAGCCATAAAGGTGGGGTCCTAATTCAATAGGATTATTGGGCCTTATAAGAAGAGGAAGAGAGTGGGGGTGGGAGAAGAGAGATCGCTGAACACACACCAAGGAAAGGCCATGTGAAGTCATAGCAAAAAGGCAGAAGTCTACAAACCAGAAAGAGAGGCCTCAACCAGAAACCAACCCTGACAGTTCTCGATCTTGGACTTTCCAGCCTTCAGAACTGTGAGAAATAATTTTCTGTTGTTAAGCTGCCCAGTCTATGGTGTTTGTTGTGGAAGCCCAAGCTGACAAATACAAGTAGGAAGTTTCTGAGGCAGAATATAAGGAGTGAGTATACTTTGCAAAGAGGGAAGAGGGTGGAGGTATGCAGGGAAAGAGAAAGAGATAACATGGAAAGATGTCAAAACAAAATGGCATAGTGCATTTTAAGAATTCCAAGTAACTTGGTAGGACTGAAATAATGGTGGATTTGAAGAAATGAGAAGAAGCCAAATAGGATAGTGAGAAGAGGCCATATTGTTCACACCAAAATGTTGGGACTTGTTTTGGGAAAGGAAGTGAGGCCATTTTAGGATCTTTAGCAGGGCAATGGCATGCTCAGAGAAATGTCTCAGAAAGATAATTCCAACAGGAGAGTGAAGAATGGATAACAGGAGATCAAGACTGGAGGCAGGGAGCTTATTAGGGGAAATTTATCAATCATCCAGACAAGAGCAAATGAGAAGGTAGGGCTGCAGAAGAAGCAGTGACTAAGAGTGATATTTAGGAGGAAGAATCATCCACTCCTTAAGGAACATTGCAAAATCTGCTAACCACGGAAGACAAACACCTTTTAACGTGTCTGCCCACTTCAATCATCTAAAGTTTCTTGGAATTTCCTAAAATATTGCCTTGACTATCTGCAGCCAGACCTGGCCTCAGAGGAAAAGGGGGCCATGGCCATTGACTAACACCATTTGCCATGGGTGTGTCAGTGAGGAGTGGTGATTGACAGAGTGACTGCCAATCCACTCTCCTTTGGAGCAAGATTAACCTAAAACAAGATACATTAACACAATTCAAGTTTCTTTTAAGGACCTCTACACAAGAAACACATGTTTTGTCATAAAAAGCATTCCAGGGCCTCACAATCCTGATTGTTAAAAGAAAAGCTTAATCTCTGAAAATTCTTCTTCCTTCAGATTTCTTTTCCATAAGGAATAATTCTCATCTATTGAATCTTTCCTTCAGAGCCTTATTCTTCCTTGTCAACAGCTTTCTTGGAAGATTACAGCTGCTGCTAACCAGTTAGATGTCTCCCTACCCGTTCACCCCGAATCCTTCCTTTCTTCCTAAGTCTATGAGAATAACTGTGTTCACAGTCCATGCCCTGTGCCCTCTGTCCTGCTCCACATTGACAATGGTCTGACTATGAAAGCCCTCTACCTCCTTGCAGCCTGATCATATTGCTAGTAGCCTCTGGTCTCCTTGTGCTTACCACACATGATCATGGCCTGCTATGGGGCTAGCTAACCTCAGCTAGAATTTTCCCTCCAGCTTCCTCTCTGTAATATCACATCCTTCCCCTATTTCCAAGCTAATATTCAAGATTTATTTTTCTGGGTAAGACTTTCTTCTAAGACATCCCCAGTCAACACACACACACGTACGTGTAATGTAATGCTGTTGCATTATCAAAGCCACACCTCTCCCACAGTTATAAAGAACAGGATTACTTAATGGTTAAAAGCTTGACATCTGGAGTCTGATGGCCTGGATGATAATCCTAGATCTGCCCTTCATTGAGCCAGTTATTTACAATTGCTGTGATTCAGTTTCCTCATCTGTATAATGTAGATCATAATAGTAGAGTATCCACCTCATTGATTTGTCGTGAAAATTGAATGAGTTAACATATGCAAAATGCCTGGAATAGTGCCAGGCACATGACTGGCTATAAATGTTCCTAGTATTATTATTGCTATAGTGCAGTGGTTAAGAGCAGGGTGTTGGACCTCTCTGAATTTCAGCTTCTTTATTTAAAATATGAATGGAAAATACCTATTTTATAAGCTTACATGAAGATGAAATGAGATCATGTCAAAGATTTTAGCATAGAGCAATCAATAAATTGCATTATTATAATTATTGTCATTATAACTCAATATTGTCCACATACTAAATGAACTTGTATTTATTTTCTAAAATGCCCAGACTGTCAGAAACCTCAGAGACTGTTGACTTCAATCTCTTCATTTGCACAGGGACCTGTCTAATAGAAAGTTGACATGACTTGGCAAGGCTGCACTTCCATATGGTGAGTCAGAACTAGAACTCAGTCCTGCTGACTCCCAGACCTTCTTCCCACCACATCACATCGCATGGCACAGTTTGTCTTTTTTCTCCTCTGTGTGCTGTGCAAACCCTTCTCAACAGCACAGTGCATACAAACTAGAACTCTTTCTTTCTTTACTTGTAACTTTTATTGTAGGTTTGGGGTACATGTAAAGGTTTAATACATAGATATACATGTGTCATGAGGGTTTGTTGTACATATTATTTTATCACCCAGGTATTAAGCCCAGTACCCGATAGTTATCTTTTCTGCTCCTCTCCTGCCTCCCAACCTCCCTGCTCAAGTAAACCCCAGTGTCTGTTCTTTCCTTTTTTGTTGTTGTTTTTGTTTGTTTGTTTTTGAGATAGAGTCTCACTCACTCTGTCACCCAGACTGAAGTGCAGTGGCACCATCTCAGCATACTGTAGCCTCCACCCCCTGGGTTCAAGAGATTCTTGTGCCTCAGCCTCCCTAGTAGCTGGGATTATAGGTGCACACCACCACTCCCAGCTAATTTTTGTATAGTAGAGACGGGGTTTCTCCGTGTTGGTCAGGCTGGTCTTGAACTCCTGACCTCAGGTGATCCACCGCCTCGGCCTCCCAAAGTGCTGGCATTACAGGCATGAGCCACCTTGCCTGACCTGTTATTTCCTTATGTTCTTAAGTTCTTATCATTTAGCTCCCACTTATAAGTGAGAACATGCAGTCTTTGGTTTTCTGTTCCTGTGTGAGTTTGCTAATAGCCTCCAGCTCCATCTGTGTTCCCACAAAAGACAAGAACTTATTCTTTTTATGGCTGCATAGTATTCCATGGTGTATATGTACCACATTTTCTGTATTCAATCTGTCATTGACAGGCATTTAGGTTGATTCCATGTCTTTGCTATTATGAATAGTGCTGCAATGAACATTTGTATGCATGTGTCTTTATGGTAAAATAATTTATATTCCTCTGGGTATACACCCAGTAATGGGATTGCTGGGTTGAACGGTAGTTCTGCTTTTAGGTCTTTGAGGAATCTCCATACTGCTTTCTACAATGGTTGAACTAATTTACACTACCACCAACAGTGTGTACATATTCCCTTTTCTCTGCAACCTTGCCAGCATCTATTATTTTTTGACTTTTTAATAACATCCATTCTGACTGATGTGAGGTGGCATCTCATTATGGTTTTGATTTGTATTTCTCTAATGATCAGTGATATTGAGCTTTTCTTCACATGCTTGCTGGATGCATGTATGTCTTCTTTACCTTTGAAGTTCTTCTGTGTCCCTGTTCATATACTAAATCCTCTCGCACACACCTGCCAAAGACGTGCTACAGTTCTCAGTGCACAGCATGTGCTCAAGTATGGCAATGACCTTCTTTAATATTTTAACATTTGTCCTTTGAAGGCTTATCATAAGGAATCTTTATATATGTGTGACTATTTGTAATGTCATATTTGTGTCTGTGATGAAAACAATGGACTTATTCCCGGGTGCAGCATTTGATTTTCCCTATGTTCTGGCTAGCAGTGTTCTATTAAACAATACACTGCCTCCCGTCTAAAGCTATAAAAGAGGCATACACAATAATCTTAAAAGCAGGCAGGGCTGGTTCCATGTCATTTGTGTAGCCAAAAAGTTCCCCTCAGCTGCCACAAATTCAGTAGAACCATCAAAGGTAAGTTCTGATCATTGAATAGTATGTCCAACCCAATCCAGTAATTTACAGCCTTCTAGGGTAACACAATCCCTCTTTATCAGATTCCTCATTATTCCCAGTGTCACCTGCACCCTTCTGCACTATGCAGAGAAGGTAGTGTGATTCGAGTGGAGTGTCCATGTGATGTGTTTCATTGTATTCTTTTCTTCTCTTCTGTTCTGTTTCTTTCCCTTCTCTTTCCTTTCCCACCTCATTCTGTTTTTCACTTTTTTCTTCTTCATTTCTTTCTTTCTCCCTCCCTCCTTTCCTTCCTTCCTACCTTCTTTTCTCTCCCTCCTTCTCTCCCTTTCTTCCTTTCTTCCTTCTCTTTTTCCCACCTGCCTGCCATAACGATCATGTCTTGCCTGAAAGGACAATGATTAATAGCATTTCCTTACATTTGTATAGTTTTTTTAAGTACTGTCCTCTATCCATTTCAACGATTTCCTTTGTCGTCTCACTTGATCCTTCATACCAGCCCCCATGAAATGAAGCAGAGCAGCCATTTCTAAAATTATTGAAAAGGAGGTCACGCAATGAGTTAGTAACAAAGCCAGGACAATGAGCCATGCCACTCATTTGTTTATTCATTCATTCATTTATTCATATTGAGTTCTGCACTGTAAAATTCATTACAGGTTCTTACAGGGAGTCAGACTTCATGCATGCCAGAGTTCTGTACCAGAGGGCCTCACCAGTGGCAGGTGCTCCCGCCCAGCACGGAGAAGTCAGTCAGGTGGGACTTTTCATGACAGTTACTAAGAAGTAGGAAAGGAATGTCTGGAAAAGTGCAGACATTCCATGTTTATCCTAATTCCTTGGTGGGACCAACCAGAGGAAATGCTAAGTACCCTCCTGTCTCCAGTAACCCTCATCCAGCCGGAGATCCTTTATTTCTCCCCATTGTCTCTACATATATCTATTACAATATGCACAACACTTCAATCCATTTATTTACATACTTGTTTATCTTGAACAGCTAAACTACTGGCTCCTGAACATTAAGACTTAGCTCAGCACCCAACACACTATGTGTGGGCACCTAGACATTTGGCGTGAGTGAATTAATGCATGAAATTCAGGATTGTACTATAGCATACTTCCTCCAGAACATAGCAGGAACCTGGAGGCAGAAGGGCCAGTGCACTGACTGCATCGGCCTCTTTCCTTCTGCCCCTGAAGTCTACACTGAATGACATTGGGTCGATTTTCCTGGTCAGACTTAGTAAGAGACTTGTTAGGGGCAACAGCAGAGGAGGGCTTGATATTTGGCTCTTTGCTGATTTGGAGACAAAGAGGCAAAGGGGAACAGTTCTTATCAAAACATTTAATTATCTAGACTCTCCTAAGACATAAATTCTTCCTGCAAATATCTCTACATGCTTTAAAAATATTCAGAGTAACAGGTTTCCACTTATAAGTTATGAAGTTTAAGAATGGTTAAGTACTCTCTGTAGTCTGAAAAAAAATAGCATTGCATCTAAAGGAAGCTAACTTTCTCTAGAAGAACAATTTTAACAGTGGGGGAATCTGTCCCCACACTTGGGCCAATGTTTATGACAAACCATCAAGCTCATTAAAACTCCCAGAGAAGAAAGCAAAGAGGATGGTACTTGGTCCTTGATTAAGGTTTTGCCATTGAATCCTTCAACCTCCTACCACTGCTTCTAGCTGTCAGTTCCAGAATTTGAAACGCGGTGGAAGAGGCTAGTGGGTGTACAGAAAAACCTTCCTTGTGAAGCAGGGCAGTTTCCTCACACTCTGACCACAATCAAATACCATTAACTTACAAAAGACACAGGCTGCAAAGCTGAAGAGAAGGAGAATTGTATTCCCCGAGACAGCCTGAAACAGGCAAAAAAAAAAAAAAAAAAAAAAACAGGGAGAGAACGCAAATAAGACTGCCTGTGTGTTGAAGCCCCAGGAGAACAGAAAAAGATATAAATTATAAAACTGTTTATACTTAATGCACATATCTCTCCAGATGAGGCAGCCCTAAAACATTTCCACAAGCTAGTGATAGAGGAAATTTTTAAAAAAGCAACTTTTGCAGAAACCCGCAAGTGAGTACTTGATCTTGCTCAATTTCAATTTGTTTCTTTAGGAACTTTTTTCCATAAACGCAGGCCTGGGAGCCGAGCAGTACGTGCAGAGGGCCCATCTTCTGAGGGCCCAGGGACCTCCATGTTCCATTCCCATGCCAAGGAAAACACAGACGGAGAAAATGATCACCTCCAGAGGACTGCTTTTCATCACTGTACTCCGTATCAGGAGAAAGTGTGTGTTCACAGAGACCGAGGGACCCAGACTGTATACTGACATCTGCCTTAGAAGGGTCCAGGGAAAGTTAATCAGATTTTCTTGAGCCACAATTTGACCACCAACTCAGGTAGGAATACCTGAGAGTTTTAGGCACTCCTTACATTCAAAATGATGGTAATTTTGTGTGCTTTCATTGGCACAGGGTCTCCATCAGTCCAAATCCCAAAAATGACATCCCTACAACAGATGGTTCAAAGTGCAAACAACTTTGCCAGCTGAAGTGGTGGAATCTTTGAAACCAAGGAGCAAAAAAATCATAGAAACAGAATTCTAGAGCTGGTATGGTCTTTAAGAAATGATCCGGGTCAGCACCAGCATTTGCAAAAATAGTGTCTAAGTGTTGCCCAAGAGATGAGTATTGGTCTAATTGTAACAGTCTTTTGCAGAGTGAAGGTAAGAGAAATTCACTTTCTTTGCTCTACTCTTAGGCACAGTGTGTATCTTTTCTTAGATAAGCATAGCTTGGAAAAGTTCACACAACTGGGATTGTTCAACCCCACAGAACCAGCCTTGTTACAAAGTTCCATTTATGGCTATTAAATCTTTTTTCTTGATATCAAACAGAACAGGGCAAGCAGGTACCCAAACAGAATGGCTTTAAAAGATAAATAAAATAAAATAAAATAAAATAAAATAAAATAAAATAAAATAAAATAAAAATGAAAAGATGTTTGCTATAAATGAATCCCCAATTCTGTAAGAAAATACTAAGAGAATGTTCTTTAGAAGGTCATGGGATATGTAAGTAATAAAGAAGAGAAAAATGTTTTAAGAAACAGAATAAAGGCATGGGAAATTGATTGTCAAAGCATTATTTGAAAGCTTTCTTAAATTTAGTATAATATCCAACAGAATATCTCCTTCATGGTGATACTAATCTCTCTTTGAAAAGAATCAACACAAAATCTCATTAATTTGAGTCACACTATTTCAGAATTCAGGATAATTCAAACCAGACAGCTAAACTTACTTTTGTAAGTTACTGCCAGGTCTCTTTAAAAACTCAGTGCCAACAGGAAAAGACAGAAAAATAGTTTTAGCACTTTACAAACATCAACTTACATACAAATAAATATAATATTATAATTTTTATACATACATGAAAAGTTACATGAAAATTCTAAATGGCAACACTTTGTTAATTCTGACACAGCACAGAAGGGAGCAGTCAGTTTTTCCCTGGAAAGACCTGATTTCTGCATTTTCCAGGCCGTTTTCTAGCTGTGGGAGCTTGGGGAAAACCACCTGATCTCCCTGGGTCTCCGTGGCTTCTCTATAAAAGGACAGTTATTTTAATAACACGTCACCAAAGGACCAGAGGCTTTCTTGAGCCCTCCAGCTTTTAGGTCTCTGTTATAACTTTCATGTAAATACCGTGTGTTTTTCTTTTAGATCTCCTCTTTAGTTCAAATTTCTTTATAAGTTTAAACTGATCCATCCACAAATGAATTCAAATGAACAAGATTTTTTTGCACAACACACATCTTTCAGGCTACAATCTGAAATATATGTTGACCAAAGGAATATATTTATCTTCAGTGCTGCTGTGAGCACAAACAGAACAGCAAACCAAACAATGACGATGGATGACGATGGTGATGATGCACTTGCTTCTCATCTCGTTCATTTCTGTAGCAGTCTCTGCCTTTTGGAGCCTAATGATCATGGAACTAAACAGCGATGGAATAGCAGTCCGTGCTGCTTAGTATCTGTTTCTTTGCTATTTCATAACCAACTTGTAGTTTACTAAAAAACTTCTTCATAACCCAGCTCAGGTTATATGACTAATTCAAATGAGACCTTGAAGTCAAAGTATCCTGTGTATATAGTAGTATATGGTGATATTCTCACTTGAAAATTAATACCATAATATTATTGTTATCTCTCAGAGAGGAGAGCCTCAACATCTAATGAATTATGACGTAAATAAGAAAAAAAGGGAGGAAAACACAGTATGGGATTTAAGTCACAAAAATGATTTTAGAATCTAATTGCTATTTACTTAACTGAATTTGTTAACTATGTGGCTTTGGGTAAGTTACCTAATCTCTCTATGCTTCAGCTTCTTTACTCATGAAGTGGGCATAATTATTCCTAATTCATCATGAAACTGAATGGCTACATGAGATAAGGGATGAGATAGTGCCTCGCCCGTTATCTGCCACAGAGGAAGTATTTGTAAATACTTGGTACTTCCCTTTCATACAGACATTCGTTAGCCCAAGGAATGCAAAAATATTCATCTTTACCTGTGATAGACAGACAACGATTCTCACTTAAGGCTTTTTATAAAGAGAAAGTCATTTTCCGAAGGTTTTCCATTAATATAATCAGAAGAATTTCAAATATCCATAAAACACAGAGACAAGAAAACAAGTTTCTTGACTGTTTTCAGCCCTGGCTGTTGATATTGGTTTCACTCCCGCCACTCCCAACAACTTGACTGTTGTCTCCTAAAGCGCAGGCACAGGGACTTATCTTGGCGTCCCCTGCCAAGCCTTGCAGAATCCTCACATGGAGTATGTGCGATGTGAATATTTGTTGAGCCAAATTTATCTCAAAATTCTTCTGTCCATCAAGACAGATTGTTTTTAACTCATATGGTATTTGGATACAAAACAGTCAACTTTCATGACCCCTGATGGGTCAGCAGATCAGAGACTGCACAAGAAAAACACTTGACATCTGTGAATGCCAACTAAGATATTCATGTTTCCTGGTTCTGTCAAAATACCCTTATCTCTAAGTAGAAAGAAAGGTTAGTATTCTGAAGGCATGTCAGAGGTTTCCTATTTAAGTCCCTCCCTAGATCACAGTGAGCATTCCATTCACTGGTGACAAAAAGACTGGTACTAATTTATTATAGAATTCTTAGCAACCAATACTTTAAAGAGTCATGAAAACCACATGTTCATTCCCTTGGCCTTTCAAGCACCCACTTCCATGGGGAAGAGCTTTTGCCCTCAGCCAAACGAGTACCCTTTCTTTTACAAGTATCATCATAATTTATATTAATGAAATTTTGACGATGTTTGAAGATTGTTCATTGACTTAATAGAGGTTTGCATAACTACCACATGCCAGACAGTGTTCTAGATGCTGATGCTTATTAGTATTAGTAGTATGAACAAAGCATCTCCCACTCGCTACCCCCCCCACACACACCTGCTCTCTTGTACTATACATTCTAGCATCGGAGGGACAAACAGTAAACAAAGAAGGGAAATATAGTAAATCTGATAGCGAGAAGTGCTTAGAGAAAAAAAGTAGGGAAGAAGCTTCTAGAGAACAGAGGGGAGTCAGGTCTTGTAAACGTCAAGATTACAGAAAAACATAACAAAGACACTGAACTTCTATGCATATGTTCACCCTACGATGGTTATAATAGTAATAATTATTATTATATATTAATAATCTTTCTAGAAAATGTACCAACTAAGCTGATATATAAGAATAGGCAGAAATTGGACTAACGATAATTAGGCTAATGATAATATATTGATCAACAGGCACTCAGACAAGCAATTCCATATGTTATCCCATGAATCATCACAATATCCCATAAATCCCATGTGTTATCTCATGAATCCTCTAGGGAGGAGGTAGTGTTCTCTTTTAACCAATACAAATAAGGAAACAGCACAATGAAGTTATTGGCCTGATGTCACAAACCTAGTGGCAGAGTTGAATGTGACTCCAGGCCCCAGGCTCTTGACACTAAACTGCCCTTAGCCCCAAGCCCGATATTGATATTCAACAGATTTAAATAAATATCTCCAAGAAATATAAAGAATACCTTATTTTCTAAAAGATAGAACATATTTTTGATGTTCCACTTCTAGAGAGATTTACTAAATTTAATCCGATCACTTTGCTCTAAATTACACTAAATTGCATGTGTGTCTTTCAGGGCAGAAAGTACCCAGTATTCCATAACTTTGAGCATTCTTAAGTTTCTGCATTTAAACAAAAAAGTTGTTGTAATTTATGAAGGCAAGATAAGGCAAACCTGCAGTGTGACTGAAGAACAAACTCAAGAGTAAAGACACACAAGGCTGATTAGACCAAGGTTATTGGCAAAGATTTGTGAGGACTAGAATCTGAGCATGTCCTCTGCTCCCTGAGCTTCACAAAGCCTGGACTGCCAACTCACAAACAAGAGCTGGGGTCCTAGGAAAGAGTGAGTGAAAGTATGTGGGCTGACATGAAAATACACCCCTCAGCAGCAGAGAGCAAGGCAAAACTCTCAAATTCCATGCTATGCTAAGGCAATTTAATTACATTTTAATTATTTATATCTTGCTTTATTCCAGAAACGATAAGATAAACTAGATGTAGAAGAGAAAAAGAAAGGAGAAAAATATGGATAACACTAAAGAATGGAGACAGGAATGGAGCCAATACAGAAATACAGGCCACCAAGACCTAAACATTTGCAGGAGGTGTTGAGGGGGTAAAAATTTAGCTCTAAACTGGCTGGCAGCCAATCAAAGAAGAAAACCTAATCAGTTACATTACTCAGTGTCTGGGAGATAAAATATGTCTGTTGTGTTCACATAAAAGGAAATGTTACTAAATGATATTCCAGCTCCCCACAAAGAAATTTCCAATTGATAAAAGGCAGAAGACAGATGAGCTTCATCCTGCACAAAAAGGGAGACAAGATGGAGTGGGCAGATTATGGGCTCCTTCCTCTACAGATAATCCTGATTGTGGTAAGGATTAAATGACACCATATTTGTAAGCGCCTGGTAGGCTCTAACCCATGGTAGGGGCTCAACACATAGTGGTCATTATGATGAAGATGAAGATCAAAAAGAAGATGACAAAGAGAAGGAGGAGGAGGATGGAGACTTCTTCAAGACTCAACTTTAGCAATTACTCATTAAATAATCTTGGGGAAGTCATCATGTCTCTGGGCCTCATCTATAAGATTGGGGAATATTATCTATTTCATGGGTTTAATGTGATAATTAAGTTAGATAACATGTGCACAAGAATTTTTTAAATGAGGTTATGATTGCTAAGCAATTATTCTGTGATCACTCACACAGAGCCATGCGTAGCTGGCCCTGAGTGAGTGTTTTCTTTCTATGATGATGGAGACCCATGGAGGTAAAACTCCCTACTCTTTGCACTGTCTGCTGTAGACACATCTGTTCTCTGCCATCTAAAGGCTTTCACATGTACTATTCCCTCTGCCTTGAGCAATCTTCTTCTCTTGCCACCCTTCACTTAAAATCACATACTCTTCATTCAGGGCTCAGCCCTTCTCCCAGACAGTCTTCTCTGCCTTTCTTGACTGACTTCCATGTATCTCACACTGCCCTAGTTGTCTCTGGTCATAACACTGCCTTGCAATATTCAGTGCTCTTGTCCAGACCCTGACACTGGACCACAAACTCCTCAAAGGTAGAGAATATGTCTCCTCCTTACCATTGTAGTTGTGACATGTAGCCCAGTGCCAACACATGGAAGGAATTCAGTAATATTCATTGAACCATGAAAAAGTAAAAGTGGATTCCAGGAGACCAGTCATGTGATTCTTCCTTTTTCTCCTAAGGTACTGTGATGCTGAACTGATTGTCATTCTTTCTTGCACTGAAGATGTAGCATCCACACTCTCAACTAGAATTAACAAGCGCTAGAAATTATACTTAAACCTGTGCTCATTCACATTTCAAAGCCATCTTCCAGAAAGCTTAGCAACACGAAAAAAAAAAAATTGTTTAGATCTGAATATTTTTCATCTGAGAGCATTTAGAAAGGTTCAATAAGTCAGTTCAACAAATATTTATCTTGAACCAAGTCCTTTTTTTCTAAGCTTTTTACAACTTTGTTCGGTTCAAAAGAAATGCAATCCCTTATGTTATTCCTTCATTTGTTTATAAATCATTAATATGATGGTTTGAATGAGCTTTTAAAGATGAAAAAAAATCACCCTTTCATAGTTGTTTAAAGCAGCTTTTTCTGTTAAATATGGAGGTCATTTTTTACAGAAGAGAAACCGAAATATACCAAGATACTGTTGCCTCCTAATTTGTACCATTTGAAGTACCAAAATTGACTAAATACATTTTCCTATTATGTTTCTACATTTTCAAGATGTACCTAAGATTGCAGTGGGCCATTCAAAACTACTCAGCAAGTCAGCTATGAAAACCTTCAGACGTTTTCCAGCAAATAGTGAAAGGACATTAAATGTTTTGGTCATCTAAAGAAACAAAGAGCTGTTGAATGGAAAAATAAAATTACTTGGGCTACTCAGTGAAGCTAATACCCAACATATGACCTTTCTTCACAGCCTTATTAATATCTTTCACATCACAAGTGGTGCCAGAATTGAATAGAGAGACTTTAAAACAAGGCTGTTTATAGGCAATAAGCTATTATCCTCTAGGACTTAGCGAACTGGCTGTCAGCCAACCTTATATTTGGATACTCCTGGAAGGATAAAATATGACAGTTAATTGGTTTATGTGAGAAGAGTAAAATATCTTAAACAAAAATATAGCCCATGCCAGTCAAACGCTAGGGAAGATTATTTTCTCAGAAAACCACATTGACAATATCAGACACATGGAAGCAGAATATCTTAAATAATAGTTAATAATGTATTAATGTTTTATCTGGGGGTTCTCTTTCTCCCTTTACTCACTGGCTAGAAGCCTGTACAATTCCTTCAAATTGAGCTAATCTGTAGGTACTCCAAAATCACTGCAGTTGATAGATAAAAGGTCTTACCTAATATATTTTACAATAAATACCCACATGGTACCCTGAATCCATGCTAAATTGATCTATCTCATATAGGCATAATGTGTAAAAGACTCTAGTGGTCAAATGACTCAAGTCATTTTGCAGCTAAGATTATTTGTCCCCTGTTACATAACAGGGGGTTATTCATAGAGGTTATTCATAAACAGGTTATTCATCGAGTTAAGTATAGAATGCAGGTCTCCTGACCCTTGCCCCAGGCTCTGTCAACTGCCCCATCTCAAGTCTTCAAAGCCTACTTCCCATGAGTCAAGAGTAACTCACTGTTCTGAAGCTGTGTTAAAGCATTGTATTACTCTGTTCTCACACTGCTATAAAGAACTACCTGCGACTGGGTAATTTATGAAGAAAAGAGGTTTAATTAACTCACAGTTTCACAGGCTGTACAGGTAGCATGGCTGGGAGACCTCAGGAAACTTACAATCATGGCGGAAGGCAAAGGGGAAGTGAGCATGTCTTCACATGTCAGAGCAGAAGACTGAGAGTGAATGAGGAAGTGCCAGACACTTTTAAACCATCAGGTCTTGTTAGAACTCATTCATTACCATGAGAACAGCAAGGGGGATATCCGCCTCTATAATCAATCACCTTCCACTAATTGCCTTCCTTAACACTGGGAATTAACAATTTTACATGAGATTTGGGTGGGGACACAGAGCTAAACTATATCAACTATCTACAATTTGCTTGATAAGGAACAATTTGTACACATTCCTGAGTCCACCCAGAAGGAGTGAAGTACAGTCTGAATGGAAAGTGTAGTGGAAGAAGTTTCTAGTAGCAAAAAAGGGGACTATTCTCTGAAAGCTTTGTAATTAAACTAAAGAGAAGAAACAAAGGTACAGCCAGAAAGGAAGCCCTGGTCATAGAAAGTAAATAGAGTGTTCACTCAGAAGAACAAGGTTGTGTACCACAACTATGGCCAGTAAACTCAGTGGAGAAGAGGACTTAAACAATGGCTGGGAAATGTAGAGGGGTCACGAATCCTAAAACTCTGGACATGAGATAGAATGTTCACGTAATGAAAGTTCCGTGCATCTCACTGGTATTGGTGGAGAACAGGATTTCCTAAAGGAGGCAATCTGGCCAGAACATACTCATTTGTCCCTGACATAAAGGAACCTCCATTTGTGTTCACATCTCATCACTGTGATTCTGTGATGAATGCATGATCCCTGCATCAAATCCCAACTTGAAGAGCTCCTGCTTCCACTTGCAGTTTCAGGCTTGCCACGGTTTTCATTTAGCCCTCGTCTCTTTATCTACTGAAAAGATTAATAGCCAAACACCAGTGAGACCAAGACCAAACACTAAATCTAAGAACCACAGGCAGAATGGAGTTTAAGGTTGCCAAGCCAGGCATTTGGAGATGGGCTGAGATTAGACAAGGAAAAAAGCCACTGAAAAAAATTAATGAGGATATCTTTGCAGTGAGTGTTTAGGCTAGAATCAGGGGACAGAGGAGGGGAAGGTATGCAGTGGCTGGCTGAGTATAGCTGGCATGATTGGCATGCGAAAGACACAAAAAGAGAAAATTTTTATTTATAATCACTCTTTTTGTTGTTGTTGTTTTTGAGAAGGTGTCTCGCTCTGTCACCCGGGCTGGAGTGCAGGGGCACGATCTTGGCTCACTGCAACCTCTGCCTCCTGGGTTTAAGCAATTCTCCTGTCTCAGCCTCCTGAGTAGCTGGGACTACAGTCGCCTGCCACCATGCCTGGCTAATTTTTGTATTTTTAGTAGAGACGGGGTTTCACCTTGTTGGTCAAGCTGGTCTCGAACTCCTGATCTACCCTCAGGTTCGAGATCACCTCTCAAACTCCTCAGGTGATCCACCCACCTCGACCTCACAAAGTGCTGGGATTATAGGCGTGAGCCACCATGCCTGGCCTATTTATAATCATTCTACTCTATATTTTCAAAAGATATTTGAACATCCATTAGGCTAACTGCTATGGATAGATGCCTTTTCCTTTGTAATCTACAATCGGATAATGTTTTCCCAATTTGATGAATATTCTTATTAGTTCAGAGAAAGAAAATAATATGTTTGATTCTATACCTTCAATGGCCCTAGTAATTTCCAGCAAAGAATTCTAAATTAATCCAGGAAGATACTGTAGGGTTTCTTTCATTGTATTTCCTTCCAAAGGTAGTGGTGGCCCTGATGAACCACAAGCTCTGTGATGCCCAATCACTTTACCTCTCCAAGTCCCTCTTGCATCATCTGCAAAATTAAGGCATCAGTTTCAAAGACCTCTCCATTCTCTTCTACTCTAACAAGCCATAAATCTCGGAATATATTCTGGGTTTGGCCCGAGTACATCTTTACGTAGATATTTTATCTATCTTGCTACAATAACAACCACATGCCCCAGATGGGAAAACTATGCTGGAAAAAACCCAAGGCTCTGTCAGCATAATGCATGGGTGTGGTGAAGACAGGCAACTAGATTGTGTGTGAGTCAAAAACATGATTAGAAAAAGGCAGATTCTGATAAACAGCTCAAGCTCATGGAATGTAGCTAAGAAAGACAGCATATAAAATAGTCCATTGATTTAGAATGTCACAAGTCAGAGAGGGTAGTAAAAACAAAATAAAACAAGAGAAGGGAAAAGATGCTTTTAGAGTGACAATACAGTGAAACATCGCTAAATACTGTTCAGTTATTGATACTAAGCCTACATTTTCATTTAGGTGGTTTTTAAACTTTCTTAGCCCCAGAATTTGTAGTCAAATCACACCATCGCTCACCCCTCTCACCCCAAAATGAAATTCTGCATTATCCTGAAATGTGTGATTTGCATTTGAGAAAATTTTGAGTTTTTCAAACATGGGTTTGAGGAAAACAAAAATGGAAAAGAAACATCCCTTCTAATTATTTCCACTCTAAATATTTTTCTTAAAAAGAGGATAGTTGCTTCCTATGTAACAAACCTGCACATTATGCACATGTATCCCGGAACTTAAAGTAAAATTTAAGGCTGGGCGCCGTGGCTCAGGCTTGTAATCCCAGCACTTTGGGAGGCCGAGGCGGGCGGATCACGAGGTCAGGAGATTGAGACCATCCTGGCTAACACGGTAAAACCACGTCTCTACTAAAAATACAAAATATTAGCTGGGCGTGGTGGCGGGCGCCCGTAGTCCCAGCTACTCGGGAGGCTGAGGCAGGAGAATGGCGTGAACCCAGGAGGCGGAGCTTGCAGTGAGCTGAGATCGCGTCACTGCAGCCTGGGCAACAGAGCGAGACTCCGTCTCAAAAATAAAAAAATAAAAAAATAAAAAATTTTAAAGATAGTTTCGAAGAACACCAAAACCTTCATAATCTCCACCATTATCTAAAAATTTGCTCATAACTTATTTCAGAATTTGAAAGTACACAGAAACTACTTCTCCCATTACATGACTGAACATACATAGGTTCAAAGAAGTCAAGTAACTTGACCAAGGCCACACAGCTGAAAACAGGAACGTAATCGTCCGGGCTGCAGGTTTCTCTAAGTCTTAGACTACACTGCCTCGCTCGCCTCTTGTTTGGAGTAAAATGCTAGGCAACAAAGCTCCCATGGGCAGCCTTTTGGCAGAAATCTACTTCTGTTGGGGTGAATTGCTGAACCCCAATTGCTAAGAATAGCTGAAAGCACCTTGGAAGGAGTGCTGGTTTCTAAAGAAATCCCCACTTAAGGAGTGTGCCTCCTTCCCCTCAGCCCATCTGTCGTTATGAATCTCGAGTAACGCATCAGAGATCATTCAATCTATGGAAACATATTGAAGGTATTATATATGTCAGAGATATCTTCTTTCATATTTCCATTAAAAGCTCCCAGCTATGCCAAAAATGCTTCATTCCCAAATGAGGTACATTTCAGTAAACGAGATGACGGATAGGACTTAAAGAATCCTCTAAGGAAGAAGGAAAGTTGCAAAAAGAGAGGAAAAACTTGCCAAAAAAGAAAAATGCAGGCAGTTTCATAAGAAAGGGTTTCTTCCTTTAATGATACACTATCTTTAAGGCCTGTAACCTGTGAAGTACAACTTTCCATTCATGTCACCTTTCCAAGCTTCTATTTCTAAATTAGATAGCAAAGATCAGTGGGCCAAAAAGTGGACAGAAATAAGTCTATGTGGATATGCATGTGTTTGTGAACACACGTGCACAAGTGCTCCTGTGATCATGGGATGCATTGTTTATTGGAAGAAATGCAGTGATTCTAAAAGTGTTCATTTCCAAGTCTTTTCCCAATTTCACCTAGTGGCCTCAGAGTTGTACGATGTACATTTAAACTTCAAAGGATCTTTCTACTTTAGGGAAGACTTTTTTCCAACAAATATAGTTTTTTTAATTTATGAAATTCCCAGTCTGTTTCAGATACAAAGTGAGAAACTGGAGATGCAGTTGTGACCAGGATAGACCAACTCCTGCCCACATTTAGATTTTATTCTATCAAGAAAGTCTTAAACACATCTTTAGGACAACTTGTTACACATGTGTCAATGAGATCTAAAGAGAGTGCCCAAGTCCTAGAGACATGGCAGGGAGCAGCTAACTCATTCGCATCTCTAATTCTCTAGATAACCTCAACACTTACAACTTGGAATCCTTGCAAGGTCCGAGGATATCTGTGATACCACACTGCCAGAAAAGAGACACAACAAAAACTACTGGGGTGATTCTTCCTATTCATTTGAAGCTACCCTTGTCCCAATGCTTTAGTAATTACCAAGCCTCTAGTTACTGTTCAGTTATGAAGTTGCTTGACCTCACTCTGACATTTGCTAATGAAGATTATTCTTATATATACACCCAGGACTCCACATAGTACATACTCAATTAATATGATGTATGATTAAAAAATAGGTAATACTAAAAAAATAGAAATCTGTATCATAGAGATGCAACATAGTCATAATACATTCAATTTTTTTTTTTTTTTGAGACGGAGTCTTGCTCTGTTGGCCAGGCTGGAGTGCTGTGGCACGATCTTGGCTCACTGCAACCTCCGCCTCCCAGGTTTAAGCAATTCTCCTGCCTCAGCCTCCTGAGTAGCTGGGATTACAGGCATGTGCCACCACGCCCGGCTAATTTTTGTATTTTTTTAGCACAGACGGGGCTTCACCATGTTGGTCAGGTTGGTCTCGGGCTCCTGACCTTGTGATCTGCCTGTCTCAGCCTCCCAAAGTGCTGGGATTACAGGCATGAGCCATTGTGCCCGGCCAATACATTCAATTTTTTAATTATCATTTAGTTTTCATAGTACAGTTAACACTATTAAAATAAATGAATATTACATGCGATTTTATAAGCAATCCTTTTCCTTGTGAATTTTATCACTCTACATATTCAATACTCCTTTACCCTCCACCTTCATGGAAGGTAATTCAATGGCTTTCTATTGGAGATTCCAAAAGTGCTCAGCTGAGCACATCAGCACATGCTTTGTTCACTTAACAAACACCCAGGAATGCCTAGGACATAGAAGGGAGTTGGCATCAATATAAGCCACCATGTATTGTATGTAATATGTCATCAACTGAGCACACAAAATGCTAAAACAAAATTGGTTGCCAGTTCAGTTTTAAGGCATCACAGGAGATCTGATTATTGTATTTATTCCTTTTCACCTTCCTCTGGTTCTAGAATCTATCTTCCTGTCACACACTCCTGACATTTTCCAATTCCCACTTGCTTGAGGGTCAAATAGCCTAATCTCCCCCTTTCTCTCTCACTAGCGATTGAGTCATGATTTCTATGCAAATAATCAATATGCTGTGTAGCCACAAGTTCACTGCCCTCTCTACTTTAGAAAACAGCCAGTAATGTATCCAATTCATACATATATTCAAAAAGCCAATTTTCCATTATTACAACACCATTTTTTTTTTTTTGAGACAGAGTCTCACTCTGTCTTCCCAGGCTGGAGTGCAGTGGTGTGATCTCAGCTCACTGCAACCTCCGCCTCCCAGGTTCAAGTGATTCTCATGTCTCAGCCTCCCAAGTAGCTGAGATTACAGGCACACACCACCACACCCAGCTAATTTTTGTATTTTTTGGTAGATACGGCGTTTCACTATGTTGGCCAGGCTGGTCTCAAATTCCTAACCTCAAGTGATCCACCCACCTTGGCCTCCCAAAGTGCTGGGATCACAGGCGTGAGCCCCTGCACCCAGCCTTATGACACCATTTTCTATAGAAGCAAAACTCTTCTCATTAACATTGCCACTGCACTTGGCCTAATTCAATGTCTGGAAAGTTAGTATTATTCTTTCTACTGATAGAGATTAAGTTACATTATTTTAAAATAATTCTTCAGCATTCTGATCATTCTTTATTTGGGAAATAAAACAAATAAATGATCAAACCATTCTCCATTCTAGGTTCCAAAGACCTTGGCTGACTGTTGTCCAATCCACACAGCACTCTCATAACTATTTGTTATTCCAAAGAATTCAGACAGATTTTCTCTTCCTAATGGCAGCAATAATCATACTCCTTTCCTATCTATCTGTAAGTATCTATCATACTCCTTTCCTATCTATCTGTAATTTTGCACTGCAAAATCTGGAAAGTTTCAAAAGTATCATCTATTATTTTACCTTTGTTAAAATCATATTAAAAGGTACTATTATGCCCATTTTACAGGTAACAAAATTTATCTCAATTAAGTTTAATGACTTGCTCCAGTTAAAATAGCTACTAAGTGAAGAGCCTGGGATACATCTGGGTCTCTTTAAGTCTCAGTCCACAGCCTTCCTCCATAATCTTCTTGCCACATTTTCTTGTCCCCAGCTGGTGTTCAGAACATGCTGTCTCCAAAACACACGTTCCTGAACACAAAACTTTCTTCTTTTTTCCCCATGAACTCACTGCCTTCAGGAACTCTTTCTAAATTAAGAGGAAAAAGATATCTAAAGCAAAGAACTCAGGGAGAAATTGTAGGGGTATTTTTGTATGCGTGCTTTCTTTAAAATGCAGCTTCCTTGGAGATATTAACGATTTCGCCAATGTTATCCAGGCTTGGCATATTTGTAGAGTCCCAACACAGTTTCTCCTCACCAAGGGATGGAATATCAGACAGTATGTCACTAACAGAGAGGGTGTTAGGGATAGAGGACAGACCTCAGAATCTCCTGTCTCTAATCACTAGGCACCTTTCCAACTGGGCTATAAAAGCCGTAGCACTCTCAGTTGTCTGATGCATTCTGACACAGTAAAGAACGGCCATAAGCAGGACCCTGCCGCACCGTCCTTGGACTGGCCTGGAGGCAGCCACGCTCTTCCTTCTACAGCAATTTCTCATGTCTACCCATTCATGAGAAACTTTCATGGCTATATTACAGTCAGGAGTCAGAGGCTCCTATCACTTGTTCAAGGGAATCTCAAGCCTCTTCCTAAACTCATCTCCTGTACAACCTTCTGAGCCCCTCAATGCACACACGTGTGCTCCCAATACCACCTCCATCACAGCTAAAATGTATCAAATTCTTTCTTCATTTATGTTGAAAAACTCTATTTCAAAAAGGATTTTAAGCATCCCAGGCCAGGGAGATGCTCTCAGTTCCACCTTCTTTCCTCAGCCACTTAATAACTTTCTCGCCACCACAACCTGGCCCTCTCTATAATAGTGACTAAACTAAAATTGTCATTGATGTGGCACTTTAAAAAAAATAGTGAAAATTTTAATTTCCATTCTTCATCATGAACGTCCACAAACAGGAGAAAAAACAACATGGCCAGATAATTTAAATCAAATATCCTAAGACAGAAGCAGATGATCCTGGAAGAATGCAACTTACAGAGGGATGGTTTTCCTCAGGGTTCACCAGCTCCAGAACCACCTTTGCCTTCACTCCTACTCCTATTTCTCTCCAAGCTGCCTTCCTCCCATTTTTCTGCAAGTGAATCCTATTTTGAAAACTAGCCCCATCGTCTTTGCCTCTGAAGATCTGTTTCCTACTTGGACTGGAGGATGGAGTGTCTCCTTAATCTGTGTTTCTGGAGTTTTGTCAATGTCTCCATTCTGCCATATCTCACATGGCATTGTAATCAGTTGGTTGTTTTTTTTTTTTACCCACTTCTCACAGTAGGCTAGGAGATCCTCAGGAAGATAAACTATGCCTTCATTATAATTGTCTTTAGTACCTGCTAAATCTGGCATGTAGCAGTCTCTGGTAGGATTTGTTTTCTGCATCTTACAGTACCATGGGGTCATCTGAGTATCTGCTGATACCTTTGTGTTAGCACTTTAGTGTCTTAGCTAGGACTCTATGTCTTGTGTTTATCTTTACCATCAAACTAAGCTTCTTGGGGGCGGAAGGATGGCATTTCTTTCTGGAACTCTCACAGCACCTACCACCATGCTTTGCTCATGGTTGGTGTTCAAAGATAAATAATTATCACCAGTAATTATCATTCCCCTGTAGAGGTATGTAACTTCCAATAACTAAAGTCCCAGATAGATATTTGTGATATTGTTCCCAAGCAGAATTAGGTCTTTAGTCCAAGAATAGGATGCCAAGCCTTTGCAGGTATTCATGCCACATGACTGCCTCTAATTTTGCAGGAATTCATGCCACTTGACTGCCCTTTTAGTCATAGTCCCTGCCCATAAGACCTCCTTTGGTTGAGCGGAGATGAGAAACTGCAAGTATAAAAGGCATCCTTTTTCTTCATGAGAGCACAACCACGTAAAAATAAGCACAAAACATTAATATGAAGGATGATGGCATCAAAAATTAGGAATGTGTGGAAGCCATGTAAAGTGCAATAACTATTAGTATCGGGTTCAAATCCACATGGTCAAATTCCAACCACTATCTGAGATCAACAGTCTTGTCATTTCTTGGTTCTTAGGTAACTATGAGCTCAAGTTATAGCAAAGCATGGAGCAAAATGAAAGTTAAAATTCACTTATGCTATAGTTAATTTTACTACTAACTGGTAACCACCAAAGTGAATGGTAAGTTTGACAAAACATATATTAACCCCTTCCCTGCTGGTAAATATTAGAATCCTCTAACATTCCCCCATTCCTAAAAAAGTAGGGGACAATTTCCTTGATAAAGAGAAAGCCTTGAAGAGAAAATGAATGGTAATTTATATCAGATTGTGACTTTGTGATAAATAATTCAGAAATACTTTTAAGAATATTTGTTAAAACTTTGTCTATGCACCAAACAGAAAGCCAAATCATGAGTAAACTCCTATTCACAATCGCTACAAAGACAATAAAATACCTAGGAATCCAACTTACAAGGGATGTGAAGGACCTCTTCAAGAGAACCACAAATCACTGCTCAAGGAAACAAAAGAGAACACAAACAAATGGAATAATATTCCATGCTCATGGATAGGAAGAATCAATATCGTGAAAATGGCCATACTGCCCTAAGTAATTTGTAGATTCAACGCTATCCCTATCAAGCTACCAATGACTTTCTTCACAGAATTGGAGAAAACTACTTTAAAGTTCATATGGAACCAAAAAAGAGCCTACATTGCCAAGACAATCCTAAGCAAAAAGAACAAAGCTGGAGGCATCATGCCACCTGACTTGAAACTATACTACAAGGCTACAGTAACCAAAACAGCATGGTACTACTACCAAAACAGATATATAGACCAATGGAACAGAACAGAGGCTTCAGAAATAACACCACAAATCTACAACCATCTGATCTTTGACAAACCTGACAAAAACAAGAAATGGGGAAAAGATTCCCTATTTAATAAATGGTGCTGGGAAAACTGGCTAGCCATATGCAGAAAGCTGAAACTGTGTCCCTTCCTTACACTGTATACAAAAATTAATTCAAGATGGATTAAACACTTAAATGTTAGACCTTAAAACTATAAAAACCCTAGAAGAAAACCTAGGCAATACCATTCAGGACATTGGCATGGGCAAGGACTTCATGACTAAAACACCAAAAGCAATGGCAACAAAAGCCAAAATAGACAAACAGGATCGAATTAAACTAAACAGCTTCTTCACAGCAAAAGAAACTACCATCAGAGTGAACAGGCAACCTACACAACAGGAGAAAATTTTTGCAATCTACCCATCTGACAAAAGGCTAATATCCAGAATCTACAAAGAACTCAAACAAATTTACAAGAAAAAAAACAAACAATCCCATCAAAAAGTAGGCAAAGGATATGAACAGATACTTCTCAAAAGAAAACATCTATGCAGCCAACAGACACATGAAAAAATGCTCATCATCACTGGTCATCAGGGAAATGCAAATCAAAACCACAATGAGATACCATCTCATGCCAGTTAGAATGGCAATCATTGAAAAGTCAGGAAACAACAGATGTTGGAGAGGATGTGGAGAAATAGGATGACTTTTACACTGTTGGTGGGAGGGTAAATTAGTTCAACCATTGTGGAAGGCCGTGTGGCGATTCCTCGAGGATCTAGAACTAGAATTACCATTTGACCCAGCAATCCCATTACTGGGTATATACCCAAAGGATTATAAATCATGCTACTATAAAGACACATGCACACGTATGTTTATTGAGGCACTATTCACAATAGCAAAGACTTGGAACCAACCCAAATGTCCATCAATGATAGACTGGATTAAGGAAATGTGGCACATATACACCATAGAATATTATGCAACCATAAAAAAGGATGAGTTCATGTCCTTTGCAGGGACATGGTTGAAGCTGGAAACCATCATTCTTAGCAAACTATCACAAGGACAGAAAACCAAACACCGCGTGTTCTCATTCATAGGTGAGAATTGAACAATGAGATCACTTAGACACAGGGTAGGGAACATCACACACTGGGGCCTGTTAGGGGGTGGGGGGCTGGAGGAGGGATAGCATTAGGAGAAATACCTAATGTAAATGATGAGTTGATGGGTGCAGCACACCAACATGGCACATGTATACCTATGTATCAAACCTGCATATTGTGCACATGTACCCTAGAACTTAGAGTATAATAAAAAAAAATTGTCTATTCACAACTATACACCTGCACTGCCCAAGACACTAACCATTAGTCATACAAAACATGGCTATTGAATGCCTGAAATGTGCTAGTCCAAATGGAGATGTGTGGGAAGTATAAAATACACTTCAAAATGCGTAGACTTAGTAAAACCATGTAAAATATATCATTAATAGTTTTTATATGAATTTTATGATATACTTTAGATATAAGGGCTTAAATAAAATATATTATTAAAATTAATTTTAACTGTTTATTTTTACTTTTTTGATGTAGTTACCATAAAATTTTAAACTGTATATGTGACCTGCATTTTATTTCTATTCGGCAATACTACTAGAGATGACATTGCAGCAGAAACCCCGTAAAACATGGCTTATGCTACGATTCACACTGCTTTCCTCAAAATCTAGTGCAGGTAAGACAGTCTGGGATCAGCTTTAAGGATATATAGTGAAATTCACCACAGCAGAAACCGTAAAACTTGTAGCCAAATTTAAATGGAACTAAGGGGAGGAAGAAACAATGAAAATACAAAAGAACGGAAAATTCCAAAACCGTAACTTTTTGATCCTAGAAAATAGCGTATGCAGTCCTCTACTGGAGACACATACTGAGACACTACCTCCTCCCACCTCAAATCCTTCCTATCCAGCTCCCTGATGAAGACCCATCAGGTCACTCCTCCCATTAACTATCCTCCCATTAACTATCCTCAGGAGACACTAAAAAGTACTGAGCTTGGTAATGAGAGACAGACACTCCTTCTGCTACTATGGATGGATAGTTACTGAAGGTCACTAATATCTGATGCAAATTTCCAGGTGTTCTTTACGGAAAGGATGGTAGTCTTTGGTCCTTTCAAATGGACAAGTATAATTTATTTCATATGTTTCTATCAGAAGCACAAGAGGCAAAACCCAGAGGGGGATAATACTTACGAAATAGAAAGCAATTACATTTCTTTTTCCTCCAACTTCCAAGACAGGGAGGAAAATTCATTGATGAGTATTTATTAGCTAATGATGAAAGGGCACTTCAAAAATGAAAATGGCTCTAAAATGCACTGCATTATCCTGATTGCAGAAAATGGAGACTAAAGAGAAAGGGCGCTCTATAAAATGTCCTCGGCAATTGGCTCTGTCTCTCATGAGCCACTCAGATTTCTTTGTCCCTCCCACCATAATAACTTGTCTTCATGGTCATAGCCAAGAACGCATTCTTTGTTTGGTTACATAAGCTTCTAAAAATAGTAATTTATCATGGAAATGCTAAATGATCCTTGAATATAGTGTTTTAATGGACTATTAAGTTATTCCAGTGTCTATTTTCTTTAACATATTATAATTAAAGATAAAATCTTTTTTGGTGCTTTTCAAACTAGAAGCATATCAGTCTCATGCTTTGGATATTTTTTCATCTTGAAAAACATGAAGAAAGGTTTCCTGTGGTCAAAGAAGTTTCACCACAGGCAGAGAGATGAATTTTCTCCTCATTACTGAGGTCCAATAAAAAAAAAAAAGAGGAGGCTAATTCAAAGTGTAATTTATTTTTTCTGTCTGTCTAGCTAGATTTGATAAATGAATTCAAAGTAAAATAATCTGAGAAATTAGCTGGCCAAATATTTAAAGGAAACCTAATAATGCATTTCTCATTTCTTCTTAGAAGTTTATAACTGAAAGAATCCCAAGAAATGATCTACTTAATGTCCCTCTGAAACCAGAAGGGTAAGGTACCCACCAAAGTTACACAGCAGGGCTGCTTCCCTGTCCTCTGTCTGGATCACACGTTATCACTCGCCTTAGCACCCGGTGAGTGAACAAGTGGATAAATGAATGAAAGGAAGAAAAAGAAATGACTTAAACAGAACTTGAGTAGTCTTGGAGGTATATAATACCAAGGTGTTAAGATGGGCCTACAGAAGGTAGGAAAAAAACATAAAGAAGTATAGGAGACTTTCTTCATCAAACTCACAAATGACCAAGACGATATAAAGAGCCAGGAAGGCTTCCTATACAGTCAACTTCTTCAGTGTTTTTTTTTATAAATTTATTTTTATTTTATTTTGTATTTTTTGAGACTGTCACTCTGTCACTCAGGCTGGAGTGCAGTGGCGCGATCATAGCTCCCTGCAGCCTTGACCTTCCAAGCTCAAGCAGTCCTCCCACTCAGGCTCCTAAGCAACTAGGACTACAGTTGTGCACCTCCATGACTGGCTAATTTATTTATTCATTTTTTTGTAGAGACGGGGTCTCCCTGTGTTGCCCAGGCTGGTCTCAAGATGCTGGGTTCAAGCAACCCTCTCACCTTGGCCTTCCAAAGTGCTGAGATTACAAGCAGGAGGCACTACACCTGGCCTGGTGATTTGTTTTGTTTTGACAGTATTTTTTTTTAATTGAGGTGAAATGCCCATCACATAAAATTAGCTATTTTGAAGGAAATAAGTTGGTAGGATTTAGTAAATTTACAATATTGTGCAACCACCACCTCTAACTAGTTCCAAAACATTTTTATCATCCCCGAAGAAAACCCCATACCCATTAAGCTCCCTATTTTCCTCTTCCATAACCCCTGGAAACCACTAATCTGCTTTGTTTCTATAGATTCACCTATTCTGGAGATTTCATAAAGGTGGAATCACACAGTATGTACTGTTTTGTGTCTGGGTCCTTTCACTTAGTCTGATGTTTTCAAGGTTCATTCATGCTGTAGCATGTATCAGTACTTTATTCCTTTTCATGGCTGAATAATATTCCATTGTATGTATATATCACCATTTAGTCAACTCTTTCTTATCCATATGTAACTTATGTGTGGTAACTTTCGATTTTCAGTACTCACTGAACTCCCTGCCATCAATTAACATACTCTTAAGGGTCTTCACTCAGACGCCAGTCATTGTTCAAAAAAATGGAAAGCTGTTTTAATATTGCATCAAGTCAACATAATGACTCTCTTTGTAAAATCTGTTATATTCTACAAAGCATTTCTAACAACAACCCAAGGAAATTAGTACTATTATTATTATCTTTCTTTTGAAGATGAGAAGACTGCAGTAGTGAGCTGAAGTAGCCATTCAGTGTCACAGCTGGTAAATGGCAAGACCAGGACTGGATCCCTTCCCTTTCCATTCGCTGCCCAGGATCTGAGCTCGAAACATGTTCCATTTTCAGAGTGAAGAGATCTGAAAATCTGAGGGACTCACTGCACATTGCCCAGCCCCACTCACTCTACTTTGCTCCAGTAATTGAGGAAATTCCAGGAGCAGTGAGATGGAGTCCTGCAGATGAGGAGCTTGAATTAAATAAGTTCCCAGACAAACCTCCAAAGAGGGACAGGAGTGGATATGAGGATTAAGCAAACTCTCAGAGCAAAGCTGCAGAATATTTCAGAAGTAAGGAGAGAGATAGAATGGAGCAGGGATAAGGTTTGTTTGATGTTTAGTGGTGGGTTCATTGGTCCAAGTCATAGCTTGACATAAATTCCAGTGTTAAATAGAGACAATCTGGAAGGTTGATCATTATGACAGCATAGATAATTGAGATGACAATAATTGTACATGCATTTCAAAAACTCAAATGATACAGCATAAGTTCTCCCCATAGGCACAGTGCTTTAGAGTTTATACAACACTTTCACATCCATTATCTCCTGAGGTCCTCATAACAATACCATTAGGATAGGTATTTTTTTTTATTATACTTTAAGTTTTAGGGTACATGTGCACAATGTGCAGGTTAGTTACATATGTATACATGTGACATGCTGGTGCGCTGCACCCACTAACTCGTCATCTAGCATTAGGTATATCTCCCAATGCTATCCCTCCCCCCTCCCCCCACCAGGATAGGTATTGTTATACCCATTTTCTTGATGCAAAAATTGATAAGGACAGTTAAATCCTGTAGCCACACAGCTAATAAGTCATGAATCCGGGACTCAAATGAAAGTTTCTGAAGCCTGTACGTTTTGAATTCTGTCTGCAACACCATGCCACCTCAGGCCAACTTCAAGGGAAAAATAATTATCCTAAATCAGTTTGCAAAAAGGAAAAGAGCTGAGAAATAAAAATTCCTCCAGGCAGGAGAAATAGCAAAACACAGCATCTCACACTGTTGATGGGGAAGAGAACATGACTTCGTCTTGAGCGTTTCTAATTTTGCAGCTCACACACATCCCATCTCAAAATTGTAAATCATGAGACAAAGTTTACCTCTGAGACAGTAGGAATGTAGCCTGCCACCTGTAAAGGAGGAGTTTAAGGTTTTGCCAAAGTTCAGATTTTTTCAAATCAAAATAGCTTCAGTTAATCCAGGGATATGCACAGTTACATTTTATTCCTAAACACTGGGCATTTTATTTTGTCTGTAAGGTTACCCCTTCTTCTTTCATTACAAGCACTTAGGAAAGAAGCCTTTCTACAACACCATCATGTTATTTTTCTAAAAATAGAATGAGGCTGGGTGTGGTGGCTCACACCTGTAATCCCAGCACTGTGGGAGGCCGAGGTGGGCAGATCACTTGAGGTCAGGAGTTTGAGACCAGCCTGGGCAACATGGCAAGAGCCCCATCTCTACTAAAAATTCAAAAATGTAGCTGGGCGTGGTGGTGCACACCTGTAATCCCAGCTACTCTGGAGGCTGAGGCATGAGAATCGTTTGAACCCAGGAGGCAGAGGTTGTGGTGAGCCAAGATCATGCCACTGAACTCCCGCCTGGGTGACATACATAAATAAAATAAAATAAAATAAAATAAAATAAAGAATGACTCAAATCTGGGGCCTCTTTATTGGGCTGTAGGGCTCTGAGGCAGCAGCTTGGCCATCAGTCAAGAAGAAATGGTCTGTTCTTCCCCAGTTAGAGGGGTCCAGATAGAAGACGACCCAGTTGTGGAAGGCCCACCAGCTCACCATCGCTATCATTTTGTCCTTTTACTAACATCTTGGAAGCTCCTTACACATGCTGTAGAAATGAGAGAGGATCTTACAGTATCTGGGATTTATAGGCATAAATTCCATTAGCCAGCCTCACAACTAATTGCTGTTCTAACACTCAGCGCGGGATAAATTATAATTGATGGTAATACATGAGGAGCAATGATTTATTATAGTCTCTCTAAAAAATAGAATAATATCTGTGAGTTTGCTGGGGTGGAGTGGAGGGCCAGTGTGTGGGAAGGAGGGAGAAAATGGTCACTAGTGACTGTTTTGCCCTTCTTTCTAAAAGCTTATCAGACCTCAGGTGGACTGACCTTGGACATAAATCAGATGAGTGGAAACATAGGTGTCTGTGTGTTTGGTTGAGCTCTGATTCATTTCATTATTGTCTAAGTAGTTAGGCAAAGTTTGACCTATCGCATCCCCTACTCTCTAGCTTCTGCTGCTCAGCACTGGGTGACCTTGGTGAAACATTACTGCCCTTGCACTACCGTGGTGTCTGGTAATGCAACCTGAATCTGGAATCAGGTGCCCTAGACTTGAATCTTGCATTTGTCATTTATTAGTCATGTGACCTTACCTAGGCAGCAAGCAGGCTAATGAGCCTGCATTTCTTCAACTGTGTACAGAAAATAATACACCTACTTCTTGGCACTGTTAAGGAAATGAAATAAAATAATGCATATTTTAAAAACTTGAAAGCTTTAAAATGTCATTCAGATATGATTTATCTACCCACTAAACAAATGCAAGTCACTATTCAGGTGAAAATAATAATCTACATCCTTCCTCGTGTGAGTTTATTGCCAGATTTTCTTAGTCATTTTCACAGGATAAAATTAAGTGGACATTTAAGTACAACCAGACCATGAAAGGGCTAACTTGATATGTTCTAGGCATAGAGGGTAGGGAGGTTTATGTTAAGGTGGTTCGATTTAATATCTCACATGTCACTCATTGTAAAGGCAGTCGCAGGGACTGACCCACGAATGTCCTGTTGTTGAAAATCCCATAATGAAGAAGAGAATATGACTTCACCAGTCTCCTTCCTGCCCCTAGAAGGGTTTCCATCATTTCATTAAAAGAGAAAAAACCCACCACGTACTGCTCAATATGGTGACTGGCTCCTGAACAGTCAAGATGTTATTTTCAAACACATTCTTTCCTTGCTTTTCCATCCCCATGGGGCCCTGCTCTAATTCCTGGCCTTCTGAAACCCCGTGGCTGCAGCTTCCATCTTACTGAGCAGATTTTCAAACAAAGTCCCCTTGCTGTGTGCACAGAACTGCCCTCCAGAGCTGCAGGCACGCCGGTCGGGGGGCTCAATGCTGAATTTATTTCCTACATCTTGGACACGTCGTCGCTCTCTCTCCTCCCTCCCTCCCTCCCTCCAGTCCCCTCTCCCCGCCTCCCCTTCATCCTAAATCCTGCAGCCATGACAGAAATAAATTAGCTAGAGGTACAGGTCACACCTTGGAGAGCAGTAAACGTTCCGTGGGAAATCAATAGAGAAGATGGGATTCTCAAACAGCTGAAGCAGAAGGAATGATGCATTGATGGCTATACATAAACCAAACAAAGGAGTCTCAGCACAGCCTTCCCGGAAGGGACTCGCGCACTGGGCTTCATTTATTCTAACACCTGAACCTGAGACAGCACCGCAGAAAAAGACGCTCCGCAGATACCTGGGCTTTTTTCCTCAGGAAGGCTCAATGTTGCTGGGCGAGTGTTGGTGAAAATGAAAAATTATGTTCAGATCGTGGATGTTAAAGCCAGAGCCCCCAGGAAACCCCTGGAGAACCGTAAGCTGAGTGTGTGAGACACACATCTGTTCCAGGAAGACCTCCTCATCCACGGCTGCTGACAGCAAAAGCCAGAGAGGGATTGGCTGGATAGTTACCTGAAGAGGTGTAATTCCTAAAGTCATTTAGTGTGATGTGTCGGAAACGCCTAGGCTTTAGGCTCTGGCAGACCTGGGTTCCAGTCCTGGCTTCACCACTAGGTAGCAAAAATGGGAAAGCTGCATTTATAAAGTGGCAATAGGAGGTCTACCTTAGAGGCAATTGTGCGGATTAAATGAATAACACACATAAACACCTAGTACAAAATAGGCACTCAATAAATGCTAGTTGCTTTCCCTTCCATCCCCCTGCCTGATAGTAAGCGGCTTCGTCATGTCTCTGGAGTTCTACAACTTCTCCCCACAGAGTTTTCACAATGGCAGGCCCTCATAAAATTTTTCTCTGATGGCAAAAGCAATGTCTAGCAAAAACAGGTGCTCAGCAGGACTTTCGGTGCCCTACAGTCTCGATCAGCTGCCAAATGCCACCCCAAATAAGCCACCTAAGTTAAAGCAGTGTGCCTGCTATGCAAATGCAGGGATGGAATACAATCCTGCCCCTGAGCACCTCCTATCTAGAAATCCTGAAATTTCCATTGCTATATACCAAGAGCCGATTTTTCTCCTGTCTTCCCTTGCTCTTTTTTTTCTCCTGAAAACTGCATTTTTAATATCTTTTCCTCCTCAGTTTGAGCCTGATTTCTTCCTCACACACAGCTGAATTTCAGTAATAAAACAAATAGTTACAGTGAGAAGCCATTATAAATTATCTAGAAAATAAACATTTAAATAATCTCCATCCTAAAATGTTTAATTGTGGCAAAATGTAGAGAGCATGAAGTTGACCAGCTTCACCATTTTTACGTGTATGCTCAGTGACATTAAGTACATTCATATTGTTGTGTTAACATCACCGTTATCCATCTCCAGAACGTTTTCACCTTCCTCATGTACAGCGCTGTACGTGCTAATCATAACTCCCCATTCACCCCTTTTCACAGCCCCTGGAACCCGCCATTCTACTTTCTGTTGCTATAATTTTACTACTCTAGGAACCTCCTGTAAGTGGAATCATATGATATTTGTCCTTTTAGTCCTGTCTTATTTCACTTACCGTAATGACCTCAAGTTTCTTCCATGTCGTAGCATGTGTCAGGATTCCTTCCTTTTTAACACCGAATAATTTTCCATTGTATGGATATACCACATTTTGTTTATCCATACCTCCTTTGATGGGCACTTGGGTTGTCTCCACCTTGTGGCTATTGTGAACAATGCTGTTATGAATATGGGTGTGCAACTATCCCTTCAAGACCCTGCTTTCAGTTCCCTGGGGATATACCCAGGAGTGGAAGTGCTCGGTCAAATGGTAATTTTATTTGTTAATTTTTGAGGAGCCATCATACTGTTCTCTATAGCAGCTGCACCATTTTACATTCCCACCAACAGTGCACGAAGGTTCCAACTTCTCCACATCCTTGTCAGCACTTGTTATTTTCTGTTTTTTTTGAAAGTAACCATTCTGACATCTTTTCACGGTTCGTATCTTCTCTGGGAAAATGGGGGCTGTATATGTGTGGCAACCATTTGTTTGGTAGCCTGACTTGTTCATTCCTCCTTGCATACAGGAAATTCTTAACGTCAACCAGATTCTGCTCTGGCTATAGCTTCTGTCTAATGTCTCTGTCTTTTCCAAGTCTTCTATCTTTCATTAATTCAGGAAATGTAAAGTTAAGTTGAACAATTCAAGAGTTTTCAGTACTCTGATATAAAGCAGTTTGCCTAGCCCAGTTACTCATGCTACCCTCAATCTCAGTAAATGAAGGAGAAAGCCTTTTGGTTTTGTTTTGTCATCTAGGCTGGAGTGCAGTGGTACAATCTCAGCTCACTGCAATCTCTGCCTCCCGCTTCTCCTGCCTCAGCCACCGGAGTAGCTGGGACTACAGGCGGGCACCACCACACCTGGCTAATTTTTGTATTTTTAGTAGAGATGGGGTTTTGCCATGTTGGCCAGGCTCGTCTCAAACTCCTGACCTCAGGTGATCTGCTTGCCTCTGCCTCCCAAGGTTCTGGGATTACAGGCGTGAGCCACTGCACCCGGACAGGAAAGCCTTTTCAGAACAGAAAAGGTAAAAGCACTAGAACCTACTAGAAAACACTGAGATAGCTTGGAGAATAAAAGTAACAGCTCTCATATAGCAGGCTAAATTTTAAAACATCGTTTAATTTTTTTTACTTCATTAATTTTATTTTATTGTATGTGAGAACACTTAACATGAGGTCTACCCTCTTAACAAATTTTTCATGTACAATACAGTATTGTTGACTATAGGTACAATGTTGAATAGCAGATCTGAGCATCTCACCTGAGAAAATTCCCATTGACAATTTCAGATGTGGGAACTGAGGCACAGTGAAGTGAAATCATTTATCCAAAGTCAGACAGCAAGTAAATTCCAGGGTCAGGACCCAAAACCCAGTCATATCACTCCAAATCCCTTTTTTTTTTCACCATACAATACGACCTAAAGATTACTAAGCTCTTTACTTTTGAAACTGCCAAACTTTTAAGGACCTATTTGTAAAAGACAAACAAAAAAGAAATGTGGTTTGAGCTTGCTGTTGAAGAGGAATGGTTCCCTAAAGGCAGGCAGTACATAGACTTCACCAAGCACTAACTTCATGGGACGTGACTTGCTCAACTCTGGACAATACATGTTAATGGACCCAGAATGAGGCAAGACATAGGCATCACCCATGAAAGGAATGTAGTCTATTGGACAACAGCAGTCCTTTCCACTTAGAATGTTTCTTGAAGGCCTTGTGTGACACATGACATCCTATGCTCAGCTGGTGAATCATGTGACTCCTCTTTGCCCGGGGGGAAACCTATCTCCTATGGGGATAGGTTTCCTCCTCTTTAAACTTTCCAGGGGTATTGTGAACTTTAAATATAATATTGATAAAGCATGAAACCTAGCATCAGGTGTGTAATAGATGCTCAATAAACCAAAACCCATTGCCATCTCGCTGCTGTATCCCCAGAGTAGCTTTTCATTCCCAGCAGGGACAAGTGGGTAAAGACCATGAAGAGGCATCTGAAAGAGAACTCTGAACTGAGTGGTAAAGAATTTAAGAATTTTAGGCCAAGCAAGGTGACTCACACCTGTAATCCCAGCACTTTTAGAGGCCGAGGCAGGCAGATCACCTGAGGTCAGGAGTTTGAGACCAGCCTGGCCAACATGGCGAAACCCCGTCTCTACCAAAATTACAAAAATCAGCCAGGTATGGTGGCGCATGCCTGTGGTCCCAGCTCCTTGGGAGGCTGAGGCAGGAGAATCGCTCAAACCCAGGAGGCAGAGGTCGCAGTGAGCCGAGATCACACTACTGCATTCCAGCCTGGGTGACAGAGCAAGACATCTTCTCAAAAAAAAAAAAAAAAAAAAAAAAAAAAAAAAAAAAAAAAAAAAATTAAGAATAGACACTTAGAATATTTAACCATCAACTGCTGTCCCTGAAGTTTGCCTCACATTTCTGCACCAACAGACTTGTTTTACTGGTCTGCATTTGAGTGCTCTGTGCACTTCTGTGTACCATTTATTCATTTAGACTGCACATGCTCTGAGGGAGTGGCCCCTCCTTCCATTTGGTCTTACAGCCCTGTGACTGTGCACTTACAGTTCCCGGTTCTCTACAGAGAACAGTCCATTACGGATCACTGATTTGCTCAGAAGCAGGCCCTTGAGATTCATCTCTCTAAAGGGATTTCTCTAACGTAATGATATGTGTAAGCCAGGAACTTCGGAGCCCAGACAGTGCACCTCAAGAGCCTGGTCAGCACTGGTCAGAAGACCCCCCATAAAACCCGAAATCTTGACATTTCCAAAACCTGTCTGCATATGTGCCTTTACTTCTTTTTTTCTTTTTTCTTTTTTTTTTTTTTTTGAGACGCAGTCTCGCTCTGTCGCCCAGGCTGGAGTGCAGTGGCGTGATCTCGGCTCACTGCAAGCTCCGCCTCCCAGGTTCACGCCATTCTGCTGCCTCAGCCTCCTGAGTAGCTGGGACTACAGGTGCCCGCCACCATGCCCAGGTAATTTTTTGTATTTTTAGTAGAGACGGGGTTTCACCGTGTTAGCCAGGATGGTCTCGATCTCCTGACCTCGTGATCCGCCCACCTCAGCCTCCCAAAGTGCTGGGATTACAGGCGTGAGCCACGGCGCCCGGCCTTTACTTCTTTTTTGACTCCCACTGAACCTTTGAGACTGTAATTGACTCCCTTCCCTTCAGAGAGACTCCTCACTTCCGAGCAGCCTGCTTAGCCGCATTGGAAAGTTATGGAAGATAACTAGATTTGACTCAACAAATGTGCACTTATCTCAGACATATCTGCCTGGATAGCCTCCCTCTGGTCTCTCCGTGGACTAAGAGCAAGAAGAATAAGCGTTCTGCCTCAGTTAACTCTCTGTGCCATCTAGCACATTTTTGTATTTTCAATAAATATGCCTTAAGCACTATTCCTCTTGTGGTGTTAATTTACCAACACAAGTGCCCTGAGGATCTGTGGGTTGAGCTAAGAGCTGACTGGGATTCACAGTAAGAATAGTTCATGCTTACCTTGGGTGATACAACACAAGCAACAAATAAGAGCATATGCCAATCAAAACATTTTCGGGTTTAGTCTGCTGTGTGAGGCACCGTGCTAAGTACTTTACATGAATCCTTTCATATAATCCTCATAGCAACCCCTTGGTATCCCCATTCTACACATGATGAAAAAGAGATGCAGAGAAATTAGCAAAGCCCATGTGTATAGTCACCATACCATAGAACACACACTTTGGGATTCTACGGATAGGATTTAAATTCAAGTCTCCAACTCCTTGAGTGTGACTAACATACCATCTCCAGCTGGAGTTTTCTCCTTCGTAGTGTGACAATATCCAAAGTCCCTGGTGCTGCCACACTTTCCACCTTCATGAATCATGGAACTCCTCTTTTATATCCTATCTACCTCAGTAACCCAGGGATTCAGGATGGTCTAGAATTTCAAATCCCCAGTTGGGCAACCTGAATTCCCATGTAGCCTCTATCCTGACCTTAGGCAGCAAGTCATTCAATCTTTCGGTTTCCTCATTTGTCAAAAGAAAATGACAACACTGGCCCAATTTATTTTAACAGGTAGTGTTGAAGATAAGATCAAAGGAAATATGTCAAAGTCTTCTGAAAAGCTTCAAATACTTCTCAAATTATTACAGTAATGGATTCAGTTGGAGAACTTACTGCACAGAATGTCTTTGTCCAAAATCTTAAAATGAATGGGGAAACTGAGTTCAAGGTGCAGAAGTGGAACCCAGATTATTTCTATTCTTGTATAAGCAGAGGCTTGGACTGGAGCTCCAGGTATCTGTATGCTTGCTCCAGCCTAGGCGCTGCTTGGGGCAAATCACTGCACTTCACTACAAAATATGGATGTGATACCTACCTTCTCCCGAATCCTATGGGTAGGGTCTGAGCAGGAGACAAAAACACTCAGAAAACTTGAGACGAGAAAAACTCTAGAAAGTCAATTATATGCATTTTTTAATATGGTGTCAGATTTTTTTTCTCCCACTCATTTTCCCTTGTCTCAATCTAAATTTTATCCAGATGTGAACATGAAGAGGCCTGTCTTTGTTCATTCTCTGCTTCTTTGGTTTTCCTTTGTGCCTCAAAAGGTTTTGGTGCTATGCTTCAAGACACAGGTCATGAAGGGGAAACAGTTGGGGTGCTGTGGGGAGACTGCAGTATTAGGAACGAGGACTGAGGGTAAAGAGTTACAGCATGCTCCAGAATGTGCACCTCCTCTTTGCCAACGCAGAGACAAGGTGATGAAAAGATCCCTGGCTCCAGACAAATGCCCTCAGCCTTGCAAAGCCTTCCAAGAGGCAGCGTCCCAGAGTCCAGACTGCAAGTGACTTGCATGCGCACACACACACACACACACACACACACGCTCACACACACTCTTCCATGGAAAACTGTGCTCTCGCATCCCAGAAAAGGTTTGTTGTTTCAATTAAACCTCATCAATGCCACATGTCAGAGAAGAAAGAAAAAAACAAAACAAGACTCAATTACTTCAGCTATCTCCTTAGGGATTGATCTGTATCGAATAAACCACCATCTACACATGGGGAGAAGCTTTTACTTATGAAAAACAGAGGCAGGTGCAGAAGAGCAGCATTTGGTACTAAATCAAAGCTCTGGGAGCAGAAGGAAGTGGATTTAGACGCATCCACTTAGCTCCTCCTGATATCTAACTTGCAGGGTGGGGAACAGATCACAGCCTTGGCTGGGTCTGGCCTCTGCTTCCTGGTCCCCGCTGAGGTCCCGTCCCACTTTGCTCACTGCTTCAGCTGCCCGGTAAGAACAGATGGACAGAAGTTAAAAGAGCAAGGTCAGCTCATTGGCTAAGTCTCATTTCACACCCTGCCCCACCTCTATCATCCCTTTCTGGGACATAAAGATGAAGAAAGCAGGGCAGGGGTGTTGCTGCATTTGATTCTGGCTGAAACTATGGTCGTTTCATTTACATCCCCTGAATAGCTGGCGAGTCTGATTTACACATTGATAATATGTGATGCTTTGTATTCCAGCAAATATTTAATCCCTGACGGATCAATAATCCTCGCCTGGCTGTTCTTTTTTGAAAAGAAATAAATCCCCTTTTACTCTTAAAATTCTTGAATAAAATTAAAGTGCTTTAGCCTAGGATGCACTGCTCCTACACGAAGCCATGTGGTTTCATAACCTCAGTCCTCAGATGTTTTTAAAGGGGCCACCTTTGCTAACTTGATATTTTCTGAGATCCTAACATCTCTCCAATGAGTCCTCTGTGTTATCAGTTGATATTATAAGACAGCCCTTTAAGGCCTGGTATACTTTTTTAAAATTAAAAAGTAAAATTATTAACCTAAACTGAATCAGTATGTACATAGCATGCAGTATTTTTTTGCATTTTTTGCTTATATTCACCATGGCAGTCTTGATTTAAATTCTTTATTACAAACCTTTCTATAAACCATTTCCCTCCAAAACTACATTTTTAAGAAAACTCTATTCCTACACAGATTCTTAAAAAGCTATACTCCCGTCTTAGAGTTAAATTTGAATATTTTGAAAAATGCACATTAAACGTGGAAAGAGATGGCTCTCCTCTCTATAAGGGGCTCCCAAGGCAGCCTCAAAGCTCACCAAAAGTTCCAAAACAACATCCACAACAAAACAAACTCTCTTTCATCTCTGGCAGCAACAAAAGCAATAACTTTCACCAAACCTACCCAAGCCAAGAATTAATATAACACAGAACAACACATCCACATTCAGACCATTACGGCTACATCAGCTCACCACAATATTTGTTTAAAAAACACATAATTTGTGGTAGAGAGAAAGAACCTTTCATACAAAAAGAAGTTCTTTCAAATGCAAATTAACCAAAAGACATATTTTCCCTGTGTTTGGGAAATCACTCCAATACATGAAAAACATAGTTTTTGTGTGGAAAAAAAAAATCAGTGTACACCCACTAATTGAAAAGGCAATTACATTAGCTGTAGATTACCTTAACAGTTAAGAAAAGTTAACTCCTGGCTCCATAAGTCTTTAAGAACTTTATTAGCATTTACTGACCTAAGTAGTCTTCAGTTCCCAGGTAGCAAAGTTTCTTTTCTTCTCCACTGAAATGCTCATATGGACACTGAAGGACATTGTATTACTGAACTGATCGGAAAAGAATACTGTTTCCATTCTTCTGGAGGAAAAAAAAAATGGAAAGAAAGAAAAGAAAGATGGAAGGAAGGAAGGAAAGAAAGAAGAAAAAAAGAAAGAAGGAAAGAGAAAGAGGAAAGAAAGAAAAGAAAGGAAAGAAAGAAAGAGAGAGAGAGAGAGAAAGAAAAAGAAAGAAAGAAAGAAAGAAAGAAAGAAAGAAAGAAAGAAAGAAAGAAAGAAAGAAAGAAAGAAAGAAAGAGAGAGAAAGGGAGAAGGAAAAGCAAGGCAAAATGCAGTCTAATCGAGTATTCTTCCTGGTGGGGAAAAAAAAGTAAATCCACTATCCTGGAACGAGTTCAAACATAGCTTGACAGGCTCCAGGAGAATTTACACTGAGCATGCTTAGCCCCGCACTGCTTGCATGAGACACTCTTAATGAATATTACTTCCTTCCCACTGGCTATTCCTGCTGGAAGTCCACACCCACCCCTCTTTCAGAAGTCAGGAATTTAGCTTCAGCCAAAGTCCAGAAAACATGCTTATGCGGAGACAAGGCCTCACCGATCCATAAACTTTCAGGTTGTGACCTGCCGGTCAGTTTGACAAATAGAACATAGGGGTGAATTTTTTTTCTGCCCTTGGTTATGTTGCCAGCTTTATGCCTGTCCTAAACTGCAGTTCCTCTGGAGAAAAGAAAAACAGACAGCTTTCTTTCTGAAGAACATGACGTCCTCAACACCACAGTAAAGACCTTTCCTGATCAAGCTTCCAAACTGAAATCAGAATAAGGGTCATCTGCATATTAAAACACAACACTCGATGATTTTTAGCTTCTGGATAAAACAAAAGTCCTACCCCAAATGTATGCTTTTTGATAACTTACATAACACCTCTCTCAAAAATGCTGCATGCCAAAGCACTCTCTGAAAATATGTTCAAAATCCAGCTTTAACCTGCTATGTTGTCTAAACATTGGACTTGTATACATTTAGGTCACACTAAAAACTGACTTTCTTTTTCAAACAATGCTTTCTCTTTCCCTAAATCCCTCTGTCATGTTTAATGACAGGAGACCTGAAATTCTGAAAATTTAAAAATAGATTACTTTTCTGACAGTCTGAGAAGGCAAGATTCTTGCTCTGCCAAAAAATCAGGGGAGTGGGGAAAGGGGAGGATAAGCAGGTGAGGGCCTGATATAGACCGCATAGTAAAAGAAGGGCATTTTAGATTTTAAAATTAATAATAAGGTACTTTTTTGTTGTCCATTTGATATTTCTAGGGTGCCATTTATATGTATCAAATTACAAGTTATAAATATTATTAAATACTCATTTGAACTGTAATGCTTATTTGCCTAGACACACACACATACATGCACACACAAAAACACACACCCCAATTTGTGGTTTGAAAAAAATGATGTCACAAAGCATCAAAAGGCAATAGAAATTTTCTAAGTCTCCAAGAAATATGGCGTGCCCAGTGTCTAATACAAAGCCTGCCTGGCCAGCATTGATTCTTTGGATTAATAAAGGATGCATCTATGAACCTGATACGTAAATCCGTTGCCTCTCCATGCCTGTAACACTTTACGCAGCCCACTGCTGAGCTGCCATGATATGTTCTCCCTATGGAAGATCTTTGTAGCATAAAATACGTCTTTGCCCACTATTCAATAAATAAAATCTCCGCAGACATATTTTCCTTGTGGTAACTATGAGCTTTTTGGAGACTTTAGGCATGGTGGTTGTTTTGTTTGTTTTTATGCTTTGCCTAAGGGAAGAATAAAATGTAGCCCCCTGCCCCAAGTGTGCTTATTTATATTACAAGAGCAAACTAAGTTTTCAGCAGTTAGACGAAGCCCAAGAGAAATCAGGCTTTGAAAGGCTAAGTAATCCTCGTGACCACACATAAGGTAAGTATAAAATAGGAAGGACATTTATTCATTTGACTCAAAGAGATTGCCTAGAGACAAGGTCCCGCAACACAGAGTACAGGGACCCTTCTCTGTAGACAGCTTACCTCCCTGCCATCGGGGTGCAGTTTCTTTTGTCTCCTTCCATGAGGATGACTCTCTCCCCTGAAGCTAAGGGGAGACACAGAAGCCTGTGTAGGAAACACAGGAGCCTGAGTAGAACCATGCTGTTTCCAGCTTGAATGTTAAAACCACTCTGTGTAAAGCTGAGATAGTCTTTACAGTGCCATCACACTCATTAATTCAATTAGCAAATATTCATTGAGCCCCTACACTGACATTCATTTGGGTGCTGGAAATTGGGACGTGACTAAGACAATGTTCCTGCACTCAGGGAGTTTACATTCTGGCAATTAGATGTTTAATGGAAAACATTAGATGTTTAATGGAAAAAATTCAAGATGTAGGCTGGGTGCGGTGGCTCACGCCTGTAATCCCAGCAATTTGGGAGGCCGAGGCGGGTGGATCACCTGAGGTTGGGAGTTCAAGACCAGCCTGACCAACATTGAGAAACCCCGTCTCTACTAAAAATACAAAATTAGCTGGGCGTGGTGGTGTATGCCTGTAATCCCAGCTACTCGGGAGGCTGAGGCAGGAGAATCACTTGAACCCATGAGGCGGAGGTTGTAGTGAGCCGAGATTGCGCCATTGCACTCCAGCCTGGGCAATAAGAGCAAAACTCTGTTTCAAAAAAAAATTCAAGATGTAAATAGTAAATACATTTACAAACTGTGATAAGTCTAAGAAAGAACTAAAAGGGAAATGATGAGAAAGAAACAAGCCATGTGTGTTGGGGGCTGAGGGACAGAGCATCAGGAAAATGGAATAAATATTTGGGAAAATCATTAGTAACCAATCCAATATAAGTTAAAATGAAAAAAATATGTGGCATGGCTGGATTAAAGCCTTGAATGCAACACTAATGCATTTGGATTTCATATGGTATATAATGGGAAGCTATTGAGGGCTTCTGAGAAGAATTATTTTACTAATTTGACTATGACTATTCTTTATAGCAGTTTGTAGGATACACTGGGGATGAGCATGAAAAGACCAAAGCTTTTGGAAGAGCCAAGATTGGCAGAGGTGAGGAGAACACCTAATCTAGGACAATGCAAATACTGATGGAGGAGAGAAGACAGCAATGAGAGGTATTATTACTTATTTATTTATTTATTTATTTATTTATTTATTTTATTTATTTTTTTGAGATGGAGTCTTGCTCTGTCACCCAGGCTGGAGTGCAGTGGTGCCATCTCAGCTCACTGCAACCTCTGCCTCCTGGGTTCAAGCAATTCTCCTGCCTCAGCCTCCCAAGTAGCTGGGATTACAGGTGCCCACCACCATGCTCAGCTAATTTCTGTCTTTTTAGTAAAGACAGGGTCCCACCATGTTGGCCAGGCTGGTCTTAAACTCCTAACCTCAGGTGACGCACAGGCCTCGGCCTTCCAAATTGCTAGGATTACAGGTGTGAGCCACCGTACCAGGCCGAGAGATATTATTGAGGCAGAATGACAGGCTTTGACAACTAACTGGATGTGCAGATTAGGGTGAGAAGGCATTTAAGGGGAAGGCTAAGATTTCTGGTCTCAGTAGCTCTCAGTAGATCAGGAGCTCAGACATCTCTTCACTTACTTTATACCTGAACTCATGCAGCCGAAGATAGCTGGACCAAAATGTACAAGCACGTCAACTGTTCTCACATTACACTCTTGCTCACTAAACCTCACATGGGTTCTTAAGCAGATGGTGAGAATGGAGAATGATGGTCTCTTAAGCAGAAATGGAGAAATCTAGGGAAAGAAATATCTGGCACATGGTGAACTCAAATATTTACTGGATGTATGGAATATGGAGTTGAGGGTTAGGGGGATATCCATCCTACACTATTATTTTACTTGGGAATTTTATTTAGCTGTTAATAGGGACCTGATAATAGTCAAACACCTAAGGGTATATTTTTCTCTCATTTAAAAAAAAAAATCTGTGATTGAGAGTTCAAAACATGACTACCTGGGACCCAAATCCTTCTATCTTTTTGGTTTCCCATTCTTAATGCAAGGTGTCCAGCTTCAGTTTTACGTTATGGTTCATTGTGGACTATGCCTAATTTTGAGTAAATGCACAAACGTAACAGTCAACTCTAGAAAATGGTTTGGTAGCCAAGGAACCAGGGGCTCAGACACCTCTTATATAAGAATCTGGGTCATACCACCAGATAAGCTACCTAGATAAGCAGAGGTGCTAGCCAAGAAAGAGGAGAATCTAGAATGGATAGTACATTGAGGTGGTACAAATGAGGAGTATCAATGGCAGCCTCTAGACCGGTCATAGAGGCAGGATTAGTCCCACTAACCTTCCTCATGTAATAAGACTTTCTAGGAAAAGAAACTTATCAGAATGCGGGAGGAGGTCTTCTTAGAAGGAGTAAGCTTAGTACACAAGCAAGCAGTGCAAATGGCGAACTGTAGCAGATTCTGTGGTGTGCCATCTATTACCTTCCCTTCAGGACTAAGGCACTTACTACCGCACCTACTAGGAGTGTTAATTTCTGTCATCTCACAGCCAAGTCCCTCTTGAGGAATCACCCTCACTTCTTGGGAGCCTCTGTGACCACAGGAATTCCATGTCTAAGTGTCAAAAAGGGGCACAAATGCCAAGCCTCCTTACTCCAATTTGGGACAAATCAGAGGGTTGTTCCAGCTCCACAGCTCCCTGTAGGATTGCCTGAGACCTGTTACAACTGCACTTCTGTTTAACCCCTCCTCTGCTCATTCTTCCTGCCCTCCATCCCTTATAGATGTTGCTTCTGAAAACACTCCTCAGTAAACTCCTGCATACAAATCTCGATCTCACAGTATGTTGTCTGGAAACCCAATATAATCCAGCAAAATAAAAACCCTGGATAAATTCAACTCTTCACTTACTCCATGCCTGAATTCATGCAGCTGAAGATAGCTGGAGAAAAATACACAAGCATGTCAACTGTTCTCACATTATACTCATGCTCACTAAACTTCACAAGAGTTCACCCCAGAAATCATCCTTTCTTTCCCTAATCTATTTTTTCTTCACTCTCCAGAACAAGTATTTCAAATTTTCTCTTCTAATTTCCAACACTTGTTCCTCACCATCATTCTCAGTAGTCAATCTTGCTTTCCACTATGATGAGAAAAATGAAGCAATTATAAGAGAATTTTCAAAAACCTCAACCTAAAATCTACACACCTGCCAGAATCAGAGTGAATATACTTCACCTCCCCTTCTATTACTATGGATGAACTGTCCATCCTCCCGCAGAGCAAATCCCTCCACCTGTGCACTACATCTTCATTCTCCTTCCTACTTCAAAACATTGCTCCACGAAGTCTTCTCTCATTCTTGTTTTATCAAACTTCCCTTTTTTATTAGATTGATTGCAACATCATAAAATACACTGGTATTTCTCTCATCTTAAAAACAATAACCTTTCTTTAATCCAGATTTCCTCTTCAACTAATGATGTATTATTATCGCTTTCTTATAGCACTCTTGAAAGCATTCTCTACTAGATCTTTCTAATATGTCTTCCCATTCTTTCTTCTTTTAAAAAATGTTTCATGAGATATAATTTTCATACCATAAAATTATATAAAATTCAAACTTTTAGCATGCACAAAGTTGTGTAAGCATTAGCAAAATCTAAGTTTAGAATATTTTTATTACCCCCAAAAAACCTGCCAATTAGCAATAATTTCCTATTTATCTACATCCTCTATCCCCAGGCCCAGGAAATCAGAAATATACTTTCTATTTCTATAAATTTTTCCTATTCTGGTCTTTTCATATAAATGAAAAGCATACAATATGTGGTCATTTGTGACTGGCTCCTTTTACTTAGCATAGTGTTTTCAAGGCTCACCACTGTAGCATGTATCAGTTTTCTTTCATTTAAATTCTCAAATAATATTCCATTATAAGAATATACCACATTTTATTTATGTATGCATCAGTTGATGGGCATTTAGATTATCTTCCCTTGTTAGCTCTTATAAATAATACTGCCCCGAACATTCACTTACAAGTTTTTGTGTGGATGCATGTTTTTATTTCTCTTGAGTGTATACTAGGAATGAAATTTTTGGGTCATACGGTAACTCTGTGTTTAACTTTTTCAGGAACTGTCAGATCATTTTCTAAGTTGTTGAACCATTTTACATTCCTTCAAGAAGTGCATGAGGGTCCCAATGTCTTCATGTCCTTCTCAACTCATGTTATCACCTACAGTGTTTATCACAGCCATCCTGGGTGGGTATGAAGTGGTAGCTCATTGTGATTTTGATGTTTCCTTTGTGTTCCATTATGTTGGACATTTATCTTTTCATGTGCTCCCATTCTTTCTTAAACACATTCCAATTAAGCTTTTTTCTCCATCACTACACTGAAATGATTCTTCACAAGGCTACCAACAGCCACCTTGTTACATTCTAAGACCATTTCTCAGTCCTTATTTTTCTTTACCTATCAGTAGTTTCTGACACGGGTAAAAATTCTCTCAATAAAACACTGTATTCTTGGCTTCCAGAACACCACATTGTCTTTGTTTTCCTCCTTCACTTCTGGTTGCACCTGTTTAGCTCCTTTTCCTGTTTGTTTGTTTGTTTGTTTGTTTGTTTGTTTTCTCATCTCTCTCACTTCCAAATGTTAGATTTCTCCAAGACTCACTTCTAGAATATATTCTTTCTTACTATCTACACTCATTCCCTATACAATCTCATCTAGGATCTACATAACTTCTCCTAGAATCATGACTTTAAGTGCCATCTATATGGTTATGATGACTCTCAATATTATATCCTCAACCTGGATCCCTCCACATATTCGAAACTAACTATTTAACATCACTTGGATGTCTAAGAGGCAAAATTAAACATGCCCCAAACTGAGCTCCTACTGTTTTTCCCAAACTAGTTCCTTTCCTTTCTCAATTTCTGGCAACTTAAAATTTGAAGCTAAGACAGAAGTAGAACAAGATGGCAGAATAGAAGCTGGACTGATCATTCTTCGAACAGAGTACCAATTCAACAACTATCTACACACACAAAATAAAAACACCTTCATAAGACTCAAAAATGATGTGAGCACTCATAGTACCTGGTTTTAACTTCATATCACTGAAAGAGGCACTGAAAAGGTAGGAAAAACAGTCTTCAATAGCCGACCCACCCGTCCTCCATCTCCTGGTAGGGGTGGCATGGTGTGGACAGTGTTTCTGTGCACTGGGGAGAGGCAGAACTCAGTGACTGTGAGGCATTGAACTCAGTGCTGCCCTGTTATAGCAGAAAGATAAACAAAACCAAGCTCAGCTGATGCTTGACCAAAGAGGGATCATTTCCCCAAGGAAGAGGGGAATTACAGATTCCAGCAGTTGGAACTTAAGAGTTCCTGCAAGGCTTGCCATCATGAGTTAAAGTTTTCTGGAGCCCTAAAAAACCTTGAAAGCCAGTCTAGGCCACAAGTTTTGCAATGCCTAGGTGAGTCCTAGTGCTGAGCTGAGCTAAGAGGCAGAGAACTGCAGGGGCAGTGACCTACTGAGACACCAGCCAGGGCAACTAAGGAAATGTTGGCATCACCCTTCCCCTAACCCTAGGCTGCACAGCTAGTAGCTCCAAAAGAAATTCCTTCCTTCTGCATGAGGAGAAAATATGGAAGAGTGGGGAGGACTTTGCCTTCCATCTTGGATACCAACTGAGCTACAGGAGGATAGAGCATCAGTCAGAGTTTTGAGCTCCCCATTCTAGTCCTTAGCTCCAAGACAACATCTCTAGACATACTCTGGCCCAGAAGGGAACCTGCTGCCTTGAAGAAAAGGATTCAGTCCTAGCAGCATTCATTACCTGCTAACTGAAGAGCCCTTGGGCCCTGAATAACCAGCAGTGACACCCAGGTACTACACTGAGGGCCTTGGGTGAGACTCAGTTTTGCTGGCTTCAGCTGAGACTCAGCACATCCCCAACTCTGGTGACTATGGGGTGAGACTTCTGCTTGAGAAAAGTGGAGGGAAGAGTAAAGAGGGCTTTGCCTTGCACCTTATGTACCAGCTTGGCCACAGCAGGTAGAGCACCAAATAGGCTCTTGGGGTCCCTAGTTCCAAGCCTTGGCTTTTGGATGGCATTTCTGGACCTTCCCTGGGCCAGAGGGGAGCCCACTGCCCTGAAGGGTGAATCCCAGGCCAGGAAGCATTCACCATAAGCTCACTGAAGAGCCCTTGGGCCTTAAGGGAACCTCAGCAGTAGTCTGGCAGTAGTCCCTATGGGCCTGTGGTGGTGGTGGCCATGGTGTGAGGCTGCTCTGCCTTTGGAAAGAAGAAGGAAGAGTGACAAGGACTGAGACTTGTGGTTTGAGTGCCAGCTCAGCCACAGTACAATAGAACACCAGGTAGACTGTTAAGATTTTTGACTCTAGTCCCTGGCTCCCAAGTGGCACCTCAGGCCTGCCCAGGACCTGGGAGACCTCACTGGCCGGAAGAGAAGAACACAGGCTTGGCTGGCTTTGCTACCTGCTAGTCGCAGAGACCAGGGCATTGAGCAGACATAACCAGTAGCCAGGGAGTGGTTACAGCAGGCCTTGAGTGAGACCCAGTGATGTGCTGGCATTGGGTCTGACTCATCACAGTACTAGTGGTGGTAACCACAGGGTGCTTGTGTCACTCTACCCCTAGCTCCACGTGGCTCAAAAAAGACAGAGAGACTCCATTTGCTTGGGAGAGAGTAAGAGAAGAGAGCAAGAGTCTGTACCAGGTAATCTAGAGAAATCACCTGGACCTCGTCCAAGACCATCAAGGCAGTACCTCTATGAGTCTATAAAAGCCACAGTGTTACTGAGCTTTGGGTGTTCCCTAAAGCACATACAGCTTAGATCATGATACCCGACTCCATGTGAATATCTGGAAAGCCTTCCCAAGAAGGACGGGTACAAACAAACTCAGACTGCCAAGACTACACTAAACATGTAACTCTTCAATGACCAGATACAGATGAACATCTACAGGTACTAAGATGATCCAGAAAAACGTGACCTCATCAAATGAACTAAATAAGGTACCAGGGACCAATCCTGGAGAAACAAAGATATATGATTTTTCAGACAGAGAATTCAAAAGAGCTGTCTTGAGGAAACTCAAATAAATTCAAGATAATACAGAGAAAAATTTCAGAATTCTGTCAGATAAACGTAATAAAGATACTGAAATAATTTTAAAGGACTGAGCAGAAATTCTGGACCTGAAAAATTCAATTGGCCTACTGAAGAATACATCAGAGTCTTTGAATAGCAGAACTGATCAAGGAGAGGAAAAAATTAGTGAGCTTGGAACAGGCTACTTGAAAATAGGCAGACAGAGAAGACAAAAGAAAAAAAGAATAAAAAACAATGAAGCATGCCTCCGGGATCTAGAAAATAACCTCATCAGGGCAAATATAAGAGATATTGGCCTTACAGGGAAGGTAGAGAAAGAGATAGGGGTAGAAAGTTTATTCAAAGGGATAATACCAAGGAACTTCCCAAACTTAGAGGAAGGTAACAGCATTCAAGTACAAGAAGGTTATAGAAAACCAAGTAGACTTAACACAAAGACTACCTGAAAGCATTTAATAATCAAACTCCCAAAGGATAAAGAAACTATCCTAAGAGCAGCAAGAGAAAAACAAACAACATGGCAATGGAGCTCCAATGCATGTGGCAGCAGACTTTTCAGTGGGAACCTTATAGGCCAGGAGGCAGTGCATGACATTTTTGAAGTGCTGAAATGCTGAAGGAGGCGGGGGGGGGGGGAGGGAAAGAAGAAAAAAAATCACTTTTACCCTAGAATAGTATATCTGGAAAAAAATATATCCTTCAAACATGAAGGAGAAATAAAGACTTCCAGACAAACAAAACATGATGAATCAACACCAGATCTGCCCTGCAAGAAATACTAAATCAATCAGAAAGAAAAAGACATTAATGAGCAATAAGACATCATCTGAAGGCATAAAACTCCCTGGTAATAGTAAGTATACAAAAAAACACAGGATATTATAACACTGTAACTGTGATATGTAAACTATTCTTAAGTAGAAAGGCTAATCAATAAATCAATCAAAAATAATAATTACAGATCATCATGGCAGACAGAAGGCAGGACTAGATTGCAGCCCCGATTTGGACAGACAGAGCAGAGTGCAGAGGCTCACATGATGAATTTTAGCTCCAGAACAACTGCAAGAACAAACCAGGAATCCCGAGAGGACCCACAGACTCTCTGAAGGAAGCAGACTGCTCCTGCAGGACCCGGGAGACACCCCAAATACTGTGAGTGCCCAAACTGTGGAGCTGGGAAGGGAGACCCTCCACTCCTGAACACACACCACCACTGGGGAAAATGAAGGTCTAGTTTGCAGGAGAAGTTTCTGACCTTACCTGGGGCTGAGTCAATTTAGAGAGCCAAGCAAAATATAGGGGTAGAGGAAGCAGCAAGAAAGGCCCTGGGAGCTCACTGGGTCCCCAAGCAGGCCATTCCTGCCTGGCACCACAGGGGCCCTTCGGGACAGTGGCCAGAGGCATGGGGTAAAACGCCACAGGAGGAACATAATCTTCATCAAAATACCACCATCATTCTTCACAGAATTAGAAAAAAAAAATTGTAAAATTCATATGGAACCAATAAAGAGCCCACATAGCCAAAGCAAGACTAAACACAAAGAACAAATCCGGAGGCATCACACTACCTGACTTCAAACTATGTTATAAAGCCATAGTCACCAAAACAGCATGGTACTGGTATAAAAATAGGCACATAGAATGGAACAGAATAGATAACCTGGAAATAAACCCAAATACTTACAGCCAACTGATCTTTGACAAAGCAAACAAAAACATAAAGTGGGGAAAGGACACCCTTTTCAACAAATAGTGCTGGGATAATTGGGTAGCCACATGTAGGAGAATGAAACTGTATTCTCATATCTCACCTTATGCAAAAATCAACTCAAGATGGATTATGGACTTAAATCTAAGACTTGGAACTATAAAAATTCTAGAAGATAACATTGGAAAACCCCTTCTAGACACTGGCTTAGGCAAGGATTTCATGACCAAGAACCCAAAAGCAAATGCAATGAAAACAAAGATAAATAATTGGGACTTAAACAAAAGAGCTTTTGCACAGCAAAAGGAACAGTCAGCAGAGGAAACAGACAACCCACAGAGTGGGAGAAAATGTTCACAATCTATACATCTGACAAAGGACTAATATCTAGAATCTACAATGAAGTCAAACAAATCAGTAAAAAAAAAAAAAATCAGAAAGTGGGCTGAGGACATAAATGTCTAGACAATTATCAAAAGAAAATATACAAATGGCCAACAAACATATGAAAAATGATCAGCATCACTAACGATCAGGGAAATGCAAATCAAAACCACAGTGTGATACCACCTTACTCTTGCAAGAATGGCCATAATCAAAAAATCAAAAAACACTGGATGTTGACATGGATGCGGTGATCAAGCAACACTTCTATCTACATTGCCGGTGGGAATGTAAACTAGTACAGCCACTATGGAAAACAGTGTGGAGATTCCTCAAAGAACTAAAAGTAGAATTACCATTTGATCCAGCAATCCCACTACTGGGTATCTACCCAGAGGAAAAGAAGTCATTATACAAAAAAGAACTTGTACACACATGTTTATAGCAGCACAATTCATAATTGCAAAATCATGGAACCAACCCAAATGCCCATAAATCAACAAGTAAAGAAACTGTGGTATATACATAAATACAATGTAACACTACTCAGCCATAAAAAGGAATGAATTAATGACATTTGCAGTTACCTGGGTGAGACTGGAGACTATTATTCTAAGTGAAATAATTCAGGAATGGAAAACCAAACATCGTATGTTCTCACTGATATGTGGGAGATAAGCTACAAGGACACAAAGACATAAGAATGACACAATGGACTTTGGGGACTTGGGGGGAAGTGTGGGAAAAAGGTGAGGAATAAAAGACTACAAATAGGGTGCAGTGTTTACTGCTCAGATGATGGGTGCACCACAATCTCACAAATCACCATTAAAGAACTTACTCATATAACCAAACACCACCTGTACCCCAATAACCTGTGGAAAATATAAATAAAATAAATAAAATAAAAAATAAAAATATATAAAAGTAACATCAAAGATGATTAAATAATAATAACTACAACAACTTTTCAAGACATAGTACAATAAAGTATAAATAGAAACAACAAAAAATTACAAAGTTAGGGGAACAAAGTTAAGGCATAGAGTTTTTATTAACTTTCTTTTTGCTTATTTGTTTATGGAGAAACTGTTAAGTTGTTATCAGCTTAAAATAAGGAGCTATAAAATAGTATTTGCAAGCCTCATGGTAATCTCAAACCAAAATCATGTAACACATACACAAAAAAATTAAAAAGCAAGAAACTAAATCATATCACCAGAGAAAATCACCTTCAGTAAAAGAAAGAAACAAAAGAAGGAAGAGAAATCTATAAAACAACCAGAAAACAAATAACGAACTGGAAAAAGTAAGTCTTTACTTATGAATAATAATATTGAATGTAAACGGACCAAACTTTCCAATCAAGACAGAATAGCTGAATGGATTCAAAAAACAAGACCCAATGATTTGTTGCCTACAAGAAATACACTTCACCTATAAAAACACTCATATACTAAAAATAAATTAATAAAGAAAAGGACATTTCATGCCAATGGAAACCAATAAAGAGGAAGAGTAGCAACACTTACCTCAGACAAAATAGATTTTAAGACAAAAACTACAAAAGACAAAGAAGGTCACTGTATAATGATAAAGGGGTCAATTCAGCAAGAGTTTATAGCAATTATAAATATATGTGCACCCAACACTGGAGCACCCAGATATATAAAACAAATATCATTAGACCTAAAGAAAAAGAGACTGCAATACAATAATAGCTAGAGACTTCAACACTCCACCTTCAGCATTGGACAGATCTTCCAGACAGAAAAATCAACAAATAAACACTGGATTTAATCTACACTATAGACCAAATAGATCTATTAATAATATATATTTACGGAAAATTTCATCCAATGGCTGCAGAATGCACATTCTTCTGCTCAGCACATGAATCATTCTCAAGGATAGATTATATGTGAGGTCATGAAACAAGTCTTAAAACATTCAAGAAATGGAAATAATATCAAGCATCTTCTCTGACCACAATGGAGTAAAACTAGAAATCAGTAACAAGAAGAATTTTGGAAACTAAACAAACACATGGAAATTAAATAATATGCTCCTGAATGAAAAGTGGGTCAATGAAGAAATTAAAAAGGAAATTGAAAAATATTTTGAAACAGATGATAAATGAAACAAAACATACTAAAACCTATGGGATACAGCAAAAATGGTCCTAAGAGACAAGTTTATAGCTATAAGTGCCTACATCAAAAAAGAAGCAAAATTAATGATACATCTTAAATAACTAAAAAAAAAAATCAAACCAAACCCAAAATTAGTAGAAGAAAATAAAAAACAAAGATCAGAGCAGAAACAAATACAATTGAAATAAAGAAAACAATACAAAAGATTAGTGAAGCAAAAAGTTGTTTTTTTGAAAAGTTATACAAAATTGACAAACAGCCAGACTAAGAAAAAAATAGAGAAAACCCAAATATACAAAATTAGAAATAAACATTACAACTGATACCACAGAAATTCAAAGACTCATTAGTGGCTACTATGAGCAACTATAAGCCAATAAATTGGAAAATCTGGGAGAAAGGGATGAATTCCTATACATATACAATCTACCAGGATTAACTATAAAAAAATCCAAAACCTGAACCGACCAATAACAAGTAATGAGGTCAAAGCTGTAACAAAAAGTCTCCCAGTAGAGAAAAGCCTGGGACCCAATGGCTTCACTACCAAACATTTAAAGAAGAACTAATACCAATTCTACTCAAACTGTTCTGAAAAAGAGAGGAGGGAGTATTTCCAAACTCATTCTATGAGGCCAGTAATACCCTGATACCAAAACCAGACAAAGACACATCAAATAAAGAAAACTACAGGCCAACACTTCTGATAAATATTGATGCAAAAATCCTCAACAAAATACTAGCAAATTGAATTCAATAACACATTACAAAGACCATTCATCATGACCAAGTGAGATGTATACCAGGGATGCAAGGATGGCTCAACATATGCAAGTAAATCAATTTGATACATCATATTAAGAGAATGAAGAAGAAAAGTCATGAGATCATTTCAACTGATGCTGAAAAAACATTTGATGAAATTCAACATCCCTTCATGATAAAAGCCCTCAAAAAACTGGGTATAGAAGGAACACACTTCAACATAACAAAAGCCATATGAGACAGACCCACAGCTAGTATCATACTGAATGGAGAAAAACTGAAAGCCTTTCCTCTAAGATCAGAAACATGACAAAGATGCCCACTTTCACCACTGTTTATTCAACATAGTACTGGAAGGCCTAGCTAGAGCAACCGAACAAGAGAAAGAATGAAAAGGCATCCAAATTGGAAAGGAAGAAATTAATTTATTCTTGTTTGTGGATGACATGATCTTACATTTGGAAAAAGCTAAAGACTCCACCAAAAAACTATTTGAACTAATAAAAAAAATTAGTAAAGTTGCAGGATACCAAGTCAACATACAAAAATTCATAGCATTTGTATACCCAAACAGTGAACAATCTGAACAACAAATTTAAAAAGTAATCCCATTCATAGTAGCCACAAGTAAAATTAAATACCTATGAATTAACTTAACCAAACAAGTGAAAAATCTCTACAATCAAAACTATTAAACACTGATGAAAGAAATGGAAGAGGGCACCAAAACATGGAAAGATTCTATGTTCATGGATTGGAAGAAACAATATTGTTAAAATACTCATACTGCCCAAGGCAATCTACAGATTCAATACAATCCCTATCAAAATACCAATGACACTCTTCACAGAAATAGAAAAAACAACCCTAAAATTTCTATGGAACTACAAAAGGCCCAGAATAGCCAAAGATATCCTAAGCAAAAAAAAAAAAAAAAAAAAAAAGAAGAAATAACATTGCATGAGTTCAAATTATACTACAGAGCTATAGTAATTAAAACAGCATGATACTGGCATAAAAACAAACACATAGACCAATGAAACAGAATAGAGAACCCAGAAATAAATCCCCACACCTACAGTGAACTCATTTACAACAAAGGTGCCAAGAACATACACTGAAGGAAAGATAGTCTCTTCAATAAATGATGCTGGGAAAACTGGATATCTATATGCAGAAGAATGAAACTAGATCCCTATCTCTCACCATATACAAAATTCAAATCAAAATGGATTTAAGACCTAAATCTAAGACCTTAAACTATGAAACTACAGAAAGAAAATACTGAGAAAACTCTACAGGACATTGGACTGAGCAAAGATTTCTTGAGTAACACCCACAAGCATGGGCAACCAAATCAAAAATGGACAAATGGGATCAAGTTAAAAACCTTCTTCACAGCAAAGGAAACAATCAGCAAAGTGAAGAGACAACCCCAGAATGGGAGAAAATAGTTGCAAACTACCCATCTGACAAGGGATTAATAACCAGAGCTCAAACAACTCTATTTTTAAAAATCCAATAATCCAATTTTTAAACGGGCAAGAGATTTATTTATTTATTTATTTATTTATTTTTGTGACAAGGTCTCCCTCTGACACCCAGGCCAGAGTGCAATGGTGCAATCATGACTCACTGCAATCTTGACCTCCTGGGCTCAACTGATTCTCCCACATCAGCCTCTCCAGTAGCTGGAACTTCAGGAGCTACACACTCAGCTAATTTTAGTATGTTTTGGAGAGATGAGTTTCTGCCATGTTGCCCAGGCTGATCTCAAACTACCAGGCTCAAGTGATCCACCTGTCTCAGCCCCACAAAGTGCTAAGATTATAAGCATGAGCCACCATGCCCAGCCTGGGCAAGAGGTTTGAAAAAACATTTCTCCAAAGAAGACACACAAATGACAAACAGGCATATGAAAAGGTGCTCAACATCACTGATCACCAGAGAAATGTAAATCAAAACTACAGTGAGATATCATCTCACCCCAGTTAAAATGGCTTTTATACAAAAGACAGGTAATAACAAATGCTGGCAAGGATGTAGAGAGAAGGGAACCCGTGTACACTGTCATTGGGAAAGTAAACTACTACAACCATATGGAGAACAGTTTGGAGCTTCCTCAGACACCTAAAAAACTAAAAATAGAGCTACCATATTATCCAGCAATCCCACTGCTGGGTATATACCCCAAAGAAAGGAAATCAGTATATCAAAGAGATCTCTGCACTCCTATGTCTATTGCAGCACTGTTCCCAATAGCCAAGATTTGGAAGCAACTTAAGTGTTCATCAACAGATGAGTGGATTTTTAAAAAACATGGTACTTATACACAATGGAGTAGTATTCAGCCATGAAAAGAATGAGATTCTGTCATTTGCCACAACACAGATGGAAATGGAAGTCATTATGTTAAGTGAAATAAACCAGGCACAGAAAGACAAATATGGCATGTTCTCACTTATTTCTGGTATCTAAAAATCAAAACAATTAAACTCATGGAGATAGAGAGTAGAAGGATGGTCACCAGAGGCTGGGAAGGATAGTAGGGGCTGGTGGGGCAGGGGTAGTGGAGATAATTAATGGGTACAAAAAACATAGAAAGCGGTTGGGCGCAGGGGCTCACACCTGTAATTCCAGAACTTTGGGGGGCCGAGGCAGTGGATCCCCTGAGGTCAGGGGTTTGAGATCAGCCTGGCCAACATGGCAAAACCGCATCTCCACTAAAAATACAAAAATTAGCCAGATGTGGTGATGGGTGCCTGTAATTCCAGCTACTCAGGAGGCTGAGGCAGGAGAATTACTCGAACTTGGGAGGCGGAGGTTGCAGTAAGCTGAGATCACGCCACTGCACTCCAGCCTGGGCAACAGAGCAAGACCCCATCTAAAAAAAAAAAATAGAAAGAATGAATAAGACCAAGTATTTGCTAGCACAACAGGGTGACTATAGTCAAAATAACTAAAAGAGCATAACTGAATTGTTTCTAACACAAAGAATAAATGCTTGAGGGGATGGACACCCCATTTTCCATTATGTGATTATTATACCTGTACATAATGGATGCTTGTATCAAAAAAATCTCCTGCACCCCATAAGTATATACACCATGAACCCACAAAAATTTAAAATTTAAAAGACCTTTGAGCTATTCTTGACTCTTCTTCCTCTCATACCTCATGTTCAAAATATTATTAATTTATGTCAGTCACCTTCAAAATACATCTAGAGTTTGAACCGTTCTCACCATCCCCACATCTCTGGTTCGAGTTAACATAATTTCTGACCTGGATTGTAAAACTAGCCTCCCAAATTATCCTCCTGTTTCTGCTTTTGACTCCCTGCAGTCATTTCTCAACATAACCACCACCAGAGTGACTCTATTAAAATCTTAGTCAGAATGTATTTCTCGGCCTGGTGCGGTGGCTCACAGCTGTAATCCCAGCACTTTGGGAGGCTGAGGGGGGTGGATCACCTGAGGTCAGGAGTTCGAGACCAGCCTGACCAACATGGTGAAACCCCATCTCTACTAAAAATACAAAAAATTAGCCAGGAGTGTGGCAGAGACCTGTAATTCCAGCTACTCGGGAGGCTGAAGCAGGAGAATCGCTTGAACAAGGGAGGCGGAGGTTGCAGTGAGCTGAGATTGCACCGCTGCACTCCAGCCTGGGCAACAAGAGCAAAACTCTGTCTCCAAAAAAAAAAAAAAAAAAAAAAAAGAATGTATTTCTCCTCTGCTCAGTACCCTGTAATGGCTCTTCAATCTGCTCTACGGAAAAGCCAAAGTCCTTACTGTGTCCTACAAGGTCCCAGGTTCTCCCCTCTCTTTACCTTTCTTATCTCACTTCCTCCTAGTCCCCACTCCTCAGTCTTTCCATTTCTCTCATCCTGACCTCCTTGCTGTCTCCCAAAGACCCCACATCTGCACCTGGCTCAGGCCTCTGCACTTGCTGTTTCCTCTGCTCAAAGCATCCTTATCCCTGTTGGCCATATGATTAGTTCCCTTACTTTCTTCATAGGTTTATTCTGAAATCACCTTCTCAGGGAGGCTTTCCAGGTCATTCTACTGAAAATATTAGTTCCCCTCCCGGCATTTCATATCTCTCATGCCTGCTTGATTCTTTCTCATTACCACCTACATGTAACATTCTGTATATTTTAATCATCAATCTTATTTATTTTCTGTCTCCCTAACTAGAATGTGAACTCCCTAAGTGTGGACTTTTGTCTGTTTGTTCATTGATATATTACAAACAACTAGAAAAGCATGTAATGCATAGTAGGTGTCCAATAAATACATACTTGGAGAATGAATTCCTCTACAATCTTCTCTCCCTAGAATGCTATTCCTCCTGTTCTCTATCTGCAAAATATGTTTACCCATTCAGATGCAAATAAATATTATTTTCTCTCTGTAGCTTCTTGTTGTTCTTTGCTTTCTCTGCTTTCTCTTCTTTCTCTCTGTATTTACATCTTCTATAGAGTTTATTGCTTCCCACTCTATGCTCCAAGATCACATTACATTTAACCTCTGCTGTTGCTTATAATATTGCTTTGTGACTTACGGTATCAAATTTTCCTATTAGATAATGAGTTATTGCAATGCAAAATCATCATATTATTATTTTTTATAATCCCTGGTGCCTGGCCCATCATAAAATTCAATAAAAGTGTTGAATGAATCACCAAACACATTCTCTCTTCTTTCAGCTCCCTCCTCCCCCTTTTCATCACCCCTTACCTCTACCCAAAACTGACAGCTAAGTCTTCCATTCCAAAATTATCCATGAGCCTCCTGCTGACCAGACTTTATTGGCAGTGTCTGTTTCCCGGTCCCAGATTCTGCCTCCATACCCCTTCCTCCTGGTCAGACAGTTATTCCCTCAGGCATTTGCTAAGAAAGATAATATAGCCAATTAATTGTGCCAAGATTCCAGTAAAAGTTAATGGATTGATGATTGAATATTAAATTGTAAGTTACTACATATTTTTTAATTCAGGCAACTAAGTAACCTCATGCTGTGGGAAGAAAATTTAAGGGTAAGAAACCCAAGCAGAAAGTACTGTTTAGTGGTTGCCTGATTGCTATGATATAGAAGATTTTGACCTCAGGGTGAATTAATTTATCAGATTACTTCCTGAGAATAGAAAGAGGATTTCTTAAGAAGAGAATTAAGGAGAAGAGCATGGATATACTGGACGCCTGAGAAGAGGTAACTCCACTAAAGGAATGAAATGGGCATCAGGGTGACACCATCACCAAAGACAGTTTTGGGGAAAGCCTTGGTTCCCTTCCAGCCACTCCATATTGCCCTTCACAAGGATCAGTTCTGGGTAAAAGCATGATCCACAATCTAGGTAATCCAATACAGAAAAGGCTGAGTGAATAGAAGAGGCCACACAATATGAATCATGTGAAAATGCTTTGGAGACTAGAATACACCATTCTCCAACACTCACTGAGCCCAGAGAAGTAAAAGCAAGTCCAAGCATATATTGTATATTGAACACTACCTCTGTGAAAGAATTAAGCACCAGGGCTACAAAGATGAGTAAAACAAATTTCTAATCTGAAAGGAACTTAAAATCTAATATGGGAAAAATCAATGCCAACAAGTAGGACAAGTACTAGATAACAGAATTATGAACACATCATAGTATAGAGGCAGCATTCAGCTCTGGTTAGGTAGTGCTGGCTAAATGAGATGGTGTCATGCAGTAATATTTGAGGTAGGTCTTAAAGGATGAGTAGTTTTCTGGACAAATGAGAATTGGTAGAAAGAAGGGCATATAAAAAGGATAGGGTCACAAAGCAGCCTGGGTTGGGGAGAACTATTAGTAATGGGATATGGCTGAATCATAGGATTGGAGAGGATGTGTAATGATAGATGAGATTCACAGATAGTAAGAGATCAGGTTATGAAGGATCTTGAAGTCCATGCTAGAAAGTTTAGATTTTGTCTTTTTAGACAACGATAAGCCATTTAAGAACTTTAAGCAAGGGACTAACATGTTCAGAATTTTATTTTTGAAAGATGACTGTAGTTGTAATATAGAGAACGGATTGGAAGGTGAGGAAGATTGAACTCAGAAAGACCAATTTGTTGACAAGTGTGTTATGCAAATGAAGATGAATGAGAGTCTAAGTTAGGCAACAATAGCAAAGATGAATAGAAATAAACAGATGCAAGATATATACAGGAAATAGAAAAAGGCTTCATGACCAATTGGCTATGATGGGGAGGGGTCATGGATGGCACAGTCAACTGTTTTGATGCTCTAGTGGATTTGCTGATATGGATAATACAGAACTCTTTTTACTGACCAAGTTTTTGTGGGACTGTTATAAATCTGTGCTGGGTCATATTGAGTTTGATATTGCACGAGACCAAGGGAGAAGTTTGAAGGCAAATGGAATATGGACAGTCAAGCAGGAGACAGATCTATCTGGAAGGTGTGAACTTGAGAACCACATCAACATATAATGTTATGTGGAAACCATGGGTAGAGATAAATTGTCCTAGGAGAGTATGTTAACAGACAACCAGATATGCTATGCCCAAATGTGAAGACTGGTTGAAAAAGGAAACCTATGCAAGAGACCAAGAGTATCTGGAGACAGAAGAGGAGAATAGAGTGACCATAAAGATAAAGGAAGAGAGTTTCAATGAAGGAATGTCAAATACATAAAGAGACCAAGAATGAGATTTTCAAAGCCTGAACATGTTCATTGAATTTAACAATATAGAGATCATTGTGACCTTGCTAAGAATACATTTAATGAAGTGATAGGCCTAAGTGAGTCAAGAAAGGCACCCAAGGAGGAAAATTTAAGGCGGCACTCACTCTCAAAGTTGTGCAAACATGGGGTCAGCACCTGAGAGTGAGAGCAGCCTTAAATCTGGCACCTGAGGTGCCTCACTGGCTTCACCCAAGTCCCATGCAGGCTAAGGAGTAAATGAGAGGAGAAGAAATAAAGTTAACAAGTGTACGCTGACTGCACTGACTCAGGCCTTACACTCCTTTGTCCTGTAAATCACCCTGAAGAAGTAGGTTTAAGCCACCGTATTTTGTCTTTTTTTTAAAATTATTATACTTTAAGTTCTAGGGTACATGTGCACAACATGCAGGTTTGTTAGATAGGTATATATGTGGCATGTTGGTTTGCTGCACCCATCAACTCATCATTTACATTAGGTATTTCTCCTAATGCTATCCCTCCCCCAACCCCCCACCCCCCAAAAGGCCCTGGTGTATCATGTTTCCCGCCCTGTGTCCATGTGTTCTCATTGTTCAACTCCCCCCTGTGAGTGAGAACATACAGTGTTTGGTTTTCTGTCCTTGTGATATTTTGCTGAGAAAGATGGTTTCCAGCTTCATCCATGTCCCTGCAAAGGACATTGAACTCATCCTTTTTTATGGCTGCATAATATTGCATGGTGTCTATGTGCCACATTTCCTTAATCCAGTCTATCATTGATGGACATTTGGGTTGGTTCCAAGCCTTTGCTATTGTGAATAGTGCCACAATAAACGTGTGTGGATGTGTCTTTGTAGTAGCATGATTTATAATCCTTTGGGTATATACCCAGTAATGGGATTGCTGGGTCAAACGGTATTTCTAGTTCTAGATCCTTGAGGAATTGCCACGCTGTCTTCCACAATGGCTGAACTAATTTACACTCCAACCAACAGTGTAAAAGTGTTCCTATTTCTCCATATCCTCTCCAGCATCTGTTGCTTCCTGACTTCTTAATGATTGCCATTCTAACTGGCATGAGATGGTATCTCATTGTGGTTTTGATTTGCATTTCTCTGATGACCTGTGATGATGAGCATTTTTTTATATGTCTGTTGGCTGCACAAATGTCTTCTTTTGAGAAGTGTCTGTTCATATTCTTTGCCCACTTTTTGATGGGGTTATTTTTTTCTTGTAAATTTGTTTGAGTTCTCTGTAGATTTTGGATATTAGCCCTTTGTCAGATGGGTAGATTGCAAAGATTTTCTCCCATTCTGTAGGTTGCCTGTTCACTCTGATGGTAGTTTCTTTTGCTATGCAGAAGCTCTTTAGTTGAATTAGATCCCATTTGTCTAGTTTGGCTTTTGTTGCCATTGCTTTTGGTGTTTTAGTCATGAAGTCTTTGCCCAGGCCTAGGTCCTGAATGGTACTGCCTAGGTTTTCTTCCAGGGTTTTTATGGTGTTACGTCTTACATTTAAGTCTTTAATCCATTTTGAGTTAATTTTTGTATACAGTGTAAGGAAGGGATCCAGTTTCAGCTTTCTACATATGGCTAGCCAGTTTTCCCAGCACCATTTATTAAATAGGGAATTCTTTCCCCATTGCTTGTTTTTGTCAGGTTTATCAAAGATCAGATGGTTGTAGATGTGTGATGTTATTTCTGAGTGCTTTGTTCTGTTCCATTGGTCTATATATCTGTTTTGGTACCAGTGCCATGCTGTTTTGGTTACTGTAGCCTTGTAGTATAGTTTGAAGTCAGGTGGCATGATGCCTCCAGCTTTGTTCTTTTTGCTTAGGATTGTCTTGGCTATGAGGGCTCTTTTTTGTTTCCATATGAAGTTTAAGCCACCATATTTTGTCTTACATGTATGGTAACTCAGGCCTCATTTGACTGACCCAGGTATGGACATATGACCCAAGGACAGCTCATTTTAAACTCTCAGTATGAAGGGCAATCCTATTTTCTCTGCTGAGATTTTAAGCAAGAGAATACCATAAGAATTTATTACTTGGCAGTAGAAAAAAACTGAAGAAAGCTTATCTTTTAGAGGCTAGAATAGCCATAATGGACCACACATATGCCAAAGTTATGAGAAGACTGAGCTCTGAAATAGCGAATCCTTTGGTAGAAAGAAAATGGAATCCAGGCTAGGTGTGGTAGCTCACTCCTGTAATCCCAGCACTTTGGGAGGCTGAGGCAGGCAGATCACTTGAGGTCAGGAGTTCAAGACCAGCCTGGTCAACATGGTGAAACTTTGTCTCTACTAAAAATACAAAAATTAGCTGGGCATGGTTGTTGGCGCCTGTAATCCCAGCTACTTGAGAGGCTGAGGCAGGAGAATTGCTTGAACCCAGGAGGTAGAAGTTGCAGTGAGCCGAGATCTTACCACTGCACTGCAGCCTGGGAGATGGAGTGAGACTCCACCTCAAAAAAAAAAAAAAAAGGAATCCAGTAGGAGAGAGAAGATAGGCAATAAACGAGACATAAGGAATCACCAATCTCTACTACTCCCTCAGCTCCAGAGAGCTTTTTGTGTCCTGTTCAAATGCTTTCACATTAAGCTTTTTTTCACTCAAGTTACTTTGAGTTGAATGTTTCTTCCTTGCCACTGGAAGGGCCTAACTAAAGTTATTTTTAAAGGAAGCTTGTCAGAGCAACAAGCAAAAATAGACAAGTGGGATTCCATAAAACTAAAAAGCTTATGCAAGCATAGAAAATAATCAACCAAATGAAAAGGCAACTTATGGAATGAGAGAAAATATTGATGAGTCATACATTTGATAAGGGATCAGTATCCAAAATATATAAGAAACTCAACTCAATAGCAAGAAAACACATAACTTGACTTTAAAATGGACAAAAGACCTGAAATGGCATTTCTCTGAAGAAGACATACAAGTGGCCAAGTATATGAAAAAATACTCAACAACAATAACCATCAGGGAAATGTAAATCAAAACCACAGTGAGATATCACCACCCATTGGTTAGGGTGGCTACTATCAAAAAGACAAGACATAGCAAGTGTTGGTGAGGATGTGGAGAAAAGGAAACTCTTGGACACTCTTGGTGGGAATGTAAACTAGAACAGACATTGTGGAAAACAGTATGGAAGAAGTAAAGTCAGCAAGTGTATGTTTAATTTCTCAAAGAATTACAAATGTAACTACCATATGATCTGAGTACACATTCAAAGAAAATAAAATCAATTTGTTGAAGAGATATCTCAGCCTTATGTTCATTGGAGCATTATTTACAATAGCCAAGATAAGGATGCAACCTGTGTCCATCAACAGATAAACAGATAAAGAAAATATGGTACTTATACACACTGTATACTATTCAGCCTTTAAAAGAAAAGGAAATGCTGTCACTTGTGAACCTGAAGGACATTGTGTTAAGTGAAATAAGCCAGGCCCAGAAAGACAAATACTACATGATCTCACTTACAAATGGAATCTAAAAAAGTTGAACTAACGAAGCAAAGAGTAGAATAGTGATTGGGAAGATGCTATCAAAGAATACAAAATTTCAGTTAGACAGGAGGAATAAGCTCAGGAGATCCACCTTACTCTGTGGTGACTGTAGTTAATAACAATGTATCGTATACTTGAAAATTGCTAAGATGGTTGAGTTTACATGTTCTCACCACAAAAAAAAAGACACGTATATCAGGTAATGTGTATGTTAATTTGCTTGATGTTGCCATTTCAAATTGTAGGTATGTATCAAAACTTCATGCTGTATACCATAAATATATGCAATATTTGTCAATTGAAATAATAATAATTTCTAAAATAAAACAAACTTTTTAAAAAGGGAGCTTGTCTGTGAAACAAAGGAAAAAGCTCAGATATTAGAACAAGGCTCATTTGAGCTATATATAACGGAATGAAAGGAGAAAATATTAATGAGCTACTCTGACTAACTTGGCCAGCTTATTTGTCTTATTGATTTGTTTCTAAAGAGCTCTGGACTTGCAAGACAAGAGATGTAATGCTTGCCTAACAGCTGGTTGTTCAATAAGTCTTAGTTTTCTTCCCTAAAATGTGGAAATGTAAACATTTATCTACTTATCTCATAGGATGGATGGTTATATTGAAAGACAAGTTATTACACTGAAAAGTGAAAATGTGAGATGTTAATAATTGTGAATCATATCAATTATAAGAGTAATGATTTATATTTACTGAACAGTACTGCACCCACCCTATCTCACCCGCCTGCCTCTCCCACTTCTTTCTATCTCTTTCATGAGTGCTTGAAGCTCTTTGATACTCTGCCATTGCTATCTTTTACTTTGGTTGAGTTTTACTAATGTCCGATAACTGAATAATGAACAAACCTCACCTGGAAAAGCTCCAACGTGTTTGTTCACCTTCAAAAAAGTATTCCAGCTATAACAGAGCACTTTAGAAACAGAAAATGTTCTGTGGTAGTGGCCATAGTAGTGATAATAGTAAGTACTGGTGGCGTAGTAATAGCTGTCTACACTATAGAAAATTGTATTTATTAATCTGAAATTGAGCTTAGCTCTTATATCTTTGTACCTTACAGAGAGTCCTATGTTCACCCTTTTGCCATACTTTTTAGACCAGAGTTTTTTCATGCCATTATACCAAGTTTTAATATAATTTGAGAGCATCAACAATCTAATTAATTAGCAGACAGATGAGAATAACATTGTTATAACACAGTCTCACGAACTGCATAGACCCCAATTCCATGCTCATGGAGGCCAAGAGCTAATTCAAAAGGAGATTTAGGGTGCTGTGAAAACTTTTACAGCAGTAGCATAATTTTGGGATGCTATTAGAAAATGGGTACATTTTGTTACTTCATGTAGAAACATATTGCTTTATTCAAAGATAAGAGCAATTTTTGGAGCCCTCCTCTTGGTCAACACAGGAAGTCAGTTGGCTGGTTCAGAAGAGATTACTTGGTGATGCAATCTGTGAGGCTAGTCTCATTCAAACCAGGGAACAGTAACAAGAGTAACAGCAGAATGGCTAAGAAGCCAGCCACCATGAACCCCTCACTGGCTGGGCAGGTGGGTTCTCAATGCATTCTCAGGTCTCCTGACCGCCCGGGGATGGGGAGAGGAAAGCGCTAACATGCAGTCCACAATCCAGTGCTCTAGAAGTGTCCCAGCAGTGCCCAGGACTCTATTCTGTGTCACCCTTAGAGAAATCTTCATCCTTGGGCTGTTGAGCAACTCACCCTGGCTGAGGCTGAGGTGGGGAAGAGAAGGGTAAGAGCGCTCCTTTCAGCTCTGAATTTACTTGTCAAGCATGGTGAACATATGTAAAGAAGGCAGCTGAAGTGATGGGTTCACAGGGGTTGTTATACTATGCTCCCTACTTTGGTGAATGAAATTTTTCATGAGAAATGCTAAAACAGAAAAGGCAGCTTCTTCACTGCAAAAAGTAAGGGTTTTGGAGAAGGAGATCTTTCTTCTCCAATTTTTTTCCATCATTTTCCTGGACAATGCTTTTTGTTCCACAGTTGGAAATAGGATTGGATATACAAATACAAAGTAGAATTGGGCAGCAAATAAAATTCACTTTCAGATGGAAACTACTGAAAGTAGATCCTTTCCCAAGAGGGAGTAGCAGGGGACCAAGCACCTAAAAGGAGAGAGCGAAGCACCGAGGAAGCAACATGGGAGAGTAGAAACTGGGACCCTCAGACACATTTTATTGACCTCTCCGCGTGGCCATCTCTCTGCCTCAAAGGTGTTCATTGGAGGACTCAACCTCGTGCTTCCTAAGGTCCCCTCTTCTCCTATGAGCTCCCCATCCTACTCCATCCCTGACACAATTACCCTGGGCTTCACAGACAAAGTCCCTCACTGGCTTTTGACCCCTGCCCCCTTAATAATATTAGACTATAAAGTTGCCTAGCATGAGGAGTTGCCATGACGACGGCACCCATATCCCTGTACAAGTGCCAGCACTGAGACCCGGGGGCTTGGGCACATGGCAAAAGGACAGCTTGAGAGAAACAATGGAGGGAGCCAACTGCAGATTCTTTTCATGCCTAATTACCCATGAGCACATGGCACAATGGCTTATTTAACTCTGCCTTGGCTCAGAGTAGAGACAGGTTCTCATTCCAGTTGGAAAGGATTCCAGCTCTGGCCCATTGCAGGGAGGGGCAAAAGGAAAGGGAAAGTAAGTTACTGAAATGCATAGACCTTGTCTTCTTAATTATTTTGCATTTGGCCATCATTCCTTGTCTCAGAAGCTAATTATTCCAAGTCAGGAGAATTGTTCCACCTCAGAGTTAGCTGCAAGCAAAACGCTGACAACCTGTGCTGGGAACAACTGTTTCCTGTGCCTAGCTAGGCAATGGAAGATCATTCTTTCTCAGAACTAACTCAGCCAGTCAGAGCATGGAATGACTTATTAAATCCTCAGGATGTGTAAGGTAACCTACCTACCTGTCTTCCTTCTTTCTTTCTTAGAATAGAATTCAGGCCTCACCACCCCCTGGAATTTTGCAGACTGTGGAGAAGCAGTCTTGCCAGAACCATGCTGTAAGATGATCCCAGGAAAAAGAGACAGAATGGACACACACGCAAAGAAGACTCTCCGCCCAGTGCAGACTCAAGGCCATGTGACCTTCTCCACACAGTGAGCCCACAGGTAACCAAAAGTGCTTCTGAGTCCTCAAAGATGGCAGGAGAGCAAAGGAGACCATTGCCTTATAAGCGTTAGGAGGGTGAGTGTTTTCAGAGATGTAATGCCATTGTTTTTTTTGTGGGTTCTCTTGTCATGGCAGCCAAATACATGTGGTAAGAAATATGTGGAGAATATTATATATTTTTATTGATTACCAAAATTGCATCCAAGTCAATTCAGGTAACATTGCTTTAATTATCTGTTTGGATTCCTACTTCAGGTCCTGATCCCTTCTACTTTCTTCCCAATGTGATATGCTATTTATCACCGGACTCAAATAATGACAGGCAGGAGGCCAAAGGCTTTCCAACTCTCTTTCCTGACTCAGCAAAACCCAGTGGGTCCACCTGTATACCCTCTGAATATTTCTGCCTTAGCAGTGAAGGTACTGGATTGTAAGATTTTGGAAGCCATAATTCTGGGAGGGTCCAGAACATATTCTTCATTAAGGCAAAAAGAAATGCACAGTTCCAGGGGTCACTTACATCTCTGAGGAGCTCAGTGGTGACTGTCTTCTGTAGAACAGGACTGACAGGAGATGTAACCATGAAATTGAACCTCTTGATATTAAGTGGAGTTTCAAGTGGGGTCCGGAGTAAGATAAGGCTCTGCTGCAGATTCAGGCTCCAGTTCAAATCATCTTGCCACTCAGGCCTAGATCCAATGGTATAGAAGTGTTGGAGGTGGATAAAGAAGATATGTAGAATTGCAAGCCCCACTTGGAGACTCAAAGCACAGATCTATGATTGTGGAGGAATACCATGCCTTCTGCAGCAGAAAATTATTCTCATATGAAAAGAAGCTCATAAGTAACTGAATGAGAGTAGGATACCAAGTGTCTATGTGACCAGGGCTGCTCATCAAAGTTGGAGATTGTCTGGGCAACTGATTCATAAGATCAGGTGGTCAAGGAAGTAATATCTATGTAATAGAAATTGAGCATCAGGCCTACAGAACTCCAGGAGGTACAAGTAAATGATATGAGCAAGTGGCCAGACTTCTACATCCCCTTGCTCTGTTTCTCTCTCAACTCACATCTATAAAGAGTAAAAAATAGTTCAAGTCCAATTAAAAGACTGGGACTACACTATATTGGGTGCTAGCAAAAAAATGAACAGCTGATACATTACAGCATCACTCAGGAGTGACATTAAGGGATCTTAGCAAAGGAAAATTCTCCCAGAGGTCAGAGCTTTAAGCACTACTCTGGGCTATTCACTTCCTATGGAAGAAAATTTGAAATGTGTGTATGTATATATGTATATATGTGTATATATGTGTGTGTGTATATATATATGTATATATATATATGACTCCTGAGAAGTGACAACTTACCTGGCTCAAGGAAACAAGACTGGAATGTTTGTGTATTAGTTTCCTGTGGCTGCTGTCAAAAACTACCAAAAGCTTGGTGACTTAAATCAGCAGAAATTTCTTGTCTCATGGTCTAGAGTCCAGAAGTTGGAAATCGGTATCACTGGGTTGAAAGAAAGTTGTCTGCACCTCTTCCAGCTTCTGCTTGCTGCTGGCATTTGTTGGTCTTGTGACCACATCACTCCAATCTGTCTCCTTCTTCATATCATGTGCTCCTCAGTGTGTGTGGAATCTCCCACTGTCTCCTTCTTCTAAGGACACTTGTGATTTTATTTAAGGCCCTCCTGGATAATTCAGGATAATCTCCCTATTTCAAGATCCTTAACTTAGTCACACCTGCAAAGACTATTTTTTCATATAAGGTAATATTTACAGGTTCCAGGGATAAGGATCTGATATCTTTGGGGGTTGGGGTGCATTACCAATCTACCATGATCTGGGACAGGTAGGTTTTAGGAAGACATTTGTTGGGGGTATTATCAGCCTACCACAATCTGGGTCCGGTAGACTTTAGGAAGACATTTGTAGCTGAACCTATGGAAATGGACGCAAAAGGTACAAGGATCTTTGTGTCTCGTGTTGCTGCCCACCAAGATGTATTCACCTCAGAAAAGGTTCTCAGTCCCCAGGGAGGTGGCATAACCTTCTGTGGACATCAACCAGCCTCTTTTCATGGTTTAATACTGTCTTGGGCCTTTGAGCCAGTGGCTATGATGGCAAAGATGGAGAACTGCATGGCTGCAACAACCTGGGTTCCCTCTCACCAAGGCTCTTGATACTGCTCAATCTGCCAGCATTAGAGACTGATTATAATCACTTGACATGGTTCTATTCCTTTCGGACAGAACATCTTAATCTTTGGTGAGTAAACAGTTTTTATATTTGCTGTTTTAAAAAACTTCCAAACACTGGCCAGGCACACTTTGGGAGACTGAGGTGGGCAAATTGCTTGCTCCCAGCACTTTGAAAGGCCAAGGTTGGGGGATTGCTTAAGCCCAGGAGTTCAAGATCAGCCTGGGTAACATGGCAAAGCCCATCTCTACGAAAAAAAAAAAAAAAAAAATACAAAAATTAGCTGGGCATAGTGGTGCACACTTGTAGTCCTAGATACTCAGGAGACTGAGGTGGGAGAATTGCTTGAGCCTGGGGAGGTTGAGGCTGCAGAGAGCTGTGATTGTGCAACTGCACTCCAGGCTGGGCAACAGGGCAAGACCCTGTCTCAAATATATAAATAAATAACCAAATGCTATGGAAAATACTTTTATATAATTCAATGAAATCATCATGGAAATAATCAGAAAAATTATCAGATGCTTAGACATTGTAGCAATGTCAAATTACTTTAAAAATGTTCCTAAACATTTACAATTTATATACTTATCACAGATTGGTAAAAGTGTGCAGACCAGCCCAGATCCATGGATTATGTTTTGAAATCACTGCCCTAGAAAATTATCCAGCACCTATTGGCAGATCACGTACATCAGATCCTTTCCAGCCTGACATGGGCAGTGATTCCTCTTTATCCAAGGCTATATCTATTCTGAAAATGGATTCTCCTCCCCTGCTCCTCACCATGTAGCTTTTACCAGCACCATGGTCTAAATGCCTAATCAATGGACACGGTATGACACTCCATGTTGCCTCAGGCCAAGAGAAATATTTTACAGCCAAAGAGGTACAACCATGGACATATAACTATGGGACTTGTGGGTGTTACCATGTACCCCTCACCCAGAGGCAGCCAGCCAAATACAAAGATGAAACTGCCTGTGTCTCTAGAAACTGGAACTCATTAATCTTGAAAGCAAAGGATAGTAGTAAGATTGAAACCTCTCTGAATCATTCCCAGTGACCTACTTGCAGAATTTGTGTTTCTCCTTCTTACATCATTGGACTCTGACAGATTAGAGGTCCTGACTCCTGGGAGGGAATGTTTCCACTAGGAGTTGTACTGAATTGAAGGCCGAGACAGCAGCTATGCCACTCTTTACTCCTCATCCCAATGGACAAAAGTCAAAGAAAAGAATTACTGTATTCCTAGTGATAATTGAACCTGATGACTATGAAAAGTTAGGAATGCTGCCCCACAATAAGGGTAAGAAGTCTAAGGAATTCCCAGAATCCAGAGATCCACTGAGACTTCTCTCTGTGCTTCCATGCCCAATTATAAGAGCAAATGAGCAGCTGGATGCAATGGCTCATGCCTGTAATCCCAGCACTTTGGGAGGCCGAGGCAGGCAGATCACCTGAGGTCAGGAGTTAGAGACTAGCCTGGCCAACATGATGAAACCCTGTCTCTACTAAAAATACAAAAATTAGCCAGGAGTGGTGGCACATGCCTGTGATCCCAGCTACCCGGCAGGCTGAGGCAGGAGAATCGCTTGAACCTGGGAGTCAGATGTTGCAGTGAGCTGAGATCATGCCATCATTGCACTCCAGCTTGGGTGACAAGAATGAAACTCTCTCTCAAAAAAAAAAAAAAAAAAGAAGAAGACCAAATGAGCAATGTAGCAACCATAACTCAAAAAGGCAAGGCAATTTAGGCTGCAAACCCCTCAGGAGTAGAACTGTAGATTACCCCACCAGGGAGAAAACTCAGCAGCTAAAGTGTTGGCTGATGGGAAGAAAAATCTAAAATGAATGGAGGAGAGGAGTGATGATGATTATTAAGGATGGCTTTGGGACCAGATGCAGCTTGTTTCCATATCCTTCTTGCTGTCAGTCCTCTCCCAAATTGCTGCTGGCCACTCTCCTGAAGGGGTCTTTGTCACTGGTTGGGCTTGTCCCTCCCCTATCAGAACATGAGTGAGGATGTTTTGTTTTCACAAAAATTGAGGTACTAAATTGTAATAGTGAGCCAGATATAATAGGAGGCCCCAAACGGACTTTAATGGTGCAAGGGTTACACTATTAGTCACTTATTTTGCACCATCTCAGATCCTCTCAGCCTCATCAGTTTTGGATACTTCTAACCACTTGTTCCACCCCAGATCCCACTGCAACAACAAATACTCTGAGTTTCAGTTCACTTAATTACAAGTAGCAGACACCTTGGTAACATATCCTCATATTGACTCACCCTCTTAATCTGCCTCACCACTCCTTCTTCCTTGACATTGTATACCTTAATCAAGTGGTAGTTCAGAAGCTTTTGCCTTAGCCTCTGTTTAGCCAAGGGCACTCTGCCCGTGACTGCAGAGTTCATGTTATCACTGCCCTTCTTCCTAGGTGGGTCACCAATTATTTATGCTACTAATAATGGTGTATATTTTTTCTGCTAAAGCTGAACATCTTTCTTTACCTTTGTTTATCAAACAGTTAAAGAATTTCTGGACAAGCTAAAATGCTGGAGTCAACTAGAAAGAGTTTAAGGAAACAGAGACCAATCACAAAGGTCAAGAGTTTGACATGGGGGAAAGTGAAAGGAAGAAACTGTATCATTGGAAGAATGCCATGAATATGAACGTCTTCCCATTGACACTGAATTGAAATATTCTGCAGAAGATGCAATATTGCATAGGAAAGGCAACATGCCATCTTCCATTAAAAAAGTAAGAAGGATTAAAGGGAATTAGCAATGTTGAGGAAATTGTGCACCTTGAAAAAGATTCTCTCTAATGAATCTATTCCTACTAAATTTGGTGACAAATTTCCTCAATATTGAGTTCTTTCAATGGCAAACTACCTCATAGAGAATTGCTACAGGCATAACATATTGCAAGTGATGGACCCTACAATGTGGAATTGTCTAAGTCAAAATTAAGTAGTGCGCATCTTTTTATATAAGAGGATTGATTTATTTTGTTGTTGGTTTCTCACTTTTCAACTCTACTTTCAAATAATATCAATATAATCTATTTCTGATTTTTTAATATTTGCCTGAAGAGAAAGAAATAAAAGGTATTCACGTAAGAAGAGAAGAAGTCAAATTGTCTCTGTTTGCAGATGACGTAATCCTAAGAAAACCCCATCATCTCAGCCCAAAAGCTTCTTAAGCTGATAAGCAACTTCACCAAAGTCTCAGGATACAAAATCAATGTGCAAAAATTGCTAGCTTTCCTATACACCAACAACAGGCAAGCAGAGAGCCAAATTATGAATAAACTCCCATTTATAATTGCTACAAAGAGAATAAAATACTTAGAAATACAGCTAAAAAGGGAAGTGAAGGACCTCTTCAAGGAGAACTACATACCACTGCTCCAAGAAATCAAAGTGCACAAACAAATGGAAAACATTTCATGCTCATGGATAGGAAGAATCAATATTGTGAAAATGGCCATACTGCCCAAAGTAATTTATAGGTTCAATGCTACTCTCATTAAACTACCATTGACATTCTTCACAGAATTAAAAAACAAAATTTTAAATTCATATGGAACCAAAAAAGAGCCCAAACAGCCAAAACAATCCTAACCAAAAAGAACAAAGCTGGAGTTATCACGCTACCCGACTTCAAACTGTACTACAAGGCTACAGTAACCAAAACAGAGTGGTACTCATACCAAAACAGATATATAGACTAATGGAACAGAGAAGAGGCCTCAGAAATAACACCTCACATCTACAACCATCTGATCTTTGACAAACCTGACAAAAACAAGCAATGGGGAAAGGATTCTCTATTTAATAAATGGTGCTGGGAAAACTGGCTAGCCATATGCAGAAAACAGAAACTGGACCCCTTCCTTATACCTTATACAAAAGTTAACTCAAGATGGATTAAAGACTTAAATGTAAAACCTAAAACCAGAAAAACCCTGGAAGAAAACCTAGGCAGTACCATTCAGGACACAGACATGGGCAAAGACTTCATGACAAAAACACCAAAAGCAAATGTAATAAAAGCAAAAATTGACAAAAGGGATCTAATTAAACTAAAGAGCTTCTGCACAGCAATGGAAACTATCATCAGAGAGAACAGACAACCTACAGAATGGGAGAAAATTTTTGCAAACTATCCATCTGACAAAGATCTAATATTCAGAGTCAATAAGGAACTTAAACAAATTTACAAGAAAAAAAAAACACAGCCCCATTAAAAAGTAGGACTGCAAATGTTCATGTCCGACATTTCTCTAAAGAAGACATTCACGTGGCCTACAAACATGTGGAAAAAACTCACCATCACTGGTCATTAGAGAAATGCAAATCAAAACCACAATGAGATACCATCTCACACTAGTCAGAATGGCGATTATTAAAATGTCAAGAAACAACAGATGCTGGCAAGGTTGTGGAGAAAAAGGAACGCTGTTCTTCCACTTCCACTGTTGGTGGGAGTGTAAATTATTTCAACCACAGTGGAAGACAGCGTGATGACTCCTCAAAGACCTAGAACCAGAAATACCTTTTGACCCAGCTATCCTATTACTGGGTATATACCCAAAGGAATATAAATCATTTTATTATAAAGCTATATGCACACATGTGTTCATTGCAGGACTATTCACAATAGAAAAGACATGGAATGAACCCAAACTTGAAAATGTGGTACATATACACCATGAAATACTATGCAACCATAAGAAGGAACAAGATCATGTCCTTTGCAGGGACAAGGATGGAGCTGTCGTTTTTTTTCTCAGCAACCTAACTCAGGAACAGAAAACCAAACATGGCACGTTCTCACTTATAAGTGGGAGCTGAACAATGAGATCACATGGACACATAGTGGGGAATAACGCACGCTGGTGCCTGTCATGGGGCGGGGAGAGGGAGAGCATCAGGAAGAATAGCTAATGGATTCTGGGCTTAATACCTAGGTGAGGGGTTGATCTGTTCAGTAAGCCACCATGGCACATGTTTACCTATGAAACAAACCTGCACACTCTGCAGATGTATCCCAGAACTTAAAGTTGAAGAAAATAAAAAGATGAATTTTTTAAAAAGTGTTTGCTTTTAGTTTTATAATAGCAATCCATGTTATGCAGCAAAGTTGCTGACTTCATGTGTGCCCTTTGGTGTCTTGAGGATTAATTAAACAATGCTCCCTCCAAAGCTGCTGTTTTAGGAGGCTTGCCACTGCTCATGCAGTGCTACCTTAGAGACAAGCATCATTCCAAACTAGCTGGATTTGAAATCAGAAAGGAACAGCACAGCAAAGATATAGCTTAAGAAAATTTCTTTCTGCCTGTGGCCCCTGCTCTAAGATCATGGTAGGTCAGAGCATCGTGTACTCTGTAGAATTGCAAAAGCTACTGTTTCACACTTAAGTTAGTGTAAAAAAAGGGAAGAATATAGGAAGCCCTTGTGACGTAAGTTGGATAAAGAATTGAAGGAAACTTGATTCCTGAGATTTCCTTCAAAAACTTCTGCCTTAGTCTTTATAAATCAGATATAATCGCTACCCCACTCCCTTTGTAAAATGCAACTCACTGGGGAGCAGTGCAGCAGCAGGGGTCATATTTTCTCTGTCCACCATACCAGGTTATTATTTCACGCTGCAGTGAGGCAGAGAGGCCAGGCAGGGAAACCCCGGACAATGGGTACATCTCTTAAGCCTATTGCTGAGGGAGAGAAATCACAGAGGAGAGCTCCAAGTTCAAAGATTGCAATTAAAAAATAGCATTTGTTACTATCTAATGTAAAACTTTAAAAAATAAAACAAAGAAGTAATTTGGTTTTTGCTTTTTGAGACAGAGTCTTGCTGTGTTGCCCAGGCTAGAGTGCAGTGGCATGATGTCAGCTCACTGAAACCTCCACCTCCTGGGCTCAAGCAAATCTCAGGTTTCAGTCTCCCTAGTAGCTGGGATTACAGGCGCCCACCACCAGGCCCAGCTAATTTTTGTATTTTTAGTAGAGACAAGGTTTCACCGTGCTGGCCAGGCTAGTCTTGAACTCCTGGCCTCAAGTGGTCTGCCAGCCTCAGCCTTCCAAAGTGCTGGGATCACAGGCATGAGCCACTACGCCCAGCCAAGACGCAGTTTTTTTCATTTGTGTGTTTTGACAGAGAAAATTCAAATCAGGCAACCAAATGTTTTTTTTTAATGTTTAAATTTATTTTCTACAGCACACATTCTACACTTAAAATCAGTATTTTTTATCTTTTTCTATAAGATGATTGATTGATTTTGCTTTCAGTTTCCCACTTGTCACCCTTGCTTCCAAATATTGTCAAGATAATCTAGATTTAAAAGCTGTCTTCTTGCTATAAATTTGTTCTTACAATATATTTTATTTCTAATTGTTTATATTAGATTTCATTTTATAATGGCACTTATAACAATTGTATAATAAATTTGTGTTTACTGGTTTGGGTGCTCACTACTTTTTTTTTTTTTTTTTTTTTTTTTTTTTTTTTTTTTTTTTAGGCAGTCTTGATCTGTCTCCTAGGCTGGAGTGCAATGGCACCATCTCGGCTCACTACAACCTCTGCCTCCCGGGTTCAAGCAATTCTCCTGCCTCAGCCTCCTGAGTAGCTGGGACTACAGGTGCGCACCACCACACCTGGCTAATTTTTCACCATGTTGGTCGGGGGTTTCACCATGTTGGTCAGGCTGGTCTCGAACTCCTGACCTCATGATCCGTCCACCTCAGCATCCCAAAGTGCTGGGGTTACAGGCGTGAGCCACCACGCCTGGCGTCAACATTCTTATGACTGTTTGTTGATAGACATAAGCACTCATGTTTTCGGGAAATATATTCACTAATTAATTATAGAATATGTGTGTTTAGCTTTACTAGATACTGCCAAACAGTTTTTTTGAAGTAGTTGTGCCAATTTACTAACCAGTCATGTAGTAGAGTTCCATTTGCTTCACATCCTCACCAGCATTTAGTACTGTTAGTCTTTTTACTTTTAGCCAGTTTATGGAAATGTAATGGTGTCTCCTTGTGGTTTTAATTTTAATGTCTCAATAAGTACTGAGGCAGAGGACATTTTCATATGCTTAGCTTTTGGATATTTTTTTGAGTGAAATGCCTACGGAGGCTTTGCCTCGAAGAAAGAAGGCCATTCAAGCTAAAGGAACAGAAATGTGCAAGTCACCACCAAAGTGAGAAATGTGCTTTTCTCTACATTCATTTAGCTTGAAGCTCATTGACCTTTTTGGTGCTTTGGTTTAAGTATTTTTTCATCAAATTTGAACAGTTTTGGCATTATTACTTCAAATCTTTTTTCTGCCTCAATATTTCTCTACTATCTGATATAATTACAGGTGTACATTACAGGTGCACAAGTGAGCAATGCTAAAGAAATGACAATGAGGAAATTGTGACTATTGCATAGACTGCATGAGGAGCTGTGGTCAGAGATAAGGGTGTACACACAAGCTTGGGCCATATCACAAAAGACTCAATGCCTAGATCTCTCACTTCCATGTCCCTGTTTTACTCAACCAATTTTTATTCAATACTATTTATTAATTATTTTCTATGTGTAAGGCACTGTCTTAGTCCATTTGTGTTGTTATAACAGAATACCTAAAAGTGGAGAATTTATTAATAAAAGAGGTTTATTTAACTCATGGTTCTGCAAGCTGGGAAGTTTAAGGGCATGGCCCTGGCTTCTAGTGAGGGCTTTTATGCTGCATCATAACATGGTAGAGAAGGTCAAAGGGAAAGCAGACACCTGTGAAGAGACAAAACTCAAAGAACGTGCTGGTTTCAAAACAACTCACTCTTGCGGGAATTAGTCCATTCCTATGGGAATTAATTCAGTCTCACTAATTTAGAACAAGAACTTACTACAGCAAGAATGGCACCAAGCCATTCATGAGGGATCCACTCCCATGTCCCAAACACCCCCCACCAGGCCCCACCTCCCAATGCCACTACATTGGGGATCAAGTTTTAACATGACATTTGATAATGGGATAAACAGACCATTTCCAAACCATAACAGACACTATTATAGAATATTTAGGAAAAGCAAAACTAAGTCAAGGACTTGACTGTCCAGAAGGTTGAAATCCAGATGTGATTGTTTAGGATATGACTTTGAACAAAGAAATGATTCTGTAGATAAAGCTGTATCTGCAATGGGACTACAGTCTTTTGCAGAAGGAAACTGACTCCTCTTCGGTCCCATAAGGACAGATCAGGAACAAAAACAAGCAAACCCACACAGATAATTAGGATTAAAATTCAGAAATGACATTAGAATTTTGTTTTGCATGCCTCATACTCTGCATGTCTCATACTCTGCTAATTCCTTTGCTTCCTCCGAATTAAACACAATTGCCAGTAGAAACTAGCAGAAACTTTAGTCTGCCACAACATCCTGACCTAGCAAAAGTTAGGGGCACTCTTACATCAATCGCCAATCTGATGAAGAAAATTGTTTACTTGAATCATAGAAACACATATTTTGCTGGAACACAGTGAAAATGTAGTAGTAACAAAAATATCTAAACTCTAGCCTTTATTCTCTGAAAAGTTTACACAGATCTTTTCCTCATGACGTTATTATGTTAAAGTTTGTGTAATTAGACAGTCTCAAAGCATAAGCAATTTCAATGTGACGTGTGTATTTTAGGGGAGAGGGACAGGAGAAGGACTTTTGGTGGAATTTATTACTACTTCAAAAAAGTAAACTTGGCAAATCCATCCCTTCTTGGCATTAAACAGATATTGTCTTCATAGTGGTAAATGGTCTCCATGACTCAGCCTCCAGTTGCAAGGCAGATGAGAGGTCTCTAAACCTGTCAGAGAGCCCACAGGGTTACTTAAGTCAACTCCCTGCCCCAGTCAGCTATCTATCTACTCCCCACAATAAATGGCTGGTCAGTTCCACTTTAAATATCTCTCAGATAAAGACCTATGCTCTTTCCCAGTAGATTTCTTCAGTCTTTTCTTGTTCTAAACATACTTTCTATAAGAAGATATTACTGCTTCTTCTGCCCTCCACATACGGCAAATACTTGCTCAACGTCATCTTTTTAGTAACAGAGGCCACATTATCTCAAAAAGTATATTTATTAAAAGGCTGGATTCTGCAATAAAAAATGTATACTTGGAAACATTCTTTGTTTCCAAGCAAATCTCAGTTATTGTAGGCTTTTTATCGTCATTTCTCTCACCTTCAATCAAGCAGGAAAATTTGCCCTACACTGTCTATTCTTCTTCTCTTTCCATTCAAATCTCCTAGTCTGGGATGACATAATGCCTGGTATTTAGGTGCATGCTACAGCCTCCGGGCTGTTTTTCCTGTTTCCAACCTTTCCCTAGATTGATCCTGCACGTATATGCCACCTTTATCTTCTTAAAATACTGTTTTTTTCCTCAATATGCTTCCAAAACGGAAGAAAGGAAACATAAGAAATAAGAGAATATGTTCATGACTGAGGGACAGGCAAATATTTTTAGACAAAAGCCAAAAAGAAAAAAATGATAAATAAATTGACCTATATTAAAATCAAGAACTTCTGTCCCTCAAAAGAAGCATTAAAAGAATGAAGGGCCGGGCCGGGCGCGGTCGCTCACACCTGTAATCCTAGCACTTTGGGAGGCCGAGGCGGGCGGATCACGAGGTCAGGAGATCAAGACCATCCTGGCTAACACGGTGAAACCCCGTCTCTACTAAAAATACAAAAAATTAACTGGGCGTGGTGGCGGGTGCCTGTGGTCCCAGCTACTCGGGAGGCTGAGGCAGGAGAATGGCATGAACCCGGGAGGCGGAGCTTGCAGTGAGCCGAGATCGAGCCACTGTACTCCAGCCTGGGCGACAGAGCGAGACTCCATCTCAAAAAAAAAAAAAAAAAAAAGAATGAAGGGCCGGGTGCAGTGGCTCACGCCTGTAATCCCAGCACTTTGGGAGGCTGAGGCAAGCAGATCACAAGGTCGGGAGATCGAGACCATCCTGGCTAACACAGTGAAACCCCATCTCTACTAAAAATACAAAAAATTAGCTGGGCGTGGTGGTGGGCGCCTGTAGTCCCAGCTACTCAGGAGGCTGAGGCAGGAGAATGGCATGAACCTGGGAGGCAGAGCTTGCAGTGAGCCGAGATGGCGCCACCTCACTCCAGCCCGGGCGACAGAATGAGACTCCGTCTTAAAATAAAATAAAACAAAATAATGAAAAGGCAATCATAGAGTGGCTTATGTGTATAATACACATAAACGACAGAAGAATAATAATCAGAATATAGAACAAATTCCTTGAACAATAAAGAAATAATTTATTCAGTAGAAAATTGACAGGCATTTTATGAAGGAAGATATCCAAATGAACAGTAAATCTGTGAAAACATATTTAACTTCATTATTCATTAAGAAAATAAACATTAAAACCACAATAAATTGCTATTGCATATGTCACCAGAAAGACTAAATAAAAAAGACAATACCTAGTGATGGTGTGAAAGTAGAGTAACTGGAACTCTGAAACCCACTGATGGGCATGTAAATTAGTGCAACCATTTAGGGAAAACTGTTTGCCAATATCAACTAACCTTGCTCATGCACGTAACCTATACCCAGAAATTCTATCCCTAGGTATACATCTAAAGAGACTTGTATACATATTCAATGAAGTACATATACAAGAATATCCATTCATTCAACATTATTTGTGATATCCAAATCCAGAAAGCAACACATATGTCTATGAAAAGTACAGTGAATAAATATATTGTGCTGTAATCATATCATGAAATACTAATCAGCAACAAATGTGACTCAAGTATTACTATGTGCTGAATCTCAGAACATGAATGAATCTCAGAAACATGTTGAATGAAAGTAGCCAGGAACACAAAGAATACATTCTGCAAGATTTAATTTATATAAAAGACTAAAACAGACAAAAATGAATCTATAATGCACAGATTCAGGATAAGTGGTTTCCCTTACAGGAGATATCGACTGGTCAGGGTTAGAAGAATAGCTTTTGGGATTCTGGTAATGTTCTGTTTCTTAATCTTGGTGCTGGATGCACCGGTATGGTTACTTGGTGAAAATTCATCAGGTTCTACACTAATGATTTGTGCCTCTTTCCATATATAAATTATACTTTAGTAAAAAAGTTAAAACAAAACAATGTGTACATTTTCCTCTTATTACTCAATAATTTGCATGGCTTTCCAGGATCTACCAAACCAAGTTTCATTTTTCACACACACACACACACATACACACACACACGCCCTCCTTCACATCTTTATTCATACAGTTTCCCCTTATTGAAATATTCTTTATTCTCCATATGCTGGTTTGGTAAACCATATCTCCTTGACATGTACTAATTTGCTCAGGACCGTCCTACTTTGAAGCTGTTGCCCTGGAGTAATTACCAAAAGTAACTAGAACAATTAGAAATATTTAGAACATGTCCCTTACCTTTAGAGTTGTCTTTACCATACTTAATTCAAAAACAAACTTTTAGTGACTCTATTTTCCCATGTCTTTGCAAAGCATTCGGCATAGTTTTTGTAGAAACAACATTTCATGTAACATGTAATTAAGTTATATCTACTTAGCAAGTAAAACTGGCAAAAATAGGAACAAACATTAGTGGCTTTTGGGAACTCAACTGACGGAGAGGCAGGCTGGTGTACTGGCTGCACTGCATTAGGTTTGCATCTATAGCACCCACTTACGTTTTACAGAGAGAATGGGGCACCTTATTTCATCTGTCTAGTCAGTTAATTGGAGGTTGGATGAGAGAATTTCTACTATATATCCATTTGTTAAGAAAACTACCAAATACATCAGGTATAAAAGCAAAGATACCAAATCAACAATGAGTGAAAGGAATTTTGTTTAATTTGGTCTAGAGTCAGACTCTTAGCTTCTTTCAAACTAAGTGTGGGTTTAGTCAAGACATCAAAAAAGCTTCAGGTTGAACTACATAAATCTCTTTTGGAATCTAAAAGCCAGCACTTGTAATCAGAAGCATTTTTCATCCTTATACAGCCAAATGTTCGGTCCAAAACCATCAGGGAAAGAACAGCACTAGGACATAGCTCATCCTGAGGGTACTCAGAGTTTCCCTATCACCTGCAGGTTAATGTTGGCATGACCACAGAAACCTGCCACCTGATCATTAGCCAGTTCCTTGATGGGGGTGTGGGTGAAAGGAAGAAACCCTAATGGGATTAGAAAAATGAAAAAGTAGGCTGGAGCCAAGATGACATTAGACTAGGAAGGCTAGAGATGGGAAAATATTGCAAGAAAGGACATTCTTAATTCATGTCATCTTCAGAAAACCCATTCATCTTGATGCTAAATTCCTTGGCAAGGTCTAAATATGAAATTTAAAGAAGCTTTTCCCATTAAATTGCCACTTGGCATTACACATTTGGAGGGAAAGAAGTCTCAGAGATGGAAGTTTTGTCATCTAGCTGGCCAACTACTCAGCAGAGTGAATAGAGGTGCTCCATTTCTCTGAATCTAGCACTGCTCACTGTGTCCTAGTCAAGTCAACCAGGAACAGCCTGACCCAGAATGTCTAGCAAGAAGGGAATTAGATCAAAGTGCTCTTCCATCCTGGATGCCTTTAAATAATATTATGGGATTAAAGGTTTTACAAAAAATGTAATTCAATTAACTGGTTCCTCTTACTGTTTTCTTAAAGCAACAATGATTGAATAGATTTGTAGGCCCAAGGACAGAAGGGCATCATCTAACCCTATTTGGAGAATTTAACCCTATTTTGAAGAACTCTTTTTATGAGATTACTTTATGTTTGTAAAATCCATCATAATCACCTTTTGGCTGTTCCAGAAAGTCTCAGAACCTGGTCAACACATTTGCTCATCACAAGTGGAGGAAAAGCAGAAGCAACAAAGATAGACGTGGTCAGAAGAGAATAAAAGCAGCAAAAATAATGTGATCAGTAGCAGATCCCTTTCCTCATAAGCTGTTTCTTTCAGAATAAAAAATTCACTACCACCCCACCCCAAACCACCCAACACGTAGAGCTACCATGCTCACTAGCTTAGCTGCCCGTCTGCTAGGACCTGCCAAGCTGGCAGAGGAATCTGGTGCTGGCCCTCAATAAAGGGTCATCACTTTCCCTTCATCTTGCCTTATGAGGACACTCCTCCTGTTCTGTGTCTCACAGCCTTGGGGCTACAGGCAGTAAGTTCCACACCTATCTCATATTCTAGTCATTTTTGAACTTTAAAAAAAGTAGCTAAATGCCTTTTATACAAATAACAAATAAGTATATGAAAAGGTAGAAGACGTGTCTTAGTCCATTTTGTGTTGCTATACAGAAATGCTGGAAGTTGGGTAATTTATAAAGAGAAGGGGTTCATTTGGCTTACAATTCTGATGGCTGGAAAGTTTAAGATAGGCGTCTAGCGAAGACCTTAGGCTGCTTTCATTCATGGCATAGGACAAAGGGGAGCCAGCCTGTGCAGAAATCACATGGCAAGAGGGAAAGCAAGAGAGAGTGGGGAAGTGCCAGGCTCGTCTTAACAACCAGTTCTCAGGAGAACTAAGAGCAACAACTCACTCACCCCCAAGGGAAGACATTAACCTATGCTTGAGGGATCCACCCCCATGACCCCAACACCTTCTATTAGACCCAATCTCCAACACTGGGGATCAAATTTCAACATAAGTTTTCGAGAAAACAAACATCCAAACCATTGCAAGGGGTCTTCTCTGGTTGCAGCAGAAGAGAGGCAAAAAATGTCCACATTCCTTGTGTCTCCCTCCCCTGTCATCCTCTCGGGACACTGTGTAAGGAAACCTGGCTTCTTAGAACAGAATGAAAAAACAACTGACAACAAACTGCCTGGCAGATGTGCTAATAGGAATAAAGGAAACCAAAAATATTTTACCCTAAAATATACTTCTTTAACATATTTTGAGATGGCTATTCAGAGGGTCTGCAAACAGGAATAGCCTTGAAAAGCTGCCTTTTGTGGAGGAGATTTGCATCTGTAGAGAAAATCTACATTGGTGAAATAAATAGCCAGGCTTTCTCTGCCCCCTGTTCTCCATCTGGATCTAGAAAGGGCTGTCTCATGGGAGAGAGAAACTGAGAGTCTGACACCTTTGGATGTCTGACAGAAACCTATTCTGAGAACTGTTACCTGTGAGGTTTCATCTGCATAACAAGACCACCTTTGCTAGCCTTGCCTTTCCTCTTCTCCCTCTCCCAAAACCTGTCTTGCCATGTTCCATGCCTCTTTTTCTATAACCTCAAGATGGTATAAAAGAATCAACTATCTGGGCCTTTCTTTGAGTTTTTATATTTTGTATGACTTCCATGCACATGTGTACATGTTAATACATTTTGTATGCCTTTTTTTTCTATTAATCTTCCTTTTGTCCATTTATTTTCACTGAACCTTCAAAGGGTGAAGGGGAAGGTTTTCCTTGGCCCCTACAGTTTTTGGTACTGTGAGCAGGATAATCAGAACTATCCTGCTGTTCTGAAAGCTGCAGTCAAGGTTACCCAGAACCTGACAAGCCAGCAGAAGGGCACAAATTTCTTACCAGTGAGATTCCTGGGTGTCTGTCTGTGAAATCCAGTGAAGCAGATGGTAAAAATCACTGTTTCTTTCTTTTCTCTTTTCCAAATTAATTTTTTTCCTTTGTCTGTATCTTTCTATGGTATTTGTCATAAAGAGTCCCTCTCATTTTACGTCCTTGAGAGCTTGACTTGTAACCAAGTAACTCTCTCTTGTTCTCTGATCTCCATGGGGTCACATTTGGTGGCCAGCCTGAAACGACTGGGAACCTGAAATGTTAAGCAGCAGACTCTGTGTTCTAAGTGTGCCAAGCTCTTAGGGGAATTTTAATAAGGAGTTCCTTCTATAAGGGGCTTTTGTTGCCTTAACTCTTGTTGCCTGGTTAGAACTGGGACAGTTCAATCCCAGGAGGGCCTATCCAGTGTCACAGATTAACAGGTCCATGTCTGGTGGACCCTCACAAATTTGTGAGATACTGGAGACACTATAGGCATAAATAGCGGCTGTAACTGTCTATGACAAGAGTCTTTTGCTATCTTAGTTTATTTCTGGGACTAAATTTGTGAGACGGGTATCACTGGGGAGGTGCAACTTTTGCATCCATTTTTAAAATGCCACTTATGACCATGGTATTGTAAACCTGGAAAATTACCCATGGGACTTTCCATGGAAAAGGCTTATTGGCTTGAGTCACTGATGGAATAAATAAATTGGCTAGATTTAAAAGAGAACTCTTAAGAGAGCTCTTGTCCTAAACAGCTATCTTATCAGTACCTATGAAAGAAATATAGCCTTAAAAACTTCCTTGGCAGGATTTGAAAAAAGCAGAAATCAGAGTTAAAACTAAGTTAAAATCCTTCGTACATTCAAACTGCCTGCTTTGGATCCCCCACAGGATCTTCAAGGAAGGGTATCCAGCCTGCAGTCTAGTGTCAAGGATTCCACACATTCACTGCTGAGGCATGAGTTTAATTTCCAGTCAGAGAGTCAGTTCCTTTGGGATGTAAATCCTTTAACTCAGGAGAAAAAAAAAAGAAACATCTACAAGAATTAGTTTGAATTATTTGTTTTGAATTTATATTTGTGTGACTCAACTTTTTAAGATATTCATTTGTTATTGATCCTTTTCCCTTCTGTGGACAGCTATTGTTTTCCTGTTCATCTCCAAGTCTCTTTTTTCTTCCAGCTTTCTTTGGAGTGGCTCTGGATCTTGTGAGCACTGCTTTTTTGCTGCTCTTTGGAGATGGCTAGTGCATCCATGGTGAAATTATAAAAAGCATGCTGGTTTTGGTTCTGAGTCGCTTGATAGTGACATTTGATTTAAAAAAAAAAGAGAGAGAGAAAAAGAAGTTCAAAAGCCAGGAATATTGGCTACTTGTCCTGACTAAAATCTGGTAATGAAAGATTAAAAATATATATATATTTTAAGAGCTCTATGGTCAAAAGTCAGCTTAATTAAAAGCTGATATTCAGACTGATTAAAAAAAAAAGCTCCTCTTTTCTCTTTTGGATCCTATTTCTCTCATGTATTTTTTCAGTCAACTGAACCCTTTTTAATTTTATGTTTGGCCCTTCTGTTAGCTTCCTTTCTTGTTGACAAGATTTTTGCTTTAAAAGAAAAATATAAAATTGTATTGGCCTTTGTGAGAAGCTTAAGATCTTCCCAAATTGGCTCCCCTCAGACTCATTCGCCCATTTGCTTTTGCCCTTCCTTTTGCCACCTTTGTCATCCCCAACTTCCTCCATTTGGTAGTCAGTAGATTTAAAAATTATAGAAAGGAAATATGATGGGTTTAGTTGTTGCATAAAGATATCTGAAAGAGGCTTCTAGAGACTCTAAGTTCCTATGAGGAACACAGCCAAAGCACCACTGACCTTTTTAGGGGTCCCTGTCTTCCTCATGGAGCCCCAAGAGTCATGAGTAGGTTCAGCACTATTTTTTAATGAGCTTTGCCCTGAACTCAGTAATCCAGTTAAAAACAGAAACTAAGCTTTTTAGCCACCTATCCAAATAAATCAGTTTCCAAAGTACAACTTTCTGGCATTTAGCTGGCTATTTTTTAAACTCTTTGTAAAAGAAATTTATATCTATAAAGAAAATCTCCATTTGTAAGGGCATCTTCCTCTACATAAACCACTAGAAACTGTTACAATGGGAAAGACATTTACTTAAAAGTTTACATAGAAAACCTTACCTTTGTTTAAAGTCCTTTTCCTGACCATCTTACCTTAACCGGGCTTTTACCCATACCATTCTTTGTCTTGGTAAATAATGATGTTTATATCTAAGTTTTGTGCCTTTGAGATATAAATTTTCTTCTTGTTCTACCTAAGAGTTATCCTTTTGGAAGTGTGAATTTAGAGTTGCCTAGTTAACAATTGCTTGGGGCAATGAAACAGGTAATTAGAAGTGTAATGATCTGAATGGGGAAAAACAAAAACTAGCTAGAAGCTGGCAAATGCAGAAACTTAATGAAAGCTTTAAGATCTGCTTCTGTTTGTATATCTATATGCATATGTGATATTTCATGTGATCTGAAATAATCTTAGGTAAATAAAGCTAGTTTTAAGGTTGTTGGTAAAATAAAATAGAAATGTTTTCAGAATTGTTGGTATTAAATATAATTCAGACATTTTTGCCTGGATCTACTGGTCAGATAGGTTTATGCTGTCTCTGATACATGTTTTAAGTTCATGAAACTACTTCTGTAATACTTCATATACATGCCTGGTTTATCTGTAAGCTAAAGCTGTAAAGTCTGACTGCTAGGCTTTCCTGAATCCTTGCACACATCTTGCTATAAGCTTATGTTTTTTATTTTGAGCCTCTGAATTCTGTAGTCTGAACAGGTGGCCATGGCGGCGACTGGGGACATGAGTGTCCAGAGTGCCTTGACAATTAGCTGCAAGGAAAAGCCAAGCTCAATTTGGCCCCATCCTGGCCAGGAGGCATAGCTGGACCTGGGAGGATGGGGCCAGACAGACCTTGCTCTTCATAGGCATCCTGGGTGCCATGTGGGCACTGGAGAAATGAATTAGGATGGGTATCTGTGTCATAATTTCAAATTTATTTTTAGAATTTAAAATCTTGGTCATGTTATATTAAATTATGTAATAGATTATCATAAAACGTCTGAGTCATTTCCAAGTAAGTTAAAATACTGAAACATTAATTACTAAACAAAAGTTAAGTTTATATACTTTGATATCTTGTTTTTTTATGCTATAGAAAAGCTAAATATATTTAGATTTGTCAATAAACAAAAAATTGAGAAAACATATCTTTCTAAGATATTATGAAATAGTTTTTAACTACAAATTCTGATATAAAACAGTTCAAAAGCACAAACTTCCTAGATTTTCACTAGAAATTATGGTAAATAAGTGTTAAGATTTATATTAGTATATGTAATTAAGACCACTAATGTGAGAATAATAATTCTATATGCAAATTGCACCAAAAAGAGGGGGACAAGATATGTTTTTGGTGAGAAAGTTATTAAAAAAGGCAGGAGAATGTGGTTTTATTGTTAAAGAAAACATGATTTTGTCTAGTTTAGAAGTAATTTAAAGGTTGTTTCAAATTGAAGGAATAAAAAAATGATATGGATAAAACTAAAAAGATATAAAAAGAGGATAGAAAAATATAAGAGGTTATAAAAGATTTATGGAAATCTTGTGTAAAATCTTGTATAAAATCTTGTATAAAAGATTTATGGAAATCTCAGTAAGTCAAAGCTTACTGAGACTGGATAAATTTGTTTATAAGATTTTATTAAAATTAGGTTTAGTATGAATACACAAACACATGTAAAATTTGGTTTTCTCTTTTGAAAAAGATGTTTGTGTAGTATTAATAGGAAGCAAAAACTGTAGTAGTAAAGAAATGATGTTTAACCTTCTTTGAGTTATCTTGTATATGCATATTATTAACAGGTGTTCCAAAATTATATGATTCCTAAAATGTTGATATGCCTTGGTATATTTTATGTCATAATTATGACTATTTGGTTAAATTTTTATAGAAAATAACCAAATTTCCTTGTCAATTGTGTCTTTAATCATGGCCATTTTAAGTCTTGTCATCCACAGTTAATTGCTTTATTTTGATGCCTTTTTTCCTAAAAGCTAGTTGCAAATCTTAGTATTGTGTCTTCAAGGACATTTATGGAAAAGACTGCAGCAAGTACTCTTTTGAGACGGAGTTTCACTCTGTCACCCCGGCTGGAGTGTAGTGGCATGATCTCGGCTCACTGCAACCTCTGCCTCCTGGGTTCAAGCAATTCTCCGGCGTCAGCCTCCCAAGTAGCTGAGATTACAGGCACCCGCCACCACGCTTGGCTAATTTTTGTATTTTTAGTAGTGACTGGGTTTCATTATTTTGGCCAGCCTGGTCTCAAACTCCTGACCTCAAGCGATCTGCCTGCCTCAGCCTCCCAAAGTGCTAGGATTGCAGGCGTGAGCCACTGCGCCTGGCCAACAAGTACTCTTAAATACAGATTTCTGACAACTTTGAGATCATATAATTGAACTGGGTAACAATTTCAAAAACTCCAAGGAAAGAAAAATGGACTTATAAAATTTCTAACATAACATCAACCAGAATAAGAATGAATGACATGGGATGAAACTTATGGAAAACTAAAATGACTTTTTTGCCTTTTTTTGTTTAAAACATTATTGATTCTTTTTATATTTTGTTTTCCAGAGTCAAGAAAACTTTTTTTCTTTCAAAGTTATCTATAGCTTGTAGCAATTGGGTAAAAAGTATCTGTGAGCAAAACTTATTTACTTTTCTCTCTACCTGATCCTTCCAGAATTTGAATACTATTCATGAGTATTCTTATTTTATGGCAACATAAATGTTTGTATAAATTCAGTAAGAATCTGTTTTCTTTTGTAACAGAACACAATTGGAGACATTGGTTATTTTACCATGGCTCTGACTGGAATGTAATATTCTCAAACATGACCAGATTGCTTTGAGGAACTGAGGTTGAATTTATAAGACCAATAGACTTGGGAAAACACAAGCCTAGTATCTTGTTTACGTGGTTCTCTAACAAGGTTCCTTGTGGCAAGTAAAGAACGTCACTTTCTGACAGGCCCAGGAACCTCGGGATATTTAGGGGACCTCAAAAAAGAGGAACTCATCCTATTTGTACAGGTATTACAGAACCTTTGGCTTGGCTCATAAGCATCACCAGGTTTTCAAAAGTCATATCTGAAATTATTTACAGATTTGCTGGAACAATGTTCCAGCAAAACCAATCTAAAAAGATCCCATATGGCATATCACTATTTTTGGTACACTTTATGCAAACAATCAAGCCAAGTATAATAATGAGACTAACATTTATTTGGCTAATAAAGGTCTCACTATTACTTATTCTTGGTAGAAATGGGGGACTGAAAAGAGAAAAAATTATGTTCTGGAAGAAAACCTATAATACACCCATTATTAGGTAACAATGCCTCATTTGTTCGTTTGTTTGTTTGAGGTTTTATTATTTACCTCCTATCCAAACCAAATTCTAAGACGTTAGTTCCTTCAAATATCTGGCTGTGACCCTTCAGACTAATGATTCCCATTTTTCTCCCACCCTTATTACTTTAATTGACAGAAATTAAAACTGTGCTTTTCTTAAAGGCCTAAGTAGTAAAGCTAGATTACTTGTTATAAACTTTGAAAGAAATCACTACAGCAATTTATATGTAAATGGCTTTTGTGCCTGCTGATATATGAACTATCCAGACAGTTCATTGGAACATCTGATTCAAACTGCAATCCAGAAAAATCTGCCAGTCTTCCACTGCCTGCCTACTCCAACTAAAGATGCTTCGGAGACTCTAGAAAAACTAGCTTATAGACGACTCCAGACATTAACTTTTATTTTTCTTCTGTTTCCATAGACATGCCTCTTATTAAAGATCTGTTTTCCTGCATCACATATAGAGGCTGAGATTTGAAAATGTAGGAGCTCAGAAAATGACACCCCAAAATAAAGTCCTCAAAATCTGCTCTCTCTGACCTTCTCCCACCCTTCTGTCTCTGGCGTCTCCTTCTTTCCCAAGGTCAGCCATAGAAACCAGAATCCTTTTTCCCTGAGGTAGTTCATAGAAACCAGAATACCTTTTCCCCAAAGCCAACCATAAAATGTAAAAATATTATTCTAACTCCCCCAAACCTCCACAACACACACCTTTCTGTGTAAAAACTGACCAAAAAGAAATTACCTGATCTGTCTTGTTTCATTGTAGGTCCCAAGACCTCCATTCCAGAGAGGGCCCTGCCCGAGACTCAGAAGGAAGGAATGCTCCGCAGAAAGGCCAAGAAGAATCTAACCAGACAGGCCTTGCTGCATTTCCCCGCTCAGTCTATTACCATTATATTACACATTTTTTGTCCAATCATATTTCTACATGGCTGTCCATACATTGTTAAACCTAGCATAAAAATGGACAACTTTCCCTGCATCTTTAGGTCTTCATTAGAAGGCTGCTGTGTCACATAAAACTATGACCCAATAAATTTATATGCCTTTTCTTCTATTAACCTGCCTTTAGTCAGTGATTTTTCAGTGATCCTTCAGAGGTCAAAGGGGGGGGGGGGTTTTCCTTGGCCCTTACAAGAGCCCATCTGCAATGCCATCATAGGGAACACAACTGTTTAACTGAACGGACCTATTCTCATGACTAAGAGACTGATTCAAGAAGATGTGGGATGCTTGTTTCAATAGGGATTTCTTTTCCCCTTTTACCAACTTCGTATCTCACAATCTCTAACCCAAATCTCCCCAAACCTACCAACTTGGGCTTTAATATGTGACACTCTAAAAATAAAAGTTTCAAATGGGGGACTAGAGGAAAATAAAAATATTCACCCCAAAATATTTCTTTGACATGTTTTGAGATGGCTATTCAGAGGGCCTGCAGACAGAATAGCCCTGAAAAGCTGACTTTTGTGGAGGAGATTTGCATCTCTAGAGAAGATCTCCATCCGTGAAATCAACAGGCAGGCTTTCTCTGCTCACTCCCTTGTCTAGATCTAGGAAGGACTGGCTCACGAGAGAAAGTGACTGAAAGTCTCACACCTTTGGGGGTTTAACAGTAACTTATACTTTCTGAGAGCTGCTACCTGTGAGGTATCATCTACAATAACAAGGCCACCTTTGCCAGCCTTGCCTTTCCTCTTCTTTCCCTCCCAGTACCTGTCTTGCCATGCTCTGTGCATCTATTCTTTCTGTAACCTCAAGATGGTATAAAAGTGTTAAAAGAACAAACCTTAGCCAAATTAAATTTAACAGAGTTTAATTGAGCAAAGAATGATTCATGAATCAGGCAGCCTCCTGAGGCAGAATAGGCTCAGAGACTCCAACACAGCCACATAGTGGAAGAAGATTTGTGGACAGAAAAAGGAAAGTGACGGTCCGGGCATGGTGGCTCATGCCTGTAATCCCAGCACTTTGGGAGGCCAAGGCCAGTGGATCACATGAGGCCAGGAGTTCAAACCAGCTTGGTCAACATGGTGAAACCCCGTCTCTACTAAAAATAGAAACACTAGCCAGGTATTGTGGTGCATGTCTAAAATCCCAGCTACTTGGGAGGCTGAGGCACAAGAATCTCTTGAACCTAGGAAGCAGAGGTTGTGGTGAGCCGAGATTGCTCCACTGCACTCCAGCCTAGGTGACAGAGTGAGACCCTGTCCCAAAAAAAAATGGAAAGAGATGTACAGAAAAATAGAAATGAGGTACAGAAACAGCCAAGTTGGTTACAGCCTGGCATCTGCCTTATTTAAACACGGTTTGAACAGTTGACCTCCTTTGATTGGCCAAACCTCTGTGATTGGCACAAGAGTAGGCTACAGTCTGTTTACAACTGCATTTAGGTTATAGTTCACGATGTACAGAGAAATCTTTAGGCCAAACTTAAAATATGTAAGAAGGCAGCTTTGGACTAAACTTGATTTAACAAAAGAATCAACCATCTGGTCTTTTCTTTGAGTTTTCATATTTTGTATGACTCCAGTGCACATGTGTGCCTCTTAATACATTTTGTATGCATTTTTTTCTGTTAATCTGCCTTTTGTCAGTTTATTTTCAGTGAACCTGCAGAGGGCAAAGAGGAAGTTTTTCCTTGCCACCTATGGGAGAACATCGCAGGGCCTTCTTCCTAGCTCCCAGAGCACAAACATTTCTTTAACTGGCTCTTGGTAGACAATTTAGGTCAACAGACAATTTCAACCGTGATTAGCACAAGAGTAGCAACTGTTTAAAATGTACAAAAATCCTATTACCTCTTCCCTGAAGCACACCCTTCGTAACACCTATGCTCAAGGCACTGTTCTTAGTGTCAGAAGAGAAAGGAATCAAATTCTAGAACTTTAAAATTACAAATGAGTATGACATGGAAAACAAGTATGCTGTCCTCAGAGTTAAAACAAATATATCTATAATAATCTAGATGGAAACTTTCTGATGGATATTCTGGGTTTATTGAAAAGCAGAGATCACAGCTCTCAATGTGAGCTTTGGTCTTATTCAAATTATGCTGTTTCCCATTATAATTAGAGGCAAACAGATTACTTTCCTCCTCGTTTATCCTTTTTAAAAAATGAGTATTCTGGCCAGGTGCAGTGGCTCACACCTGCAATCCCAGCACTTTGGGAGGTGGAGGCAGGTGGATCACTTGAGGACAGGAGTTCGAGACCAACCTGGCCAACATGGTGAAACCCATGTCTACTAAAAAATACAAAAATTAGCTGTGCATGGTGGCATATGCCTGTAGTCTCAGCTACTAGGGAGGCTGAGGCATGAGAATTGCTTGAACCTGAGAGGTGGAGGTTGCAACGAGCTGAGGTTGCACCACGGCACTCCAGCCTGGGCAACAGAGCAAGACTCTGTCTCAAAAAAATATAAATAAAAAGAGTATTTTGTTGAAAAACAGGAACAAAAACCCTAATATCATTAATTGCTAACAACACTTGCAGGCAGATACAAAGAAATGAACTCACTGAAATACACTCTCAAACATACAGAGCACTCACCACACAACCCCTTTGTGTATTGAGACATTATATACACAAATTCTTAGCTATTGCAGTCACTGATCAATCTATTCCAGATATTCTCCAAGTTTGTACAGTAATTACAACTGGATCTCTTAATTTGAGACTAGACTTCTTCAATCGTCTCTGTTTTTTGAGGTTTTCAACAACTTCACCAAGTATAAAAACCCGGCAATATCTCTTCCATTATAGATTTGATTCCTGTAAAAGGAAGTAATTTGATAGCCAAGGCTGGCTGTCTCTCTTGCTCTTTTTCTCTCTTTATCTTTTTCCCTGCAGTGCTCAGCACACTATCTACACTTCTATCTTCTTTCTTTGAAAGAAGAAATTGCTTTTCTTCACCATTCAATTGCAAAAAAAAAAGAGAGACCATAGACCCATAGTGTGTATCCATATCAACAGTATGACACAAGTCCATATTTTGCCATCAGAAAAGCTTAATTTCCTTTACAATAAAGACTTATTTCTTCTTACGTGAACCGTCTAAGACTTCCAGTGGCTAAGTGCTGGTGAATCTAAAAACAATGGCATCCCAAGCAACCCTCTCTAACACAAGACATTTTAAAACTTCCTTCTTTCTTTTTATAGGTATATTATCAGCCTGGGTGACAGAGCAAAACCCTATCTCAAAAAAAAAAAGCATATTCATTTTGAGCTTCAAATCCCAGTTAATGCAATCATTATAAATACATTTATGTCAAACCTGATGAAATCTGAAAATAAAATACAATTAAACAGAGCATAGCAGAAATTTACATCACAGTGTGAGATAATTTTACCCTAAGTACTTGCACTTGAGGTCAAAGTCATTTAGGCGTCTGTTCCTAGTGTTCCTATAGTTTCCTGAAATTGACAGCGATTGGAGAGCACAGTAACATGCTATCTGTTGACTATCTACAGCATTACCTCATCTAAAAACATTCAACATAACCATGCCCAGACTTGAAAGATCTGGCTGCCTGAACTCTTTCACAGCTCCTCCTTGGAAACTCATAAGTGACCTAAAGTCAAATTTGACCTAAAGTCAAATTTTACACCAAACAGGCTTTTCTTTTCGTTCTTTGTGTTTAGTTGTTTTTTGTTGGTCTGTTTTTCCTATTTGAAAATTAAGGAAATTGAACCAAAGACCCACAAGTTCTCTTCTAGCAAGACCAGAGTACTAGGTTTGAATCTACCCTGCCACTTGGGACGTGAGTGGCATAGGCAAGTTAGTTGAGCCACCACGGCTCACTTTTTTCATTTGTAACATTCTCATCCCAGGGTGGTTGTGAACATTAGGGAAAACATGCATAACAGGCTTAGTGCTGTGCCAATTCTTTGCTACTCCCATGGAGACCTGGAGGACAACTCCCCTCCCCCTGAATATGGTCTGGCCTTAATGATTTGCCTGAATGATAGACCTCTGAGGCCAGGTCATAAGAAGCCTTTTAGACTCAACCTGGGCTTCTGAGAAGAGTAACTCTGGAAACCCCAAATGGCAGATTCATAAGCAAAATAAATGATTGTCATTATTTCAAGTCACTGAATTTTGGGGTGGTTTATTATATAGCAAGAGATAACAAGAGCACCCACGTAAGATCCTCAAGGGAGAGGCAGCTACTAATTCATCTTTATATTCCCCAGGAGTGTCAAATCCAGACAGGTGTCTGTTTACTCTTCATTGCCAAAGAAATGTTTTGCCTGTCAGCAGACAGTAGCTGAAAACTCAGTTTTGCACTTACCCAAGGTGGTGCTGAGCTGAATGAAGCCTTCCTAATGCTGCATTGATTGGCCTCCCATTTGAAGCGATGCCCTTCTTATCTTTAGCTAGAATTCTGCAAGCTCCCTGAAGAGCCACAGGGACACAAATAATCCCACTGAAAAAACCTCACGGAAACTCCTGGCAGGATTAAAACATCAAGAGAACACACAAGGAGAGCACTCACCTTAATGGAATTTGCCTACGCAAGAATGACGCACTTGGGAACTAAAAAATGAACCTTTATAGTCAATGAGTTTTGCAGCATACCTAATATTTCTTGCCAAATCACTAGTAGACTGAAGCACAGCAAATTCCATTTAATTGCCTTGATAAAATACAGATAGGCTAACAGCACCAGTGATCTTGGGGCTACAGGCAGAGATCTTGGGGCTAAAAGAGATCTTGGGGCTACCAGAGATCTTGGGGCTACAGGCTGCCCCAGCATCACTTGGGCTTGCTAGGAGAGTTTACTCTTCCCCAAGAGCTCCGATGGGACACTAGGCACTTTGAATGGATATACTGTTTGTGGTTTTCTTTAACTTTTTGAAAAAATTTTTCCAAAGAGCTCACTAAAAATACACTCTGAGGACTGAAGAGGAGAGAAAACTTTTAGAGAAAATGATGGCACCTTTCTGTATGAGATATTTACCAAAGAAAAACATAGGGCAAGGATACTTTGTGTGAACACCATGTCTTCCATACAGTCACATTTCCCAGACTTTTAAATCAGGTTTCACAATGTGAATTTACATGAAATTCCAGGCCTCCAATTATGCACAGTGGCATGTCAGCACATCAGTCTTTAAGAGCTGGAAGAAAAAAAGTGACACCGAAACTCATCTCCTCCTCCATTTAGAATCATCATAAATGATGTTCCCAGTGAGAATATACTGGATTTTTAAAAAAATAATAATTAGGTTAAATGTTTTCAAACTAGATTTTATAGAATGTATCCTAAAATCCTTTATAGAATGTAACCTTAAAGATCCTTTTTTTTTTTTTTTTAACGAGAGCTATTCTTTGAAGGAACTCCACAGAGGAAGCCCCATTTGCAAAATTGTGAAATGCAGAGATGCTCTTTGTTGGATGGTAGTTTGCAGTAACCCTTGAAATATCTGGCAGTACAAGAAACAACAGATCTATGCCCACAATCTCATTTTACAAATTAGGAAACTAAGGCCTAGAGAAGTTTCATGTAAGCCCAAAGCCACACAGCTAAGTCAGTGGCATTGCCAAGACTAGAACCCAGGACTCCTTAATCCCAGGTGAGGCTCTGCAGTCTGCAGGCTCACTCCTAGTAAGTTCAGACTGGTCACATAGCCTGCGGACATTGGCAGGTGGCATAGTATGAGAGCAGTGGTTCATCACCTTCAGGGCAGGCAGGCAGCTGCCACAATCCTGAGGCTGGCACCCCATACACACAGCAGGCCACCCTCGACCAGCCAGCTGAGACTTACCTAAAGGGAAATGTGCAGCATCACCAGCCAATAAGCATCACCTAGAGACATGGCTGTCTTAACGTGAGACAGAGAAAATGGACACCTTCTAGCTTTAAAAGGCCTGTTTCATACTTCTCTCCCGAATCTTATTCCCTGGAGTCTAGACTCTATCATACTAGGTTCCCTGCTTGAGAATAAACTTTTCCACTAAGCACTTAATCTTTGGCCTTGTAGTATGTTATTTCTCTTTAACACTACCCTACACAATGCCATATGGATATGAATGCACAGCCTAGCTGAATTGAAGCAAGCACTGATAAGATACTCAGTGGATTCAGGCAGAGTAGGTCCCAATTTTCTTGAAGAAAAATGTTAAATTATTTAGAAAACTGCCTTTAATTTCACATCAAATTTTCTGTACAGATATGCCACTAATGTATTCTTAGTCATAATACGCAGTCAGAAATGAAAACTCAGATTTCTTGAGTTGGAAACTAAGGAAATTTAAACAAAAAATAAAACAGATATGGACCACACCACCCAAATCTCATCTTCCTCTTTCTTCCTGGGTTTGATTAATGACTTTCTGGTGCCAGTTGACTAGAACATTAAGCCTCACCAGTCCAAACATTTGAGTAATTCTGGAGTTTTCAGCTAAATTTCTCAGAACAAGCCAAGCATCCACCCACTATACTCCAGACATGACTTCAGAACAGTATTTTTTTCCGTTCCCAGTCTTTAAAACAGCCTGATGCTGATTATAGTAGCTTCCACCCACCATTTAAATGACTGGGTAGTATTACAGAAGATTTATCAAATCAGAAACATATTTAGTAATTTAAGGCTTGCTTGGGACTATAAAATAGAAGGAAATGTAAAGACCAATGTATTTGGGTAGATATAATTTTTATGAACAGGAAATTTTAAAAAGAAGCTTGAAATGAGGTTTAACTGAACAGAACTGCCCCCACCACTGCCCCGATCTTTACCTTACATTACTACTTAGTTTAACAATGTGATTAAAAAGGGAGACTCTGAAATTGAACAATTTGAGTTCAAATTCTCACTCTACCCCTTAATACTTACATAACCTTGGATAAATTAAACCTCTCCATATCGCATAGGATGGAGATGAGGATTAAGATGAGTTAATAACAGTGTCTGGCTCAGAGTAAAATCAAAATAACTATTAGCTATTAACTATTTTTTTCATAGGTTTGTTGTATCTTAGGGTGGTTATGAGGATTAAATGGCATTATTATGTAAATCACAGTACACGATACAAAGGCTTAACAGATGTTTCTTCTTCCTCTTCTGATTATAATTATTATTATAAAATAATAGAAAATTACAACTGAAAGGAATTTTAAAAACTTAACCAGATCAAAACTCTCATTTTAAATATGAGAAAACTAAAGCTGAGAGAAGGGAAGAAATGGTCCATGGTTACTCAATCAGTACATCACGAAGCTAGGATTTCATTCATTCATTCATTTATTCATTCATTCATATATTCAACAAGTATTACTGAACAGTAACCAGCCAAGTCAGTCAGCCCAGTTTTAGTTACAGGATATAGTGAGGAACACGATGACAAAGTTTGTGGGATTTGAATATTGGTCTTAGTCCAGTGCACTTTCCACTACGGTGCTTGTAGTATGAAGCTGAAATAGACCAAGAATTGACTTGATATCAACAAAAAAAAAATATGCCTTTAACTAGCTTTATCTTCTTGGATAGACAACTTTAGCTCTATGTGCCTTGATTACTTCAAAGGTAAAATGAGAAGGATGTTTTAAGGGCCCTCTCAGATATGTTATACAATTGTTCTACCTATGCTTTTGTCTCTTAATCGCTTATCTAATTCTTGATCCACTAGAACACACACTGTACTCACCAAAGATCTCATCTCTGAGAGAGAATGAATTTAACACCTGCTGACAATCTAACAGATAGGGACAAACCAAGTTTCTATTTCTATAGTTAGATAAGTTCAGATGGTAAGAAAATATAATAACCCCTCCCGTTTATGAAGCAAACAAGACGACTTCCTATGTTCTGAGATACTTCACTAATTGTCAACCACTTGACTCATGCAGTGAAGCTGCTTCAGGGAGAGGTCTATAAACCCAGCTAATTAATTGGAAGGAGGCTGATGAGAGCACATACCTTATAGTGTTCAAGAGAAACAGTAAATACTGAGTAACACAACTTTTCAGACACTTCTGTTTTAAAACTATTTGATACTTCCCTGAGAAAAAGGCAATACTACTTTCAGACAGGTCTGGAATCTTGAAAACCAATGTGTGTATTAGTATTTGACCTCTTGTAGAGCTTCGAGATAAAACTTTTATGACTCTTATTTACTTGTGATATTTTAGAGATAACTTTAAACCAAAGAAAAACAATTTCACTCTAATTTTCAAATTTCTATAGTTAATAGGATGGATGTGGTATTTTATTTAGGTATGATGATCATCTGTGGTAGGCAGTTTTCAAATATGGCATTTAAAGACCCCCACTGGTATTCACGCCATGTGTAATCCCCTCCCCTTAAGTGTTGGAAAGAGCTAATGACATGTGTCTACTAAATAGAATACAGCAAAAATGACAGAATGTGCTCTCTTGATCAGATTACAAGAGACAGTGACTTATGTCTTGCTAGACTCTGTCAACTTCTTAGTCTCCATCCTTTAATGAAACAACATGCCATGCAGAAGAAACTCACATGGCAAGAAACCGAGGGTGGTCTGACAACAACATCCAGTGAGGAACTGAGACCCTCAATCTGACAGCCCATGAGAAACTAAATCCTATCAAGAGCGATGTGAGCTTGGAAGCTGAGCTTCCCAAGTTAATCCTGGAGGTGACTACAGCCCAGCCATCATCTTGATAGCAGCCTGGAGAGGCCTTAAAGTAGAAGACCAGCTAAGATGTGCCACAGTAATACATGTGTGTTATTTTAAACCACTATGTTTTAGGGGAATTTAAAATGCCAGAATAGATACCTAATACATCATCCTAGACAACACACACACACACACACACACACACACACACACACACACTCTCTCTCTCTCTCTACTTGTACACATTTTAAAAACTCAATCAATCCTAGTCATCTATAGGTAGTAAGACTCTTCATATATGGGCTCAGCACTGACTATTTTTTAAGATCAAGATTAGATCGGATCAAGGCAATAATATATTGGTAGTTTTACATCCTTCTCTTCTAACGAAACTGATCTAAACTGATTGGGGTTTTTTTCTTTTTCTTTCTTTTTTTTTTTTAAGAGATGGGGCAGCAGGTGCGGGAGTCTCGCTTTGTTGCCCAGGCTGGAATGTAGTGGCATGATCATAGCTCATGCAGCCTTGACCTCCTGGGCTCAACTGATCCTCCCACCTTAGCCTCCTGAGTAGCTGGGACTATAGCCACACCTGTCTAATATTTTTATTTTTTTATAGAGACAGGATCTCACTATATTGGCCAGCCTGGTCTCAAATTTCTAGTCTCAAGCAATCCCCCTGCCTCAGCCTCCTGAGTAGCTGGGATTACAAGTGCGAGCTACTGCTTCAGGCTAAAACTGATTTCTCTATAACCTTGGTCTCATATCCAGAGTGAGCCCCAGACATTAGTTTTTCTGGGCTTTTCTCTTACTGCTGACTTTGTGTAATCCCTGAAACAAGAATCATTTGCTTGTTATTTGGCTTCCAAAATAGCTGAAGATTTGTATTAAATGCTGGCTACTTGGTTATGCCTAATCTTTGCCTAACCCCTCTCTTAGAGAACTAGAACTGGAATCTCTAATTCTAGCTACTATGTGAAAACCTGAGCCAATCATGTATCTATCTATAATCAGAAGACTGATGCCTATCTAATATTGAGGATAGAAAAGAGAATCAAAAATATATATTTTTTTTTACCCTTGGAAGGGATTTTAGTAATTATTTTGACCTTCCAAAAGACCACCAAAAAATCTACAGAACAAGCAAATCTAAGTTTACTGGAACTACTATAGTAAGAGAGACAAGATGTGTCTCAAATGGAGTAATTCAGGGAACATACTTACGGGGTTAAAGGGTCTGGATTGCATGGTTTTAAAGTAGGTCTTATAAGGCGTGAAACTGGTTGAAATTGGGTGAAGTTTATGACACAGGAGCTTTGCAGTGGTGGGCATGATAAGTCAATGACCTTAAAATGAGCCTTGATAAACATCTTGTTAGGTTTTTTTTAGGTGAAACTCACATAACATAGAATTTGCCATTTTACAGTAAACAACTCAGTGGCAACTAGTACATTCACAGTGTTGAACAACCACCACCTCTATCAAATTCCAAAACTAATAGGAAAAGCCTTACCCACAGCAACTACTTCTCATTCCCATAGCCTCTGGGGTTTTATGTATTCTGGATATTTCCTATGAATGGAATCATGCAATATGTGACCCTTTGTGTTCGGTGCCACCTATTAGTTTTGATAAATAAACCCTTTTAGTTGGTCAACAGTCTGATAATCCCAGAGGCAATATTACCTAGCTAAGTTATTTCTTTGCTGGTCCCACTGTTGTTTAGCACAAAAATGGGAAGATATGCTTAATCACAGACTTATTTAGCATGGGAACAGGAAAGCATATTTGTTTTATTTCTAAGTTCCCAATTTTTGTCATTCTTCATGTTTATGGAATGATGAATTCAGATCTGCAAAGGTGTTAGATGGAGTTTCGATGGTAGTTAGTCCAACTCTCAGCATTTCTTTTGTTGTTGTTGTTGTTTGGGAATATAATTTCTTGGATCATTTGACTGGTGTACAGTAGCATTTAAGACTCTAGAAACCAAACATCTGAGCACTGCAAGATGAACAAATTCTAAGAGAAGGCACTATGATCTGAATGCCTCTCCAAAACTCATGTTGAAATTTAATTGCTTTTATGATGGTGTAAGAGTACGGACCATTCAGAGGGGTTTAGGCCATGAGGGCCCTTAAAAATGAATTAATGTTGTTATTGCAGGAGTGGGTTTGCTATCATGAGAGTGGATTGTTATAAAACAAAGCTTGGCCCTCTTCTCTTGTGCTCTCTTGCCCTTCTACCTTTCACCACAGGATGCCATAGCAAGAAGGTCCTCACCAGATGTAGCCCCTTCATCTTGGACTTCCAAGCCTCCAGAACTGTGAGCAAAATCAAAGTTTTTTCTTTATAAATTATCCAGTCTCAGGTATCCCGTTATAGCAGCAGGAAACAGACTAAGAAAATACTGAGAAGTGGATATCGTGAAGTGGGGCTGTTGCGATAACAAATAACTGAAAATGTGGAAGCAGCTTTGGAACTGGTTAATGGATAGAGGTTGAAAGAATTTGGAGGAGCAGGTTAGAAAAAGTCTAAACTGAGCATTCAGGGCAATCCTGGTGAGGGCTCAGAAGAAGAGAATAGCTATAGGAAAAATCTGAATCTAGTTGGAGATTACCTAAGTAGTTGTGATCAGAACATTCATAGAAACATGGCCACTAACAGCCATTCTTTTTTATTATTATTATTATACTTTAAGTTTTAGGGTACATGTGCACAACGTGCAGGTTTGTTACATATGGGTGCAGCACACCAACTAACAGCCATTCTGATGAGGACCTAAACACAAGTAAGAAACATCTCATTGGAAACTGGAGTAACGGCCACCCTTATAATAAATTGGTAAAGAACTTGGTTGAATTGTGTTCATGCACTCCCATGTGTTTATGGGAGGCAAAATTTAAGAACAATGAATGAGGGTATCTGGCAGAAGAAATTTCTTAGCAAAATATCTAAGGAACTGAGTAGCTACTTTTAGCCACATGCAGTAAGATGCAAGGTGAAACATATGTATTAAAGATGGAATTTATAATTAAAAGAGAACCAGAACAAAAAGATTTTGAGCCAACCACAGTGGCTCACACCTGTGATCCCAGCATTTTGGGAGGCCGAGGTGGGAGAATCACTTGAGCCCAGGAGTTTGAGACCAGCCTGGGCAACAGAGTGAGACCCCATCTTTAAGAAAAAATAAAAAGAATTAGCCGAGCATGGTGGTACACATCTATAATCGCAGCTACTCAGGGGCTGAAGTGGGAGTATTGAGTGCAGGAGGATGAGGCTGCAGTGATCCATGGTCACACTAATACACTCCAACCTGGGCGACAGAGCAAGACCTGTTCTCAAAAAAAAATAAATAAATAAAGACTTTGAGAATTTTTAGCCTATTTATGAAAATAAATAAAAGGCATGTTTAGGAGAGCAAATGGTCACTTGTGGCCAAGTGACAATTTGTTAAAGAGATTGGTACAGATTAGAAGGAATTGAAGACAATGGAAGAATAACCCTGAAGGCATTTCAGAGATCTACAGGGTTGCTTCTCCCATCACAGGCCCAGACCTCTAGGAGGGCAGAATGGTTTCAAGGGATGGGCCCGGGGTTTGCTGCTCGTGGTCACCTCAAGATCCCTGCTCCCTGCATTTCAGCACAGTGTTCCTCAACCACCCAGCCCTGGCTCAAGCAGGCCCAAGAGTTGCTCAATCCACTGTTCCAGAAGGCATAAGCTGTAAACTTTGGCAGCATCCACATGGCACTAATCCTGCAGGCGCAGAGAATGCAAGAGCTGTGAGGGTACGGCTTCCTCCATCTAGACTTCAAAGGTTGTAATAGACAGCCTGGGGGTCCAGGCAGAGACTTTCTACATGAGCAAATCCACTGCTGCAGAGAATCCTTACTAGGGCAATGCTGAATGGAAACAGGGTCAAAGCCACCACACAGTCCCCACTAGGGCAATGTCCAGTGGAGCCATGGGAGTAGGGCCACTCCCAAGACCCCAGAACTGTAGACTACCAGCTTGCAAGATCAGCCTGGGTGAGCTGCAAGCACAAGACTCCAACTTGTGAGAGCTGCTGGATGGAGCTCAGCAATGTCACAGGGGTGGGCTGCCTGAGACTATGGGGACCCATCTCCTGATCCAGTGTATCCTGGAGGTGGGACATGGAGTCAAAGGAGATTATTTTGGAGCTTTAAGACTTAACGTTTTTCCTGTTGAGGTTTGGACTCGTGACAAGTTACCCCTTTCTTCTTGCCTATTTTTCTATTTTTGGAATGGGAATCTCTAACCTAAGCCTGTCCCACCATTGTGTTTTGGAAGCATGTAACTCAGTTTGATTTCACAAGCTCATAGAGGGAGAGAAATTTGCCTTGGTTTGAATCCCACCTTGAGTCTCATCTATATCTGACTGAGACTGGGCTTTGAACTTTTGAGTTGACTTGGAACAAGTTAAGATTTTGGGGCTATTGGGATAAAATGAATGTATTTATAAGTGAGAAGGACATGAGTTTGGGGGGTCCAGGGGTGGAATGCTATTGCTTGAATGTTCCCTTCGAAACTCATGTTCAAATTTGTAACTGTGATGGTGTTAAGAGGTAATTAGGCCATGAGGGCTCCTCCCTCATGAATGAATTAATGTTGTTGTTGTGAGAGTGGGTTCATTATCACAAGAGTAGGTTGTTATAAGAGAGTTCAGACTTCCCTTACTATCTCAAGCTCTCTTGCCCGTCTGCCTTCCACCATGGGATGACATAGCAAGAATACTTGCACCAGATGCAGCCCCTTGATCTTGGACTTCCAAGTCTCAAGAAGCATTAGCCAAGTGAATTTATTTTCTTTACAAATTATCCAATCTCAAGTATTCCATTATAGCAGCAGAAATAGACTATGACAGAAGAAATTATACAATTAGTGTTTATAGTACACTTTCAAGCTAGAATCCTAGCATGCACAAATGAAATCAAGAAAATAGCTCCCAACCCCAATCCAAAAACACTAAAGAACCAGATATGGAGGAATTAGCCTATTTACATAATTTCATGATTATGTGTGTGTGTCCTAGATCTTGTTAGTAATATTAAACACATTAGAGAAGTCTGAGGAGACATCCTCCTAGCACGCATTCTACAAGGAGACAGTGTTATATAGATCACAAACCACTATGTGCCAAATTTCATGAGCCTTTAGGGCAAGATGTCCTATGGTCCTGTTGACATTGTCTAGCTCTCCCATTCTTTTCTGAACCATAGCATGTATGATTCTCCCACTTTGTGAGTCTCTTGTAAAACATGAAATAAAGGGGCTTAAAGACAAAAGAAGGCAGTTCAGAGTTCTACTTGAGTCGTTAAAGACTTTGAATGCTAAATGAGGCCCAGTTTTTCTCCTTCTTGAATTAAATTATTTAAAGATCTTTTTTTCTAAGAAGAGAAAGTTATGCTTCAAGACAGACTCTGGATGATATCAGGGGCTATCCTGAATGCAAACAACAGTTTAGGGAGAAAACAAATCTATGTCCAATTTGTGGGTAGTCACCAATACACTTTTACACTACAAATTTAGTAACAGACATTAGGGGTCATCCAATGCCCTATTTTCAAGTAATATACTCCAATGAGGTTATCAAATGGTACAGGAATTTGCAATGTAGAGATTATCAGGTTAGGGCAAAGCAAAAGAATGTAGGGATGAGGGAATGCAGTGACCTTTATTTGTAAGGTCTGAAAAAAAGTGAAATAGTCTCCAAATACACACTACCATTGCCTAAATCTTTCCCAAGCTCTATTTCTTAAAAACCTTGGTTATAAAGGCAAGCTCCTTTTCTAATACCCTTTCTTTTATAAGGTGAAGGAGTCAGTCTTTGTGCTACTTAGTGGTCATACCATGAAACCCAAAGATGAATTTTGTTTAAAATGTATCTTAACAGTTTGATTGCTTTGATTTGGTGATTTTTACCTTAGAAATGGGAAGTCAAGAAGAGGTATCAAAGGCAACAAAATAGAAATATGTCAGGATATTCAAAGACAAAAAAATAGTTATAAAGAAATTTTTTAACTCACAAAAAAAAGTAACAATGATTACTAAAAAACTTAATTTTTGTCAACAAAAAAGGGAACTTTCTGTCAAAGCAATTCAAAATATTCCAAAAGTTTCAGGATTTAGTAGAATATTTTTGTGACTGAAAAAAACCTCTGTTATCTAGACACAGAATAATTTGGTCTTTTTTTCTAAAGAAAGCCCAAATCCTCATTTTACACTTTATATATATATTATTATTGCTATGAACTGGATGTCCATGTTTCCCTGAGATGCATATGTTTAAGCCCTAATTCCCAGGGTAATGGTATTTGGAGGTCTTTGGGACATAATTAGGTCATGAGAGTAGAATTCTCATGATTGGATTAGTGCCCTTATAAGAAGAGACATAAGACGGATGATCTCTTTTAGATACATGGGAATACAGAGAGAAGAGGGCCGTCACCAGACACCGAAATAGGACTCCAGGACTATGAAGTCCCTCAGTCTATGATATTTTGCTATAGCAGCCCAAACAGACAGAGACAATCATCCATACAACCACTTGCAGTAGAGGATTCATGAGCCTTTCCTTTCCTTTTTTTTTTTTTTTTTGGAATAAATTCATTAGCTTGGAGCCAACTTTGTATATAATTTTTTTTTTTAAATAATTGTTTCCTTCAAACTCATGCCAGCATTACCAACTTGGGCAAACAAATTTTGCCTTCCTCAGACCTTTTACATTTAGGGTTTTTCTTAAAATTACATTTTTTAAATTTTTAATATTTTGAATTAAACTTAATATACCTTTATATGTATGTATTTAGACTTATACAAATACTTAACTGTGAAAACAGATTATTTAATTAAACTTTTTAACTTTCTTAGCATATCAAATAAAACAATGCATGTATGTATGTAGGGGTGTGTGAACATATATATAATTGAATTTACCATACTAATAAACTGTAACAATTTTCTTAAAAAGCAAATAAACCACATTTATTATCTGGTATACATATTCATATTTCTCCCAAATTATTGTACCTAATATTGTCTCAACAATTTATATTGTAAGCAGCTTTTGTTTTTCTAGACCTGAGACAGGAAACAAAAACAATCCAGTTAATTTTTTCCACAAACATTTATATTACTTTAACAAATTTTAAGGTGGAAAAGTAAGCATATATATTGCATCACTTAAAGACATTTGCATACCCTGTTAAGGTATAGTCATTTACATATATAAAATAAAGAGTAGGGGAAATTAAAACTATATTTAGTAACTAATATTTGCATATTTGTCTTACTTATAAATTGCCCATATAGCCAAAGTTTATATATTAATTCAATTGAATATTAGTCTAAGGTTGGCTAAAGATCTGGAAATTACAATTTAAGCTAATATATTATGTCCATACAATTTGCAGCATTACGAGAATTCACAAGATTAACCCTTTTTGAAAGACATGCATTCTTACAAGTTCATATAGTTAAATATGATTCAATATTCTTTTACTTCTTCACCAATTTGTAGAAATAACTTACTGAACACATAGAATTTATGTAGAAATTTTTAAACTTTAAGAAAATCTTAAATCATGAGAAACTAAACCCAGATCTCATCTTAAATAAAAATTGTGCTTACATCATATTTACATGTCGATAAAATCAGAGAGAAAAAAGTTTTTTATATGCTAAAGGTCAATTTCTTTAATTTGATTAAAAGTCATCTATTTATCAGAAATATTACGTAAATTATTTTAATACAAATTAACCTCATTTGTCATATATAAAAAAATGTGCACCTGTAAGCTCCCTCAAGACAAAAGGAGTCTTTTTCCCTCAGTTCAGAACCTGGTACTGAGAAGGAGTACAATCTTTAGAATGAGCTGTCTCCAGTGTGTTTCTAAACTTCCAGGCCACACTGCTTCTGTTTTTCTTCATCCATAAGACTTATCAGTGAGTACAAAAGTATACTTTTCCCTCTCTCCTCTCTCCCTCTCCTCTCTCTCTCTCACACACACACACACACGTGGAAACACCTCCCTTATCTGCACAAACAGACCTTCTCAAGCAGTCCTGATTCACTTTCCAAAGCCCTGATTCATGTGGGAACCAAGTGAAGAAAATCAAAGTATTTCACCCCAAAATATATTTGTTTAACATATTTTGAGATGGCTGTTCAGAGGGCCTGCAAACAGGAGTAGCCCTGCAAAGTTGCCTTTTGTGAGGGAGATTTGCACTTGTAGAGAAAATCTCCATTGATGCAGCCAGTCTTTCGCTGATGGTCTTCCCTTGCCTGATCTGAGAAAAGTTAACAGAGAGTCTAATATCTTTAAAGGTCTGAAAGAAACATTCACCATCTATTTTCTCTGAGAGTTGCTACCTGTGAAATTTCATCTACATAACAAGACCACCTTTGCTAGCCAGGCCTCCTCTTTTCCCCCTCCAATAACCTGTCTTGCCATGATCCAAGCCCCCATTCTTTCTGTAATCTCAAGATGGTATGATATATAAACTTCTCTACCCTACTGGAGTAATCACTCCATCGTTTTCCTCCATGTGCACGTTAATAAATTTGGATACCTTTCCCTTATTAATCCGCATGTTCTCAGTTGATTTTTCGGCGAACCTTCAGAAGGTGAAGGAAAGTTTTCCCTTGGTGCCTACATGAGTAATAATGGACGCCTGCCTGAAGACACCAGTCCAGAAATGGCACTGACACTTTGATTGTCCTTTCATAAATCAGTGTCATCTTGAGCTGAGCCCTAACCTGATGACAGAGCCACTGCTTCTGCACTACAAGATTGCATTTCACTTGGGTTAAAAGGTCTATTTTTTTCTGTGCCAAAAATGTCCTGTCTTCTCACTAGTCCCCGCACCTGCCCCCTGCAAAAGGTCAGAGAACCTTTTTTTAAATACCAGAAGTACCACCATGTCCAACCTTCCTATTCTTGTATTTCACAACAACAAAGATTGAACCCTCCTTCCCCCACCAATAAATGATTGAAGGAAACATGAGCTGAGTGCCTGTTAATCCTCTTCATGCATTTATGAAATGTCCACCATGTTGTAATTATCATCCTCTTAATATACATTGTCACATACAGTGACTATATATAATTCAGTCTTATACTCTTCAAGACAGGCATTATTATTTCTACTTTTATAGTTAGGAAAATTGAAGCGTAAAGACTTTAAGTGACTTGCCCAAATCAAAACACCACTAAGGGATTAGAATCCAAATTTGACTGAAGCCAAGTTCGACATCACAAATAGTGCTCTTTTTGCTGCCTCTTCCCAGATGCCTGGATGTTTTCCAGTAAATGAATATATTCAGTTGGCTAACCTGGGTCACACTCTGCCAGGTTTCCTTTCCAAAGAGAGCCAAGGGAGGAGGCTGCCATTAGCACCAACACTATTCATGGCACTGCCCCCAAAGTAGTGTTTCCTGTATATTCTTCTGGAACTTGAAAGTATGAAATGCAATATTCCCGAGCATGTCATAGTGGTTGAACTCATGGTCAAGTATATATTGTGGGTCAGCAATACAGGCAAGAATGTTTTTTATATTTACAAATGCTTGAAAAAAATAAAAGAATAATATTTTGTGACATGTAAACATTCCAAGAAATTCAACTAACTTCAGTGTCCATAGATAAAGTTTTATCAGAACGTGTCCCACTCTTTCATTTACATATTGGCCATGACTGGTTTTGCACTGCAACATCAGAGTTGAACTGTTGCAATGAGACTGTAAGGCCTGTAAAGCCTAAAATATTTACTATTTGGCTCTTTCTAGAAAAATCTTGCTGATCCTATTCACAATAGCAAAGACTTGGAACCAACCCAAATGTCCAACAATGATAGACTGGATTAAGAAAATGTGGCACATATACACCATGGAATACTATGCAGCCATAAAAAATGATGAGTTCATGTCCTTTGTAGGGACATGGATGAAGCTGGAAACCATCATTCTCAGCAAACTATCACAAGGACAAAAAACCAAACACCGCATGTTCTCGCTCATAGGTGGGAATTGAACAGTGAGAACACGTGGACACAGGAAGGGGAACATCACACACTGGGGACTGTTGTGGGGTGGGGGGAGGGGGGAGGGATAGCATTAGGAGATATACCTAATGTTAAATGAAGAGTTAATGGGTGCAAGTACACCAACATGGCACATGTATACATATGTAACTAACCTGCACAATGTGCACATGTACCCTAAAACTTAAAGTATAATAATAAAAAAAAGGGAAATCTTGCTGATCCCTAGTGTAAATGATTAATCACAGAGCCATTTTAAGAACAAGATTTTTTTGTTTTGTTTGAGCAGGCTAGGGAAAGAAGAAAGGGAATGCCAGGACAAATGGATGTTTAAAAATAAGAGAAGTAGTGACATGGTGATAGAAAAACAGAGAGTTGAAAAAGAAAAGCCTTATCAGCTTCACAGTACAGCTTAGGGTCCACCCATGGCATGGGAAAGAAAATGTCAACTATCCATTTTAATCAATCAATTCTAATATAAATAAAAGTGATGATAATAATTCACATAATAATGGCATAATAAATAGCATTTCATATGAGCCAGGTACTGCGCTAAATGCTGTACACGTTTAATCTCAGGGCAATCCTTACCATGATCCTATGTCATAAATGCTACTATTCCTCCACTTTTCATGTGAAATTAAGGAATAACGGGGTCAGATGGGTGAGGTGGCCCATGCCAGTAATCTCAACACTTTGGGAGGCTGAGATGGGAAGATTGCTTCAGGCTAGGAGTTTGGGACCAGCCTTGGCAACACAGTGAGACCTGTCTCTACAAAAAACTTTTAAAAATTAGCAAGGCATGGTGGTGCATGCCTGTAGCTCCACATACTCAGGAGGCTGAAGCAGGAGGATCGCTTGAGCCCAAGAGTTCAAGGTTGCAGTGAGCCATGATTGTGCCACTGTATTCCAGCCTGGGTGACAGAGCAAGACCCTATCTTAAAAGAAAACAAAAAGAAAGAAGAATAGAGGGGTTGAGTAATTTGCCCAAGGATGCAGGGTCTGAACTGAGAACTTACTGTACAAAAGAGGAGGTCATAGCAAAACTCTTACAAATGACTATGATGCTTTTAAAAGCTCTCACCTTTGCCAAACAGGTCGGTATTGCTAGCAAGAATTAGCAGCTCTTCTCTTGCAGTGGCCTTAGAGCTAAAGGCTTGTTGTTTGATTTCAATGACAAATGTCTCCAGTCTTTGAAGATATGTTTGATTTTAAAAGTCATGTGAGGTTAAGTCTGGTAAGTGGTCAGGCTGAGTGGCAATGGTTTGAGTTATTAAAAGCAAGGTGTTCCCTTCACTATGAATGATGGTTTTCTTAGTGATAATCTTTGCCTAACTGGACAGATAATTCCAAGAAAGATATTACTGAAGAAAAAAAAAGACTCAGTTCTTGTCTTTGTAGAGCTTCCAATCAAACTAACTCTTTAAGTCAGTATGACTGTCAGTCACTGAAAATTCTAACCTTAACTATTTATTTATTTATGTATTGAGACAGAGTCTCACTCTGTGGCCCAGGATGGAGTGCAGTGGCATGATCTTGGTTCACTGCAACCTCTACCTCTCAGGTTCAAGTGATTCTCCCGCCTCAGCCTCCCAAGTAACTGGGATTACAGGCATGTGCCACCACGCCAGCTAATTTTTGTATTTTTAGTAGAGAAGGGGTTTCACCATGTTGGCCAGGCTGGTCTCAAACTCCTGACCTCAGGTGTTCCGCCTGCCTCGACCTCCCAAAGTGCCACTGCACCCGGTCTCTATTTTTTTAAATAGTCAAATGGAAGTATAGAGCAATCTATTCACACTATCTCAAAAGATTATAAATTTTTGAGTCAGGAAGGAAATTTCCATTATTGTTGGCATTGTTGGCTGTGTGATCTTGAGCAATTTCCCTGAGTCTCTGTTTCCTTGTCTGTTAAGTTAGGATACTTCACAACTTTCTCAAGAGGGACCCTGAGAGGGAATTAAAACTAATGCCTTCAAGCATTCATTGTATAAAGGGAATCAATTTCTCTTCTATCATATAGAATGGTACTAGTTATGCACCATCCTTGGGGTAATTGAGAAAACAAGTCACTCAGATCATTTCCTATGTCCTATGGCTCAGATAAAACCAGGTACTACATGTGAAAGACTGCATGAGGATTCAATAGGATAATAAATAGCGTTTATTGTAGGTATAAAATAGCATTTACTATAGGTTTAATAAATAGCATTTATTATAGGTGTTATTTATTATATGTGTAATAAATAGCATCATGTATGGCACATGGAAGGGGTACTCAGTAATATTAGTATTTTTCCTTTTCTACAGCAGGTTGGAAATTGGGCTGAGGTTTTCACTGAAGATGATAGCAGTGCCCTTCCACAGTGTGACTCTCAAGGCAGCTTCTGGGCGCCCATCTGCCCAGAATGACAATTTTTCCTATAAGGAGGCACTTTTGAAGAAGGAGAGGAAAGGGATGTTGATTGGCATTCTGTCAGGCATTCCATGAACTAAGAAATGAATGGGGATCATGCTGGTGGCTGTAATGGATCTGGCAGCCCCATAGTCACTCCTTCTTCCCTGTATTTATCTGTTTACCTAATCCACTTCTTGACCGACAGCTCCTTGAGGGCAGGGGCTAAGGACTAGTCTTTAATTGTACCTTTATATCTGCAGAGACTAGCAAATATTAATACCTATGAGGCATTAACGACTTCACGGTTTCCGAGGAAAGCCAGAAGGTATGAAACTGGGACTGTGGAGCAACCTCTTGCTTTTCATGGAACTTTTAGCCTATGAGGCACTTCAGGGAAAAGAAGTTCTTCCTGGAACCCAGGAAGCTGAGTTCCTCACGTCTCTGAGCTCAGAGCGTCTATCTCATGTCAAGATCCCTTCGACAAGTGCAGGAGAGGGTGACAGGACGGCTGCATAATCAACCCCGCCAGCTCACACGCAAGCTATGACCTCCAGAAGGGACAGGACACCTTTAGAATACTTTCTACCATTTCGCAAGCTTCTGGGCACGAAGTTCTCTAATCTCAGGTCCCCACGTGACTCCACAGTCCATTTTTCTCTTCTCACATCTCATCTGGTCAAGCTTGACTAAAATTATCTTGTGAACCACCCAAGTAAACACTTGCCTTTGTCTCTTCAAATGGTGTCGATGATATGTCAATGTACACACACACCAAACTGATATAGTATCGCTAGCAGTGTCTCTTTAAAGAGGAGATGTTTTGGAAGGCAGGACACTCTACAGTAAGAGCCTTTTGCTGTGCAAGGTTCACAGCTGTTGCTGTGGCAACTCTCACAACCTCGCTGAGTATCCAAATAAATAGTTTGTTCTTTTTTTTCCTCCCTAAGTAAGATGGGGGAGGGGGACGATCGATGAGACTTGCTATTGGGATCCATTTGGAGTTCTGGAGTCAGTGCAAAAATTGAGGTTTCCTAAAACGACAAAGAAATAAAGGCTTTGGGAAAAGCCCACACCCCTCAAAGGCTGCAGATGGAAAATGGAAGGGAACTGCGTGCTGGAACCTTAGCAGGCGCCGTGGCTTTGAAAAGAAGCTCCCAGCAGCAAACACCCAGGCAGAAAGAAAGAAAGCTGCGGGGTTCCGACCCCACATTCCGGCGGAGAGCTCGGGCCTCTCTGCGGGGGGGACGCCCAGCCTCCCCCGGCCTGCCACCCCAACCCCCCTCCTCCGCTCCCCCCACAGACACGTCTAAACAGCCCAGGATCTCCGGTTAAACAAAGAGAGTGGTATGCCTTAAAAAAAAAAAAAAAAAAAAAAAAACAAACAAAAAAAAACTTTTATTTTCGTGTGATAGGTGATATGTGGAAAATTAATTACAGGAAATAGCACTGCGAAAAGCAGCAGCATTCGTCTTTAAATGGATATGGTCCCCCCCTTCTCCGCCCCCCTCCTGGCTCTTCCTCAGCCCGGCGCAGACAGACACCGCCCCTACCCTCCCCCAAACTCTTTTGTTATCAGTTGAATCACGTCTCGTGCCAAGCAAAAGGTCATTTCAGGTCATCTTGGAGATGAAAGGACGGGGTAATGTATATGAAGGTGCGGGAATTGGCAAGCCCAAAAAATATATACATACACATATACATATACATATACATATACATATACATATACATATACATATACATATACATATACATGCACATAGAGACAGAGAGAGAGAGGTGGGGCAGCGCGGGGGCGGGGGGAGCGCGGTAGTGGGGATGTGAGAAACGCCAGCATTCTAACAAGAACAGAGTGATGCCAGAAAGACGCAGGAAATGTTTCAAAGCATGACAAGCACTGTCCAATCTGTAGCTAATTCCTTATAAAAATAAGAATGTGGCTTATAATTGTTAGGTGCCTGGAGGGTAATTAGAGTTTCTAATTGTTCTCATCCACAATCTCATTTTTGACCCTTCATCAGAGAGCGAGAGATGCCGCCCATTGCGAAAGTGCGCGTTCTGGAAACGTGCTGCATCTGCGGGGCTTTGGCGAACGTGCTCTGCTGGGCCAGAGAGGCGGGACATATCAGACTTAGAGCCTCCACCAGAAGGGGGTTGGGGGCAGAGGGTTGGCCTGGTCCAGTCACCCTCTTGAAGGGAATTTAACCACCAGGGTATGTGGGCAGTATATTTAGGGTGTTTCAGTAGCAAGCACAGATCACTTTGTTTGGAGATAAGAAGAGAAAAAAAAAACGAAACAAAAAAAAAAATACCTTGCATAGAGTTGTTGTTGTTAATGTTTTCCCTACACTGTTTACTGGGTAGGGATGGCATGGTTTTTTATTTCTCTACTAAAAGAGACGCCACTCCCTCCTTTGAGTTTGTAATTCAATGCCATTTCAATAAAGACAATTGGCTCTCGCTGTCTCTGAATTCTTGCCAAGTGCATTTTCCCCTTTCTTTTCCTTCCCACTGCTGTATTTGAATGTCCTGTATTTGCCTCATCAATTTTTTTTCTAAGAAGCAAGTTTGTTTTTTTTTTTCCAATAACGCAGATGCCAACAGCAATCTATCAAGCGAGTGGGAGGTTTAGGTAATAAATCGTTTGTTCCCAGATACCAAAAGTTTCTTACATGGAAACTCCCCCTATAGCCTCCGCTGCCATGGGCTCCGCTCCACTCCCTCTTCTTACTAGTCAAACTCCATCTACCACCCCCCATTCTTTCCACACCCACAGCAATTCAAACAGGGAGGCTTCTGAGGCAACCAGTTAAAGGTAAGCTGATTCTTGACAGGTTCTGTAATAGTAAAGCCAATGAGATTTGGTAAAATTCGTCTGTTACCCCATCAGTCCTGGAAAATAGCTTTTTACAATGGTTATCATCTCAATGTGTGGCACCTGCTAGAGAAACTGGCCTCCATATATGCCTATTCCCCAACTCACACCATTATAAAGGCATACTCACTAAAGTTATACTAGCTTCCTCATTACTAGAGTCATGTGTTTCTAAAGAAATACAAGTCATTTCTGTAACTGTTGTAGATGCTAGCAGCAGAAAGCTCAACATCCTGGGGGTTTGAAGGGAATGGACTCAGTTCTTAACAAAATGGCATTCGTATATATGGGGTGTAGGGAGGTGGTCATTGTGCAGAATGAAGGGAGGAAGGAATAGAGAGTAGTCCAGAGGGTCGGGCAAGATACCTTGATTTAGCCAAAGTCAGCAGCTACCTGATTAATAATTGAAGTGCTGTTAATACGTGGATGAGGATTGTCTGATGCTTACACCAATCAGAGGATGTGGCACCCCCAAGTAACCAATGAGACTTCTCAGGCATTGGTCCTTTTCCATTCGTTACATGCACCCTGAGGAAAAACCCCAAGGCAAATCTGATGATGTCGGCTGGGGCATGCAACTGTCACATAGAGAAGATGGCAAGTTTCCTCTATTTATCATTTCTGTTGAGCAGTATTGTATTATACACACGAGCAAAGCAACAATATTCCATGTTTATGTCTTGCTAGATCACCTAGAAGTTCCGACAGACTTAAAATACAATCAGGCATTTCCCATGCCTTACTGAGAAGGAAGAAAGAAAGGGATCTAGTAGTGATTAAATAATCACTATGTATCATGTGATAGTCACTTTAAATCACTATCACTCAGTCCTCACATCAACTCTGTGGATAGTGTAATTATTTCATTCACTGGCGAGGAAACTGACAATCAAGGTGGGTTGAGTAACCTAATTAGAGATCACCACACATCTAACAAGAGAAGGGAAGAAAGCTCACATTTAGTGAGCACCCCTTGTTTCAGAGACTATGCTTAACTTATCACACATCTACTTTCAAATAACCGTATGCTATGCATAATATTGTCTCCATATGATAGATGAAAGTGAGATTCAAGAAACTTAAGTAACTTATTCAAAGTCACAAAGTTGGTAAATGCAGGAGCTGGAATTCAGACTCAAGCCAGTGTGACGCCCAAAGCTCATGCTGTTTGCCTGCAACTGATGCCTCAAATATTAGCCTGGGATAGAAGAATGAAAGGTTAGTTATCAGCCTTACTCCCAATAGGACAGCACACAGTATATCCTCAATCCCTATAAGCTTACCTCGAAAAATTTACCTTGGCATGTATATAAAGACTGTCCATGATTGGGCATAATGAACAAAGTCCCATTTGTCTAAAGGAAACTGTTTCAGACAGTTTCACGGAGGATCACAAATATAAGCCTTTAGGTCTGATCTTCAACTCAGACCTCATGAGCGATGTTGGTTTGCTTAATGTTTCAAAGGCAGGAAAAGTGAAAGACAGGAAATTCCCTGGGCTTATTCTCATTCTAGCTTTTTACTATTAAGTCTAAGATTATTTCTGAATGTAATCACCAAATCTGTCATTTTCAACTGATTTGGCCATTTTAGTGTGTGGCATTTATTTACTCAATAAAATATTGAGTGCTTACTAGGCACCAGGCAATGTGCTCTATGTTAACCATACACCAGTGTTTGTGCAATTGACAGAGTAATGCTGCCATTCATTGTTTAGGGAACATCAGAGGAGAAGGAGAAAAAGAAGGAAGATCGGGAGGATGTAATGAAGTGGGTGGATTTGGCAGACTAAACTGAGTCTGAGGTGCCTGCAGAAGCACCTGCTGGTGCTTCCTGATAAGTAATTGGAATTATGGGTCTTGCTTTCCGGAGACAAATCTGGACTAAAAATATAGTCTCAGGATGGACTCACATATGGCAGATGGTAACTCAAGTCATGGTGGTAACTGAGATCATCTGGGGAAACAGGGCAAAATGGGAAAAGAACGGGACTTAGAATAGCAGAGACCAGAAGAACCTAATGTTTAAGGGATATTTGGGATCAAGTACGTTCCCCAATTTCGTATGTGGCAAAGTAGGCCACCCTTTTCATTAATTTGCTAATTTATCCAACCAGCCCTTACCCATCACCTCCTATATGTTAAGTGCTCATAATGCAAGCATGAGTAACATCTGATTCCTTGCCTTGAGGGGATATAATAGAGGAGAATTCAAATGTATTTATATACAAAGATCTGTCTATATTCTTTCTGAAGGAAAAAAAGAGATTGGTGAGACAGGCTCATAGTGGTAATGATTTTTTTAATTAATGAATTTATTTATTTATTTTTGAGACAGAGTTTTGCTCTTGTTGCCCAGGCTGGAGTGCAATGGCACTATCTTGGCTCACTACAACCTCTGCCTCTGGGTTCAAGCGATTCTCCTGTCTCAGCCTCCCGGGTAGCTGGGATTACAGGCACCCGCCACCACACCCAGCTAATTTTTATATTTTTAGTAGAGATGAGTTTTCACCATGTTGGCCAGGCTGACCTGCAACTCTTGACCTCAGGTGGTCCACCCGCCTCGGCCTCCCAAAGTGCTGGGATTACAGGTGTGAACCACCATGCCCAGCCGATATATTTTTTTAATTTTTTACTTCCATAGATTATTAGGAAACAAGTGGTATTTGGTTACATGACTAAGTTCTTTAGTGGTGATTTGTGAGATTTTGGTGCACTCATCACCTGAGCAGTACACACTGCACCCAATTTGTAATCTTTTATCACTCATCCCCTTCCTACCCTTTCCCCCTGAGTCCCCAAGGTCCATTGTATCATTCTTATGCCTTTGCATCCTCATAGCTTAGCTACCACTTATGAGTGAGAAGATATGATGTTTGGTTTTCCATTCCTGAGTTACTTCACTAAGAATAACAGTCTCCAATGTCATCCAGGTTGGTGCAAATGCCATTAATTTATTCCTTTTATGGCTGAGTAGTATTCCACTATGAGTGTGTGTTTGTGTGTGTATATATATATGTATGTATATCAGTTTCTTTATCCACTTATTGAATGATGAGCATTTGGGTTGGTCCCACATTTTTGCAATTGCGAATTATGCTACTATAAACATGAGTGTGCAAATATCTTTTTCGTATAATGACTTCTTTTCCTTTGAGTAGATACCCAGTAGTGGGATTGCTGGATCAAATGGTAGTTCTACTTTTAGATCTTTAAGGAATCTCCACACTGTTTTCCATGGTGGTTGAACTAGTTTACATTCCCAGCAGCAGTGTAGAAGTGCTCCCTCTTTGTCACATCCCTGCCAACATCTATTATTTTTTGATTTTTTGATTATGGCCATTCTTGCAAGAGTAAGGTAGTATCGCATTGTGGTTTTGGTTTGCATTTCCCTGATCATTAGTGATGTTGAGCATTTTTTCATATGTGTATTGGCCATTTATATATCTTCTTTTGAGAATTATCTATTCATGTCCTTAGCCCACTTTTTGATGGGATTGTTTGTTTATTTCTTGCTGATTTGTTGGAGTTTGTTTTAGATTCTGGATATTAGTCCTTTGTCAGGTGTATAGCTTGTGCAAATTTTCTCCCACTCTGTGGGTTGTCTTTTTACTCTGCTGACTATTCCTTTTGCTGTGCAAAAGCTCCTTAGTTTAATTAAGTCCAGCCTATTTATCTTTGTTTCTTGTTTTGTTTTGTTTTGTTTTGTTTTTTGAGATGAAGTCTCACTCTTGTCCCCCAGGCTGGAGTGCAATGGCATAATCTCAGCTCACTGCAACCTCCACCTCCCGGTTTCAAGCGATTCTCCTGCCTCAGCCTCCCGAGTAGCTGGGATTACAGGCACCTGCCACCACGCCCGGCTAACTTTTGTATTTTTAGTAGAGACGGGTTTTCACCATGTTGGCCAGGCTGGTCTTGAACTCGTGACTTCAGGTGATCCACCTGCCTCAGCCTCCCAAAGTGCTGGGATTACAGGCGTGAGCCACCATGTCCAGCCTTATCTTTGTTTTTATTGCATTTGCTTTTGGGTTCCTGGTCATGAAATCCTTGCCTAAGCCAATGGCTAGAAGGGTTTTTCTGATGTTACCTTCTAGAATTTTTATAGTTTCAGGTCTTAGATGTAAGTCCTTGATCCACCTTGAGTTGATTTTTGTATAAGGTGAGAGATGAGGATCCAGTTTCATTCTCCTACATGTGGCTTGCCAATTATCCAAGCACTATTTGTTGAATAGGGCATCCTTTCCTCACTTTATGTTTTTGTTTGCTTTGTTGAAGATCAGTTGGCTGTAAGTATTTGGGTTTATTTCTGGGTTCTCTATTCTGTTCCATTGGTCTATGTTCCTATTTTTATACCAGTACCATGCTGTTTTGGTGACTATGGCCTTATGGTACAGTTTGAAATCAGGTAATATGATGCCTCTAGATTTGTTCTTTTTGCTCAGTCATGCTTGGGCTGTGCAGGCTCTTTTTTGGTTCCATATGAATTTTAGAATTGTTTTTTCTAGTTCTGTGAAGAATGACAGTGGTATTTTGATGGTAATTGCCTTGAATTTGTAGATTGCTTTTGTCAGTATGGTTGAAAATAATATTTAAATTGGACCTTGGGTAATGAATAGGGTGGTAAATAAAAGAAATCTGACTTCTGTATCTTTTATACAATGTAAATACTTAATAAATACTAACAATGGGATAGACCAAAAACATGCTAAGAAAAAACAGAATATAATGGAAGAGTAAACTTGGGAACCATGCAAATAAGGATCACCAGGGAAATGTATAAAGGAAAGAAGAATGGAATTAAAGATTTTTTAAAAGAAGAAAAGAATAACTGTATTCCTAGAGGAAATGATTTTATTAACCAGGGAAAAGCACTGGAAAGAGCAGTTTGGGAAAGTTTCCTTAGAATCCCGGGGAGGATAAAGCATCTAATTTTGGAAGTTGGAAACAGCATATTAGCCAAGGGTCTCTAATTTGGACTAATGAAAGCAAATTCAAAGTATAAGAAAAAAAGTGGAGATGTGGTGTTTGTTATATGAATGATGTGGTATTTCACAGAATTCAAAAGAAGGGATAGAGCTGGATCTCAGGAAGAGATTGGAAGTATGAACTGGAAAATTGTTAGGAAGCCAAGTCTGACTCTACCTCTCTATCATCCCTGCCTTTCTGCATCGAACTTCTCCCTTTGCTAATCAACTTTCTCTGCTTCTCAGTTCACATGTTGGAATGTGGGTGAAAAACAGCTTGGGAGTTTGGATGCTCCAATTCCTGCTCCACACAGTTCTTACTACATGATTTCTGAAACCAGATTCCAAATTAAAAGGCAAGAAAATGCAATAGACTTGCTGTGGGTCAGCTGTCCACCTATGACAATAACATGGCTGGGAGACAAGGCACGTGATGGTAGAAATTAGACAAGCAGGGCAGAAAGAATGCAGATAGCTTTTTGCATGTAAATCTATTCTAATGGCTTGTGGATTGGACATATATTCCATATATCCAGCATATATCCAGAATATGCTCTGAAATTGTGACTTTGACCTGAAACCAAGCTTGTACATGGAAGCTATCACAACAGGTATCATTTCCTTAAAGAATGGAAGACTATAATCCTTTGGATATATATACCCAGTAATGGGATCGCTGGGTCAAATGGTATTTCTAGTTCTAGATCCTTGAGGAATCACCACATGGTCTTCCACAATGGTTGAACGAGTTTACACTCCCACCAACAGTGTAAAAGCATTCCTATTTCTCCACATCCTCTCCAGCATCTGTTGTTTCCTGACTTTTTAATAATCGCCATTCTAACTGGAGTGAGATGGTATCTCATTGTGGTTTTGATTTGCATTTCTCTGATGGCCAGTGATGGTGAGCATTTTTTCAGGTGTCTGTTGGCTGCATAAATGTCTTCTTTTGAGAAGTGTCTGTTCATATCCTTTGCCCACTTTTTGATGGGGTCATTTGCTTTTTTCTTGTAAATTTGTTTGATTTATTTGTAGATTCTGGATAGTGGCACATATATACCATGGAATACTATGCAGCCATAAAAAGAATGAGTTCACGTCCTTTGCAGGGACATGGATGCAGCTGGAAACCATCATTCTGAGCAAACTATCACAAGGACAGAAAACCAAACACCACATATTCTCATTCGTAGGTGGGAATTGAACAATGAGAACACTTGGACACAAGGCAGGGAACATCACACCCCGGGGCCTGTCATGGGGTAGAAGGCAGGGGGAGGGATAGCATTAGGAGAAATACCTAATGTAAATGACGAGTTAATGGGTGCAGCAAACCAACATGGCACATGTATACCTATGTAACAAATCTGCACGTTGTGCACATGTACCCTAGAACTTAAAGTATAATAATTAAAAAAAAAAAAAGAGTGGAAGACTAAGAGTTGGAAGACTGAGAACCAACTGAACTACAGGATTAAATCAGGTGAAAGTAGGGGAAAAAAGACTTGTTATGATCTCAGCAAAATTGGCCCCTGAAGCCATGCCAAGCACCTATAATTTGTTTCGCTGACATTGATCATACTGAGAAAGAGCAGCTGATAGCAGTCGAGACAGCAGGGCCAGATTTAGGGTGAGCCGAGTGAGGCAGGGTCATGTGAATGCAGGGTAAAATCCTCTATCTTTATTTATATTGTTGATATTTTGTTCATCATGGATAGTTGTGTGAATTTCTACTTTTAAAATATTGCATAAAGGTATTATTCATCTTGATTTCCAAAGTCTTGGTGCCTCCTTAAGTTTTGCACCTGGAGCACGTGCCTCACTCACTTCATTCTCATCCACCACTCAGCTATACAGTTGGAAAAGCATGTGATGATATGGACAGCACCTAGTATAAAGAGAAGCTTGAAAGAATTTTGAAAAGTCAACTTAAGGTTTACTACTGTCCAATGAGTGCACAGTGAGGGCACTACTGCTAACGCCTACACAAGACACCCACATCAATTAGAGCTTTGCTTTACTTTGGTGCAATTTTTGGAAAAATGAAAACCTGATTTTCCACAATAAAGAAAATAAAACAATAAATAAAATTTTAAACAAAGATTTATAGAGCTAAAACAATAAAATGCCTAAAGTAAAGCATAAGACAAAATCTTTGTGATCTTGAGTTAAGCAAAGATTTTTTATATAGGACAAAAAAATTATGAACTATAAAAGAAAAACCTGATACCTTGAAATTTATCAAAATTTAAAACTTCTGCTTTTCAGAAGACACTGTAAGAAAATTAGTAGACAAGCTACATACTTGGAGAAAATATTGCCAAACTTATATCTGATAAAGAACATATTTAGAATATATGAAGAACTCTCAAAATTCAATAAGACAATCCATTAGTAAAAAGTGCAAAATATTTGAATATACATCTCACCAAAGAAAATATACAAGTCAAGTAAGTGCTGAAAAAGAGGCTCAACATGATTAGTCAAGATTGGAATCAACAGAAACACTTTTTTAAAAAAACCTCAAACTCTATGGCAATAACACAAGAGAAGTGGTTAATATAGAGAAACCTTTGCTCATATGTGGCTCTGGTGTTTTGTCAAAAGTAAACTGACTGATCATCTATATAGAAAATCCCAAATAATCTGCAGGAAAATATACGAGAACTAGTAAGTGAATTTAGCAAGGCTGCAGGACACAAGGTATTGTGGGTTGAATTGTGTCTCCCTAAAATATATGTTCAAGTCCTCACCTCCAGTACCTGTGAATGTGACCTTATTTGAAAACAGGGTCTTTGCAGATGTAATGAGTTAAGATGAAGACTTACTAGACCAAGGTGAGTCTTTAATTCGGGGACTGCTGTTTCTACAAGAAGAGGGAAATTTGGACACAGAGACCAACCCAGAGGGAGAATGCCATGTAGCAGTAGAGGCAGAGACTGGAATGATGCAGCTACAAGACAGGACCGTCAGGGATTGCTGACAACCACCAGAGGCTAGGAGAGAGGCATGGGACACGCTTCCCTCAGAGCCTCCAGAAAGAACCACATTTGCTGGCACTTTGAATCTGGACTTCTAGCCTTTCAGAACTGTGAAATAATAAATTTATATTGTTTTAAGCCCTCCAGTTTGTGATAGTTTGTGATAGCAGCCCTAGAAATTACAAGGTCAACATATAAAAGTCATTTGTGTTTCTAAATAGTAGCAATGAATAACTGAAAACTAAAATTTTTAAACATTATTTAAAATAGCCTAGAAACTATAAAATATTTCATGGTATATCTAACAAAGTGTGTCCAAAGTTCATGCACTGAAGACTATAAAATATTACTGAAAGGTATTAAAGAAGATTGAAGTCAATGGAAAGGTATATTGTGTACATAGATCAGAAGGCCCAGTTTTGTTAAGAGGCAATTCTACCCAAATTGATCTATAGGTTTAATGCAATGCCATGCAAAATTCCAGCAAGTTTTTAGAAATTGACAAGCTGACTCTAACATTTATATGGAAATGCAAAGGACCTAGGATAAACAGTGTTGGAAAAGAAAAATAATTTGGAAGAATTATACCACCTGACTTCCAGTCTTACTACAAAGCCACAGTAATCAGTCAGTATGGTAGATTATTGGCATAAGCGTAGACATATCGATCCATGGGAACAGTAATAGACCTACACATACAGAGTCAATTGATTTGCACTGAAGGAACCAAGTTATTTCAGTGGAGATAGGATAGTGTTTTAAAGCAAAAAGCAACTAAAACGATATCCACATTAAAAAAAAAAAAAACCAACTTCAACCTTTACCTTGCACTCTACACAAAAATTACCTTGAAATGGATTATAGCCATGAATTTAAAGATTTATAGAGCTGGCCTGGCGCGGTGGCTCATGCCTGTAATCCCAGCACTTTGGGAGGCTGAGGCAGGTGGATCACGAGGTAAGGAGATGAAGACCATCCTAGCTAACACGGTGAAACCCCGTCTCTACTAAAAAAAAAAAAAGTTATACAAAAAATTAGCCGGGCGTGGTGGCCGACGCTGTAGTCCCAGCTACACGGGAGGCTGAGGCAGGAGAAGGGCGTGAACCTGGGAGGCGGAGCTTGCAGTGAGCTGAGATAGTGCCACTGCACTCCAGCCTGGGAGAGACGCCGTCTCAAAAAAAAAAAAAAAGATTTATAGAGCTAACCATTCTTTCCTTGGGGTTGCGCTACTGTCCAATGAGTGCGTGGTGAGGGCACTACTGCTAACACGTACACAACACACCTACATCAACTACAGCTTTGCTTTACTTTGGTGCAATTTTTGGAAAAATGAAAACCCCATTTTCCATGACAATAAAAAAAAGAAAACAATAAATAAAATTTAAAAATAATTTATCTAAATGTATAAAATGCCTAAAGTAAAACAAGATAAAATCTTCATGATCTTGAGTTAAGCAAAGATTTTTTTATATAGGACAAAAACTTAAGAACTATAAAAGAAAAAACTGATAACTTGAAATTTATCGAAATTTAAAACTTCTGCTTCTCAAAAGACACCATAAGAAAATTAGTAGACAAGCTACATACTGGGAGAAAATATTAGCAAAACTTATATCTGGTAAAGAACATATTTAGAATACATAAAGAACTCTCAAAATTCAGTAAGACAATCCATTCGTAAAAAGTGCAAAATATTTGAATATACATCTCACCAAAGAAAATATACGTGTCAAATAAGCACCGAAAAAGAGGCTTAACATGATTACTCATTAGAGGAACATAAGTTAAAGTCATAATGAAATGCCATTATACACAGCTATTTATTTATTTATTTATTTATTTATTTATTTATTTATTTATTTGAGATGGCGTCGTGCTCTGTTGCCCAGGCTGGAGTGCCCTGGCAATCTCAGCTCACCGCAACCTCCGCTTCTGGGTTCAAGCCATTCTCCTGCCTCACCTTCGCGAGTAGCTGAGATTACAGGCATGCACCACCATGCCTGGCTAATTTTTGTATGTTTAGTAGAGAAGAGGTTTCCCCATGTTGGCCAGGCTGGTCTCAAACTCCTGACCTCAGGTGATCCACCCGCCTTGGCCTCCCAAAGTGCTGGGATTACAGGCATGAGCCACCACACCCAGCCTACACAGCTAAAATTTAAAAGACTGACAATACCAAGTAGTGGCAAGGATACAGAGAAATTGGAATTTTTTATGCTTTGCTGGTGAGAATGCAAAATGGCACAGCTGCTTTGGGTAACAGTGTGGCAGTTTCTGATGAAGTTAAACATACACTTACCACATGACCCAGCAGTCCCATTCCTGGGACTATAGAGAAATGAAAATATATATCCATGTAAAGACCTGCATGCGGCTGGGCGCGGTGGCTCACACCTGTAATCCCAGCACTTTGGTAGGCTGAGGCGGGTGGATTACCTGAGGTCAGGAGTTCGAGACCAGCCTGGCCAACATGGTGAAACCCTGTCTCTACTAAAAATACAAAAATTAGCCGGACGTGGTGGCACACGCCTGTAATCCCAGCCACTCGGGAGGCTGAGGCAGGAGAATTGCTTGAGCTCGGGAGACGGAGGTTGCAGTGAACCAATATCATGCCACTGCACTCCAGCCTGGCCGACAGAGTGAGACTCTGTCTCAAAAAAAAAAAAAGACCCGCATGCAAATGTTTATAGAAACTTTATTCTTAGCAAAAATTGGAAATAACTCATATGTGAATCCACTAGTGAATTCATAAACAAATTATTATACATCCCTACAGTGGAATACTACTCAGTAATAAAAAGAAACAAATTACTGATAAATGAAACAACAGGGGCAAATCTCAAAAGCATCAGACTAAATGAAAGAAGCCAGATTTGATTTACATAGCATTCTGGAAAAAAGCAAAACTATAGTGACAAAAAGCAGATCATTGACTGAGGATAGGAATGAAAGTAGGATATTTACTGCAAAGGAGAATAAAGGAAGTTTTAGGTATAATGAAAATGACACTGACAGTGGTTATGTGACTGTACACACTCATCAAAGCTCATTGAACCATATCCTTAAAAAGAATTAATTTTGTTTTATGTAAATGATACAATAAAACTGATAGAAAGAAAACTGACTAAAATGACCATGAAAGGAACTGAATAAGTTCTATGAACCAACTGCAAAGTTCAAAACGTTAAAGAGCTCATTATTTTACTCTACAATCACAAAATAAGCACAAGGCTAACAGCAGTCTCATAATTTTTATAAATTAATGTGATGCAAATTTTTCTATTGTATATAGACCTGTACACTGGGCATAATCTGTGCATTAATTAAAAATCTTATAACCAATCTGACCTGACCTCCTCCTGATCCAAAGGCTGTGGGATCCAAGAACACAGATGCTAAGAACTCACAGCTAACCCACTCCGAGCTGTATCCATTCTCCTCTTCCCAGACCTGGGCATCAACCCAGGAAAAGTACACAAAGAGGAAACATAATGAGGAAGGGTTGATTTTATTTCCAGCAGATTCGCTCTCTGATTTCTTTTGAAGAGTGGCTGATCTGACCCCTATTGGTGTGGTTTTTCAACACTGTCTACAAAACTTGGCATATCTCTCAGCAGTCAGTTCTCTAGGTCAGAATGGGGGACTATTTTTCTTTAACACATCATTGACCCAGATTAAAAATCAGTTATAGACCAGACACCAAGTAGGCCTCCTGGTGGAGATGAGCCTTGAGCCAGGTTCTGAAGGAAGATTGGAACATGAGTTGGCGGAGAGAAAAGGGAAGGAAATCACCGAAAGCAGGGGACCAACAAGAGAACAGTGAACAGGTCTGCCTGACTGGTTCGATAGAATCTTCTTTTGGAAAGTGCGACAGTATCCCACAGAGTCTACTCGCCCATGAAAACCACAGATTTTCTGTGCCTCCTGTCTCCTCCCCCTTCAAACTTTTCAGCATAGCCAAGCTGCCTTTTCCCCAAACATTTCTGCCTTCATTTTTTGCCTACACAAAAAAATTACTCCCTTGCAGGATAACATTGAATCATTCATCTTGGCAGGTTTAAATTTGGTCCCAACCTGCCTCTCCACCCAAATCGTTCAATAGCTACTATTTTTTACAAATTCACTGCTCTAGTCAAACTTCTCAATACATCATTTCAGGAAGACGCCAAATAAATGGCCATTTTCATGCTTTTGTTCATGCACACACCCCTTAGGGAGAATGCTTTCTTTCTCATCCAGTCTTTATGTCCTGACCTTCCTTAAAGCACTTACCAAATTCCTCAGGAAAACTCACTACTCTGGGTGTTTAACATCTGCTCTCTCATTCAATCTTCACACCTGTAAGATTTGTACTAATATTATTCTCTAAATAAGAAAACTAAGATGAGTAATTACATAACTTGCTTAAGGACAAGTAGCTACAAAGGTACAGAGTAGCGATTCAATAGAAAATCTTAATTATACCAAAGTCATGCTATTCTATATAGTATTGTCTCCACGAGGATACACAGCATATGTGCACTACCTTGTAGTGATAACGTGTGTGTCTGTGGAGATTTACATAGTAAAGAGACCTTATCTTTACTTGCATTATCTTTGAGTTTTAAGGTTGGCATGTATAGGAGTACACAGTCTTCCTGGTACATTGTACAAGAAGATATTGATGAATGGACCCCCTTCACTCCTACTAACAATTTACGAAGTGAAGGTCTTTCTAGAGAAAATTCATGATTGGTAAAAATGCATATAGATTAAGCAGCTATTGCTACAAATGCAATCTTCCGGAGGATTTAGGAAATTATTTTTCAAAAACAAATGCTGGGTTTATGTCTACCAAAGACACGTACAATTATGTTCATAACAGATTTCTTTTTAGTAGCTAAAAAGTAGAGATTATCTAAATATCCATCAGTAATAGAAAAAATAAAAATATAAATTGAGAGCACATTTAAAAGATTATTCAACATGATCAAGTGGAATTTATCCCAGGGATGCAAGGAGGGTTCTACATATGCAAAAAATAAAGGCGATACATTGCACTGTATGGACAAAAGCCACACAATCATCTCAATAGATTCAGAAAAAGCACTGGATACAATTTAACATCACTTCATAATAAGAACTCTCAACAAATTAGGTATAGACAGTACATACCTCAACAGAATAAAGGCCATATGGGAAAACACACAGCTAACATTATACGGAATGAGGAAAAGCTGAAAACTTTTTCTCTAAGAACTGGAAAAAACAAAGATGCCTAGTCTTACCACTTTTATTTGACATAGTACTAGAAGTCCTAGCCAGTGAAATTAGGCAAGAGAAAGAAATAAAGAACATCCACATTGGAAAATAGGAAGTCAAATTGTCCCTGTTTAAAGAAGATATGATCTTATTTCTAGAAAACCGCAAACACTCCACCAAAAAACTCTTAAAACTGATAAATGAATTCAGTAACTTGCAGAATACAAAATTAACATACAAAAATCTGTAGCATTTCTATACACCAATAATGAACAAGCAGGAAAAGAAATAAAAAAATTAATACCACTTATAAGAGCCTCAAAATGTAAAATATGTAGGAATAAATTTAACAAGGAAGTGAAATATCTCTATAAGAAAAACTATAAAACATTGCATATTCATATGCAGAAAAGTAAAATTAGACCCATTTCTCCTCATATACAAAAATCAAATCAAAATGGATTAAAGACTTAAAAGTAAGACTTGAAACTATGCAGCTATCAGAAGAAAACATTGGAAAAACACTTGACATTGGTCTGGGTAAAAGTTTTTTGGGTAAGATCTCAAAAGCACAGTCAACAAAAACACAAATGGACAAATGAGATTACAGCAAACTAAAAAGCTTCTGAAGAGCAAAGGAGACAATCAACAAAGTGAAGAGACATCTTGTAGAATGAGAGAAAATATTTCAAACTACCTGTCCAAGAGATTAAAAACCAGCATACACAAGGAATTTAAACAACTTAGTAACAAGATAAATAAATAATTTGATTTAAAAATGGGCAAAAGATCTGAATGGACATTTCTCAAAAGAAGACATACAAATGGCCAAGAGGCACGTGAAAAAAAAAATGCTCAACATCCTAATAATCAGGGAAATGAAAATGAAAACCTCACTGTATTTTCTCACCCCAACTAAAATGGCTTGTACCAAAAAGGCAGGCAATAACAGATGCTGGCAAGGATGTGAAGAAAGAGGAGCTCATACACTGTTCGTGGGAACGTAAATTAGTACAGTCACTACAGAAAACAGTACGGAAATTACTTAAGAAACTAAAACTAAATCGACCATATTATCCAGCAATCCCATTGCTGATTATATATCCAAAAGAATGGAAATGAGTATATCAAAGAAATATCTACATGCCCATGTTAATTGTGGCACTATTTTCAATACAAACAAAATATGGAATTAACCTAACTGTCCATCAATGGATGAATGGATAAAAAAAAACTGGAGCCAGGTATAGTGGCTCATGCTTGTAAACCCAGCACTTTGGGAGGCTGAGGCAGGAGGATAGCTTGAACCCAGGAATTCTAGACCAGCCTGGGCAAAATAGTGAGACCCCCATCTCCACACACACAAAAAAAATTAAAAAATAATTAGCTGGCCATGGTGGCATGTACCTGTAGTCCCAGCTACTTGGGAGGCTGAGGTGGGAAGGATTACTTGAGCCTAGGAGGTCAAGGCTACAGTAAGCTATGTTTGCACCACTTTAGCCTGGGTGACACAGCAAGACCCTGTCAAAAGGAAAAGAAAAGAAAAAAGAAAAGACAGAGAAAGAAAAAAGAGAGAGAGAGAGATCGGGGGAGGAAGAGAGGGAGGGGAAGAGAAAGAGGAAGGAAGCAAGGAAGGAAGGAAAAGGAAGATGAAAGAAAGAAGAAAGAAAGAAAGAAAGAAAGAAAGAAAGAAAGAAAGAAAGAGAAAGGAGGGAGGGAAGGAGGGGGAGAGGAAGGAAGAAAGGGAAGGAAGGAAGGAAGGAAGGAAAGAAAGAAAGAAAGAAAGAAAGAAAGAAAGAAAGAAAGAAAGAAAGAAAGAAAAGAAAGGAAGAAAAAAAGAAAAGAAAAGAAAGAATTTGGTATATATATGCAATAGAATACTATTCAGCCATAAAAAATAATTGAACCCTGTCATTTACAGCAACATATATGGAACTAGGGGTCATTATGTTAGGTGAAATAAGCCAGACATAGAAAGACAATTTTCACAGGCTCTCATTCATATGTGAGAGATAAAAAAGTTGGTGTCGTGGAGGTAGAGAGTAGAATGATGGTTACCAAAGGGAAGGGTAAGTTGGTCAATGGAAATACGTTGGTTAATGGATTCAAAAATAGGTAGAAAGCCAGGTGCCGTGGTGCATGCCTAGCTAGAGTCCAGCTACTCAGGAAGCTGAAAGAGAAGGACTGCTTGAGCCCAGGAGTTTGAGACTGTAGTGTGCTATGATGGTACATTTGAATAAGCACTACACTCCTGCCTGGGTAACACAGTGATACCCCATCCCTATAAAAGAAATACAATTAGATAGAATGAATAAGTTCTAGTATTCAATAACACAATAGAGTGACTATAGTTAACAAAAATTTATTGTATATTTCAAAATAGCTAGAAAAGATTTGAAATATTTCCAACACAAAGAAATGAAAAAATGTTTGAGTTGATGAATATCCTAAACACTGTGATTTGATCACATTACACATTGTATACATATATCAAAATATCACATATACCCAATAAATATGTATCAATTAAAAATAAAAAATAAATATAGAGGCTCTTTTAAATTATGGGATATTTATACAATGGAACACTACACAGCAAATTTTAAACTACTTATATATACAACAATAAAAATAAATTTCACAGACATAATATTGAATGGAAGAAATTAAACCTAAAAAGAATAGATAACAACCATGATACACTTCCAGGAACAAAATACACCCTCCAATCTTAAACAATTATAAAAATGGTTAGTGATCACTAAGAGAAGGTAAATAAATAAAGTGAGCCCTATAATTGCCCAGCTTACTTCCCAGTGTGAGTTTCCAAGCTGCAGTTTGCTAAACTGAGGAGACAAAGTTCAGAATTCAGAAACACTGAGGTTGCTAGAATTTATGAGGCAAAATAATAGGAAGAAGCATCATAGAGAGAAGGTTTCAAAGATCCGCACAGAGGTATACTAAAGGTTTTGGCTAAGTACTGGTTTGGAATTGTGAGAGAGAAAATTGCCCAAGGCCAATTACAGAATGAACAGAAATCAGTAGACATAATCATTCTTAAAACAAACATAGTACTCAGAATAGTTTATTTTTCCAACTAGAGAAAGTGAAAAGACTTCCTATGCGTGAGGCATATAGAATCCTCAAAAGGATGTTATTTCAGTACCAGAGTCAAATTAGCTCCAAGTAAAAGATTATTTAGAACCTGCCTAGCAAAACTTAAAATTAGGCCTAAAATATTATCAAACATAGGCCAAGCCATTTGTGCACATCTTAGAGCAAAGGTCCCATCATTAAAGGAATACAACAAAATCCAGCATGCAACAGGGTAAAATTAGTAATGTCTTGCATACAATAAAAAATGACTAGATATGTGTTATATGCCCATGTTTGTTGCAGCATTATTCACAGTAGCTAATATGTGGAAGCAACACAAGTGTTCACTGATGGATGAATAGATAAACAAAATGTGGAATATATATATAAAATGGAATACTATTCAGACTTTAAAAGCAAGAAAATTTTAACACATGCTACAAAGTGGATGAACTTTAAGCTAATGAAATAAGTCAGTCAAGAAAAGACAAATTCCATTTATATGAGGTATCTAGAATAGTCGAATTTATAAAAACAGAAAGTAGAATGGTGAATGCCAGCAGGCGGAGTATAAGGGAAATGGGAAATTTTTTTTAATAACTATGGAGTTTCAGTTTTGAAAGGTGAAAAGAGTTCTAGCAATTATTGCACAATATAAATATACTTAACCCTACTCAACTGTATACTTAAAAATTATTAAAATGTACATTTTATGTCATATATATTTTGCCACACCTAAAAATAATCCTTAAATGACTAGGCAGGCAAAGAAGCAGGAAATATATCTATAAACTGGAGAAAAATCAATCAATAAAAACAGACCAATATGACACCGATGGCAGAATTAGCAAACAATGACATTAAAACAGCTAATATACATACAAATATGTTATATATATTACAAGTATTAATTTATAAGTATAAATATATTTATAATAATTTATATATTATATAATATAAACTATATAATATATAATATATTTTATAATAATATAATTTATATTATACAATATATAATTTATATATCATTATATTATCATTTATATATAATTTATATTTATATAACATATAATTTATATATAATCATCATTATATTATACATAATATATAAATTATATACAAATCATGTTATAATATTCTTAATAATTAATTTAATTAATTTATCATTATTAATTTATTATAATGATTAATTATTAGTATTAATATATTGTATAAATATATTTATACAATATATTAATATATTTATATGTATATTTATAGTATGGTATAAATAAACATTTATAAACATACATGTATTTACATAAGACATATACATATGTACATATACGTATTTATACTATATTATAAATATACTTCATATAGTCAAGAAAGTGGAGGAAAACATGGTCATGATGACTAGAGAAATAGATATAAAGAGGACTCAAGTTGAACTAAAGTTAAAAACATATATATGGGATTAAAAATTTACTGAATGAGTTTAAGAGATTAGACACTGCAGAAGATTAGTGAACTTAAAAACATATCAGTAGAAATTGCTATGAAACACAGAAAGGAAAAAGACTGGAAAAATATGAACACTGTATTAGTACACTGTGAGAAAATATCAGGCAGTCTAAAATATGTGTAATTGGAGTTTAAAAAAAGGAGAGGGAGAAGGGAGAAAGATAATGCACATACAAATTATTTTTAAAACTAATGACATAAAGTTTTTTTCAAATTTGGTAGAAGCTATAAAACCACAAAATTTAAAATCTTAAAACGTTTTTAAAGTAGAAGAAACAAAGAAAACCACAGCAAGACATGTCATAATCCAATTGTTGAAAACCAGTGCAAAAGAGAAAAATCTTAAAGTCAGCTAGAGTAAAAAGATGTATTACAAATACAGGAACAAAGATAAAATAATTGAAAACAGACCTTATCAGAAATCAGGCAGATGAGAAGATAATGGAAGGCATCTTTAATGCACTGAAGGAAAAGAACTGTCAACCTAAAATTCCACACCCAACAAAAATATCTTTCAAAAATGACAGCAAAATAAAAACTTCTTCAGACAAACAAAGATTGTCTGAAGTTAATGCATTCATTGCTGAGTTAATTCATCAGCAGCAGACCTGCACTACAAGAAGGGAATTTCTTTGCACAAAAGGAAAACAATACCAGGTTGAAATTTGACTCTACATGAAGGAATGGAGGACACTAAAAATAATTAAATATATCTGTCAATATAAAAGACACTCTAAAATATCATTTCAAAAATTTCTTTATAAAATAATTGATTCTTTAAAGTAAAAATAATGACAATGTGTGATGGGGTTTATAGCATTTGCAGAAGTAAAATGCATTACATCAACAGCACAAAGGACAGAAGAAAAATGGAAGTATATTGCTTTAAGAGTCTCACATTCTACATAAAGTACTTTAATATTATTTTAAATTCCACTCAATACATTGAAGATTAAGTTAAAACAAATCTTAGGAAACCTCTGGAAAAAGAAGTATAGCTAATAAGCCAATAATAAAGAATGTAAAATGGAACCACAAAAAATTAATCAAAAAAGAAGTCAGTATAAGAGGGAAAAAGTACCAAAGAACATATGGATGAATGGAAAACAAAAGGCATAGAAGGGGCTTCAAGATAGCTAACTATTAGGATTTCGTGCTTGCATCCTCCACTTAGAAGAACCAAAATAGTGTATAAACAATCATCCTTCAAATACATTATCCAAGAGAGAACTCTGGAATTCAACAGAAAAAATGACTGAAAACACCAAAAGCAAGGAAGGAGAAGGAAGAGAGGCAGCCTGCTTGGCCAGGATTGGCAGGAGCCAGAGTAACTTTCCAACACAAAGGATAGTTGAGAGGCTTCTAGCAGCCCACTTCACCATGGATTCATGCATTCTTGGCCATGGAGGAGCACCTTAACATTCCCAACTTCTGAAACCAACATAGGGAGCTGCTGGGAGATTGTGAGAGAGAACTACTCCAGAAACGGAGTTTGTGTGGGATTCCACACCCTTTCTGAAACCTAAGGATCTACAAACCTAGCCTTTGGCAGACTGCATGCTGTCTTGCTGCCCAGCCCTGCTTGCTGGAGCATTAGGGAAACATGGACTGCTGCTGCTGGGACGAAGGTGCAAGCTGGGAGTACTCCCACAGCCAGGACCAAGAAGTCAGCATGGCGTGGGCTGCAGCTGTCAGTATTGGGAAGTGTGTACCACCAGGACTGAGACTGAGATGTGAGCAGGGTACAAGTTGCCACTGGGACTTAGTTGTGAGTTGGGCAGGGGCTACCTACATCCAGGGCTGTGGCACGAGCTAGGCATGGGCTACAGCCACCAGGGGTAAGGGACAAGGGCCACTGCAATTGGGTCATGAGAGGGACATGCATTGCCCAACCACTGGCCCAGGCTATGGCCACCAATGCCAGCCCCTACCTCTCCAGCTGCAGGGCCTCAGCACAACTGCTACCACACTTCACACAGGAACTCTGCCTGGGCCTGAATATTCCCCTGCTCCCTCTCACCATGGCTGGTGCCTGCTGTCATCACTGGGGAACCTGAGCACAAGCCCACCCAGATGGTTTGTTTCTCTTCCCTGAGATAGAGCACATAGCCCATGATCCTTGTGTTTGCCCAACTCAATTCACCACGTTAGGTTCCTGAACACTCTCCCAGCGGCCTGAAGTTAAGCCTAAACTCCTACCCGCTACCACCTCAGCTGGCGCTTACCAGTTAGTGCCACCTGCACGCCTGGAGATTGCCATCAAAACACACTGCTGGGGACCCAGAAAATTGTCCCACCACTGCTACTGTCATAGCCCATGCCACACTAGCTGCCTAGGAACCCAAGAACCTGCCCATCTGCCTGGATCACTCCTGCTACTATTAGTATCTGAGCAAGTCACCCGGAGGCCTATGAATTGGCTGGCCAGTAACCACGAACACTGATGCCAGTGTACATCATCCTGGGCAAAAAGATAGGCATTCTCAGCCTACCACTGTCACCACTAGGGCCTGAAGACTAGCCCACATGGCATCCCAGTCCCCAGCACAACTTTACTACAGTTTTCACTAATAGCTGCACCCTAACTCACTGAGGAAATCACAGATACCAGTAACACCACCTACAGCCAAACAAATCATACAGAGGCTGTACTACTGCATGCACCCAGAATCAAAGCCAAAATGCCCCACCCAGCCAACACCTAAAATGCATCTTCAGGAAAAATTGTCTCCTACAAAAGTAAATTCAAAAATAGGAGGAAGTGACTGCTACACCAAATACATAGATATCATCATAAGAACACATGAAAGATGAAAAAGCAAGGAAATATACCTCCAAAGGAGCACAATAACTTTCCAGCAATAGATCTTAATAAAATTTTCAAAATATTGATTTTAAAGAATTCAAAATATTGATTTTAAAGAAGTTCAGTGAGATGCAAGAGAATTCTGAAAAAAAATACAAATAAATCAGAGCAACAATTCAGGATATGAATGAGAAATTTAATAAAGAGATAGATTTTTTTTAAAAGAATTGAATAGAAATTCTGGAGTAATCTTGAAGGAAGTATAAAATACATTTGGAAGCTCAACAACAGACTAGATCAAGCAAAAGAAAGATTCTCAGAATTTAAAGAAAAGTCTTTTGAAATAATACAGTCAAACAAGAGATAAAGGAAAAAGAATAAAAAAGAATGAGAAAAAGCCTTTGTGACATTTGGTACAACATAAAGCAACTAAGTATTCAAATTATTGGTATCTCCAAGGGTGAAGAGAAAATGAAAGGACTAGAAAAACCTATTTAACAAAATAATAGATCAAAACTTCCCAAGTTATTAAGAGATTTAGACATCCAAATACAGGAGGCTCAACAAGCCCCAGGCAGATACAATGCAAAAGGGTCTTCTCCATGGCACATTATAGTAACAATGTCTAAAGCCAAAGATAAAAAGTAAATCCTAAAAACAGCAAGAGAAAAGCACCTAATCACCTGTAAAGGAAACCCCATCAAATTAACAACAGATTTCTCAACAGAAACCTTACAGACCAGAAAAGAATGGGATAATATATTCAAAGTGCTAAAAGGAAAAAAAAAAAAAAAAAGCAACATCAACCAAAAATACTATGTCCAGCAAAATTATTCTTCATAAATGAATAACAAATAAAGTCTTTCCAAGATAAGCAAATGGTGAAGGAATTCATTATCACTAGGCCAGTCCTAGAAGAAATGCTCAAAGGAGTCTTCAACCTGGGCATTAAAGAATGAGATTTGTCATCATGAAAACACATAGGACTATAAAACTCACTGGTAAAGTAATCACACAAAGGAAAAACAAAAATGATTTAAATGGTACCACTTTAGATATCCACCAAACTATGACAAACAATAAAAAATGAAAAAAATAAAGCATAAACAACCAGAAAACAATAAACAATATGACAAGAAAAAAGCCTCGCATATCAATAATAACCTTGAACATAAATGAATTAAATTATCCACTTAAAAATATAGAGAAGATGAATAGATTTTTAAAAATCCGACTATATGCTGCTTATAAGAAACTCACCTTACCAGTAAAGACACATATCCACTGAAAGTAAAAGGATGGAAAAAGCTACTCCATGTAAATGGAAACCAAAAGCGAGCAGAAGCAGCTATACGTATATTAAATAAAACAGAATTTAAGTCACAAACAGAAAAAAAAGACAAAGAAGGTCATTATATAATGAACAAGGGATCAATTGAACAAAAGGATATAGCAATTCTAAATACAGATGCAGCCAACACTGCAGTACCCACATTCATAAAGCAAATATTACTAGATCTAAAGAGATAGATGTGCTTCATTACAATAGTAGTAGGGGACTTCAACACCCTACTCTCAGACAAATCATCTAGAAAGAAAATCAACAGAGAAACGTTGTATTTAAACTGGGCTTAAAACCAAATGGACCCTACAGACATTTACAGAACATTCAACCCAACAACCACAGAATATACATTCTTTTAATTAGCACATGGAACATTCTATAGGATAGACCATATGATAGGCTACAAAACAAGGTTCATCACATTTCAATAAATTAAAATCATATCAAGTATTTCCTCCAACCAAAATGGAATAAAACTAGAAATCATTACCAAAACAAACTCTAGGAACTATAGAAATACATGGAAATTCTACAACATGTTCCTGAATGACCATTGGGTCAAGAAAGAAATTAAGATGAAAGTTTTAAAATTTATGAAAACTGAAACACAATATACCAAAACCTGTGGGATACAGCAAAAGCAGTGCTAACAAGGAAGTTCATAGCAATAAATACCTACATCAAAAAAGTAGAAAAATTACAAATGAACAATTTAACAATGCACCTAAAGGAACTAGAAAAGCAAGATAAAATCAAACCCAAAATTAGCAGAAGAAAAGAAATAATAAATATCAGAGCAGAACTAAATGAAATAGAGATATTACAACATGCAAAAGATCAACAAAACAAGAAACTGTTTCCTTGAAACAATAAACAAAACTGATAAACTGCTAGCTAGACTAACCAAGAAAAGAAGAGGAAGAGGCAAATAAATAAAATCAGAAATGAAAAAGAAGACATTACAAGTGATACCAAAGAAATACAAAAGATCATCCAGAGACTATTATGAAAAACTGTACACTGACAAATCAGAAAATCTAGAGGAAATAAAGAAATTCCTGGAAAAATACAGTCTACCGGGATTAAATCAAGAAGAATAGAAATTTTGAACAAAGCAATGATAAGTAAAAAGTGAATCCAGAATAAAATGCCTCTTAACAAAGAAAAGCTCAGGGCTAGATGAATTCATAACCAAATTCTAACACTTGTATAAACAAGAACTAATACCAATCTTGAAACTATTCCAAAAAATCAAAAAGGAGAGAATTCTCACTAACTTATTCTATGAGGCCAGCACAACCCTGATACCAAAACAGACAAAGACACAACCAAAAAAAGAAAACTAACGCCAATATATCTGATAAACAAACACAAAAATCCTCAACAAAATACTAGCAAGACAAATCCAACAAAACGTCAATGAAATTAATACAACATGATCAAGTGGGATTTATGCCAGGGATGTAAGGATGGTTCAACATATGCAAATCAATAAATGTAGCATATCTTATCAACAAAATGAAAGATAAAAAACACATTATTGTCTCAATGGGTGCAGAAAAAGCATTTGAAAAAATTTCACATTCCTTCATGATAAAAACTCTCAATAAACTAAGTATATAAGAAACATACCTCAAAATAATAAAGGCCATATACAATAAACCCATAGCTAACATCATACTGAATGGAGGAATTAGCATTTCCTCTAAGAACTGGAACAAGCCCACTCTAACCACTCCTATTGAACTAACCCTAGAAGTCCTAACCAGATCAATCAGGCAAAAGAAATAAAAGGCATCAAACTTGTAAAGGAAAAGTCAAATTGTCTCTCTTTACTAATAATATGATCTTATATCCAGAAAAGTCTAAAGACTCCACTAAAAAACTCTTAGATTTGATAAATGAATTCAATAAATTTGCAGGACATAAAATCAACATACAAAAATCAGTAGCATTTCTATACACTAATAATGATATAGTCAAGAAAGAAATCAAAAAATCAATCCCACTTACAATGGCTATAAAAAAATAAATACCTAAGAATAAATTTAACCAAGGAGATGAAATATCTCTACAAAGGAAACTACAAAATGCTGATGAAAGAAATTAAAGATGACACAAATGGAGAAAATCCCAAGCTCATGAATCAGAAGAATTAATATCATTAAAATGACAATATTGTCCAAGACAATTTTCAGATTCAGTGTAATCCCTATCAAAATAACATTATTCTTTACAAAATGAGAAAAAACATTCTAAAATTCACGTGGAACCAGAAAAGAGCCTGAATAGCCAAAGCAGTACTTGGCGGGGCAAGATGGGGACCTAAGATGGAGGCATCACATTACCTGACTTCAAAATATATTACAAGGCTATAGTAATCAAAACAGCAGAGTATTGATATAAAAATAGACATATAAACCAAAGGAACAGAAGAAACCCATATTAAAGCCACATATTTACAGCAAACTGATTCTCTACAAAACCAACGGGAACTTATATTGGGGAAAGAGCACCCTCATCAACAAGTGGTTCTGGGAAAATTGGATAGCCACATGCAAAAGAATGAAACTGGACCTCTATCTCTCATCATATACAAAAATCAACTCAAAATGGATTAAATGCTTAATTGTAAAACCTGTAGCCATAAAAATACTAGAAGAAAACCTAGGAAAAACTCTTCTGGACATTTGTCTAGGCAAAGGATTTATGAATAAGACCTCAAAAGCACAGGCAACAAAAGCAAAAGAAGATAAATGAGTCTTAGTTATACTATAAAGCTTCTGCATAGCAAACAAAATACGAGTGAAGAGACAACATGTTGAATGGTAAAAAATATTTGAAAACTATTAATGTAACAAAGGACTAATATCCAGAATATATAAGGAACTTAAACAACTCAACAGGAAAACAAACAACGAATAATCCCATTTAAAAGTGGGCAAAGAAGATGAATAGACCTTTCTTAAAATAAGACATACGTCCATTTACTGTAGGGGGAAAAAAAACAAAAAAGACATACAAATGGCCAACAGTTATATGAAAAAATGCTCAACATCAGTAACAATCAGAGAAATGCAAATCAAAACCACAATGAGATATCATCTTATCCCAGAATGGCCATTGTTAAAAAGAAAAAGATAAAAAATAGCAAATGTTGGCAAAGATGCAGAGAAAGGGAAGGCTTATACACTGTTGGTGGGAATGTTAACTAGTAAAGCTACTGTAAAAAACAGTATGGATATTTCTCAAAGAACTAAAATAGAATTACCATTCAATCCAGCAATTCCACAACTGGGTGTCTATCCAAGGGGAAAAAAAAAATCAATATATCCAAGGGATACCTGCACTTAACGTGTTTATTACAGCACTATTTACAATAGCCAAGACATAAAATGAACCTAAGTGCCCATCAATGGATGCATGCATGAAGAAAGTGTAGTATATATACACAGTAGAATACTATTTGGCCATAAAAAAATGAATTCATGTCATTTGCAACAACATGAATACAATGGAGATCATTATCTTAAGTGAAATATGCCAGGTACAAAAGGCAAATATCACATGTTCTAACTCGTATATGAGAGCTAAAAAAAAATTGATCACATGGAGGTACAGAGTGGAAAGATAGATAACTGAGACTATGAAGGTGACTAACGGAGTGAGAGAGTGAAGTGTGTTAAAGAATATAAGCATACAGTTAAATAGAAGGAATAAATTCAATGTTTGAGAGCAGAGTGGGGTGACTATACAAAAATATATTGTATTTGGGTGATGGACACTGTAAATACCGTGACTTGATCACTACACATCATATACATATAACAAAATTTCGCATGTATCCCATAAATGTATACAAATTTTAAAATACTTTTTAAAAAGAAAACAAAAAGGCAAGATGGTAAATTTAAACCCCAAAGAGTATACACTACAATAAAATGTTAATATTAGAATCTGAGTATAGACATATGGATGATAACTGTAAAATTATTTCTGCTTTATTGTATATTTAAAATTTCCATAATAAAATGTTGGAAAAATGCATTTCAACCAGAAGAAAATATATTTATATTGTATGATTAAATTCATGCAAAGTTTAACAGGCAAAAGTAATCTTTACATAAGGTGGTCAGAATAATTGTTACCCTTGGGGATGTGGTCTGGGAGAGTGCTTCATAAAGTGTTTTTGGGTTGCTAGAAATGTTCTATATCTTGATCTGAGTGATGCTTATGTGTGTGTGTGTGTAAAATTTATTATTAGATTTTACACTTTTTAGTACGTGAGTTATTCCTTACTTTTGAAAAATCCTACCAGGTTAAGTTCAGAGGTCATTGATGATATTTAAAACCCATTATTTTTCCTTACTTATAGAAATATATAGGAGAAAGCAGATTCTTTGCTCAGTTTATTATGAGAATAAAATCAAATCTGAGTAATTTAGTGACAGGTTGGATTTCATATTTTAGAGTGTTTGGGGTCTAAGTTATTCAGAATCTCTTAGTTTCACAGTTTCAAGCTGGCACAGGATGGTTTCAGCACCATCAGAATTCAGATTTCTGTACTTGGCACCTTTATACTTATCTCACTCCTGGACATCTCCACTTGAATGCTTCAACATCACATCAAAAATCTTAAGTCTACAAGTGAGTCTATTATCTCAAAGTACTCTCTCTCTTCTCTCCCTAAATTCCTTTTCCTTGTTCTATTTTTATCAGATAACCACTACTCTTATTATTACCCACTTGAAAACTCATCTTTGAGCTTCTCCTGTCTCTAACTCACGAAGATTTTTTTATGCTCTCTTTTTAACATTTCTCACATGCATCCTTTTGGCCATGATCCTATCAGCTTATTGGAATAAATTCCTAACTAGTATTCTGGCTCCAGCCTCACTCCTTGGCTATCACAGCACCACCAGATAAACTTTCCCTCCATGTTCACGGCACTCCCCTACTGCACATGTTTCAGTAGGTCACCATTCTTGGTAGGATAAAATTCAAATTTCTTAATATAACATTCAAGGCCTTCTGTGCTGTCCCAATCTGCTTTTCTAACCTAATCTCCCAATTGTCCCTAACATGTACCTGGCACTCCACCAGTATTATTAATTAAATGTACACTGCATAATTCTCTCTCAAGACCTGTTTATTCTTAAAGACAAAGGTAAACCTTCACTCCCTGAGATATTTCTGCAGAAACAACTTTCTCCTTGAAATGCTTTTGTAGTTCTATGTACCACTTACCTGACAGGTAACTCTAGGCAACATTTCTATGTTGTTCAACTTTTTCACTGTCCACATTTTATGCCTTTAAACCTGGAGGAAGCTCTTTGAAGATAAGAGCCATGTTGGGATTTTGAGTGCATGTGAGATAAATCTGAGGATATTTTGCAAGATTAGTTCACACATGGCACTGCAACTGTGAAATGGAAGAATGATTGTGAAGTCATCTGTGCATCTGTAGGCCAGAGTTGATTTTTTTAATTAAATAAATAAATAGAAGAACTCATCTGTGCAGATGCAGGAAAGCTTAATTCACAATTGCATCTCCAAATTACCTCTAAAACTGTTATGTGTCTATTCCTTTAATGTTAGGATATAATATTGTCATTGTTCAGATGACACATTGTTCACTCAGCCAGGGTATCTTGACTCAATTGAAAGTTAGAGTTAAGAAATCTGGGTTCCTTCCTGTTTTCTAGAACTACCTGGCTGTGTAATCTTGGATCAATTCCTCTCAACCTCATCTTTTCTATAGACAAAACAAGAAGTTTAGATTAGATGAGCCCTAAATCTCTTCTAATTCTAAAATTATATTGGTATTTATCTTCTATTTATTTTGTGAACTTCATATTATCCTCACTTCAGCAAAAGCTAGGGTTAAGCAAAGAAGCTTACATTTTTTGAACACCTATACTATCTTTGCCACAGTACCTGAAATAACTTTTGTTATATAGACTCTGAGGGTTTGAGTGATTTGTGTAAGTTCCCACAGCTATCAAGTGATAGAATAAACTTTTGATCCTCAGAATTTCCAAGTTGATTAAATCCAAAGCCAAGTCTTTTTCTACTACTCAAGAGGCTCAAGTAAGATCTGCTAAAAAGAAGAACTAATAAACAAATTAATAAATCTGAAACATTGGCCAAGAATAAATATTGGCATATATTTATATTGCATTTAAATAATAATTTTGCTATATAATGTCCTTATTAGAATCCATGCCAATATTAGAATTATAATAGTTTACATTTGTATAAACTTTTATAATCTACCTACAGTATCTCATGACCCTCATACCTTTTAAGTGGGTGCAACAGGCATTATTATCACCATTATGTAAGAGAAGAAACCAAGACCTGGAGAAGTTAAGCAACTTCCTCTAAACACAAGGTAGCTAGTGTAGAGATAGCATAGTAGAGTGATTAAAAGGCTGGGTTTTGAAATTCTACAGGCCTGAAATCAAATGCCAGTTCACTCTCTTCTTACCTGTGTAACATCACATGAGTTGCTTAACTTCTTATCTGAGAAATGGGGTGGCAGAAGTGCCTGCCACATGGGATTTTTATGAAAAATGTATGAGGAAATATAAGGCATTGAGTACTATGTCTAGCCTATAGTAACAAATATTAACTCTTAACAATGGTAGAACCCCCACTTCTAAATCAAAATTTCATGTCCTCTCCACTGCACCTCATGATCTTTTGATTCTTCCAAAAAAATCTCCTTTGAATAAGAAATAAGTCATAGTTTTATCATCAATTCGGTACTATAATAAGGTGCATAAATAGCACACCAAAGGAGGTATTAATGACTTACCTTCAATAAAAGGTTGAGTTATTTTCCAGGAGTGATGGTGGCTGATTTGCTTTAAGCCATTCAATGCTCTTATCCAATCCCCAAATGACCAATTATTGCACCTGCAAGATGACTCCTCCAATTGTATTTCTTTCCTAATTGTGAATCAGAGTTTTTCTCCAGATAAAGATAACTAGCCTGTAAGGGGACAGACCCCAGGAATCTAGCCTCATTAGCACGAAATGCTAAACAATTGATTCAACCATTCTAGGCCCATCAGTATTTAGTCACATGTACCAAATTTACTTTTTTTTATCATAAATGAAAGATCCTCGGTCTTGATCAAGAATTAATTAGGCTCTATTTTTATTATGTTCTGGAATATAAACTGGAAATAAATTTTAGAATGGTGGTACCATTTTTTTCTTTTTATTTCACATGCAGCCACTATAATACCTGGAGTTTCAAAATGAGAGTGTTTATATAGTAACTCTCATTGGTTGTGAGCATGCTGGCAGTGGATCAAAACCCCAGCCAAGTTTTGCAGCAGTAATTTTATTTTGATTTTAATTAGTATCAATTAGGGCTAAAAAAATAGACAGTCTGGATAAACAATGTGCAGTTGGCTTTAACAAGTAAATTAGATATTTTGCAGAAAGGAAAGGGGGGAAAATCAAGGGAAACTCTACTTTATTCTTTCCAACCCCCTCCTCCTCCCCCATTGCTGTTGCTGCAGGCAACTCAGCCTTTCAGAATGCTATCTATGTTAATATTTCACAGAGACCCCTATGTGCTTAGGGGTGTCAAAGTTGGAAAATTTATATATCTCTGATTGATGCTAATGGGGTTTATATTGTCTAGCATTGGATCCCTACCTCACATATGAACATTCTTTTCCCTCTGAATTCTTCCAGGTTTGTAATCCAGAACCCACTGAGAAATTCCCTTTTCCCTTTCTCTTTCTGCATCTTCACATCCAGGCCCAGGTTATCTTGTGAATAAGAAACTCTATAATTGTCATGAAAGGCATCCAGTAGTATGCTGATAAATGTTTAACAGCTGTCTAAAACAAGTATGATCTATAAATACATAGATTAAAAAATATATATGTATGCATATATTTTGTAAACTGTTGGTAATTGGATAGTTCTTAACCACTTGCTCTCAAACCAGTAAACTGTGTCTTCTTACTGAATAAGTTGATAGGCACTCACACCAACACATAGGGAATCTTATGTGTGCAGAAAATCAGGCTGCTGTGGCTACATGGAAAATGTTGTATGGGGCTTAGAAAAGAGAGTGGGCAAGTAATTTCTCCATCTATAGAAAAGGAGTCTAAATTAGCCATCATCCCTTTAAAGTCTAACTTTCTGTGCTTCAATTTATGTAAAATAGACCCTTGAATTTGGTCATTTGTCATAGTAATTATTTTGGTTTGGTTCTTTTTTTACATATAATTTCAACTGTTATTTTAGATGTGGGGTTATATATGCAGGTTTGTTACATGAGTATATTGTGTGACACTGAGGTTTGGAGTACTATTGATCCTGTCACCCAGAAACTGAGCATAGTACCCAATAGGTAGATTTTTGGCCCTTGTCCCCCTCTGTCTTTCCTCCATCTAGTACTCCGCAGCACCTATGTTCCCATCCTTATGTCCATGTGTACCCAATGCTTAGCTCTGACATATGACTGAGAACAGAAACACATAGATATTTATGTTAATTAAAATATTACTAATACTAAGGATATGTAATATATAATTTATAAATAATAGAATACGTAATACCATTTATTATAAAGCTCCTGAAACCAATTAGTTCTTGATGTGATTTCATTCATTGTTTTTTGCCAAACTCCTTTATCCATAGCTGTTACAAGCTCTCTATTCCCAACTCCAGATATCTTTTCATGTCCTTGCTAGTGTGCCTCTCTGCATGACACTGAGCCATTTTTGTAACTTGTCATATATGCAATTAAGTAAGTGCAGGTGACCATAGTGTAACTATGGTATGGGGAACAGCTTATTTGTTGCTTGCTGGAAATGGTGCTGCATGTTTAGCCCTGAGTTCCTCAGGTGCAGCACAACTCATTGCATGCCTAGCTTCCATGTGGGCCCATCATGTTGCCTTGTTGCCTTGACTAGCCAATTTCAAGCTACTAATGCGATGTCTCTGGATGTAGAGTAATGAATAGTGCACCATTAAATCGTATTTCAATTTTGTAAATTCAGTTGACATAAATAACCTCAAAAGCATAGGTAATAAAATGTTGTAAAATAATTAAGAAGTGATGAACATTTATTATTTTTGTTTTAACATAATCATTAAATTGTAAGTTTACCATTGGGTACACATGGACATAAAGATGAGAACAACAGACAATGGAGAATTCAAGAGGAGATAAGAAAAGAGAGAAGGAAACAAGGGTTGAAAAACTGCCTATTGGGTGCTATGCTCACTCCCTGGGTGACAGGTTCAACAGTACTCCAAAATGTAGCATCATACAATATACCTTTGTAAAAAATCTGCACATGTATCCCCAGAATCTAAAATAGAGGTTGAAAAAGAAAAGAAAAAATTAATTAAAAATTTTTAAAATTGTAAGTTAATTTAATTCTTTTGTTGTTTGATTTTGAGACTGAGTTTCACTCCAGTTGCCCAGGCTGGAGTGCAATGGTACGATCTCGGGTCACTGCAATCTTTGCCTCCCAGGTTCAAGCAGCTCTCCTGCCTCAGCCTCCCGAGTAGCTAGGATTACAGGTGCACACCACCACACCCGGCTAATTTTTTGTACTTTTAGTAGAGACAGGTTTTCCCCATGTTGGCCAGGCTGGTCTCAAACTCCTGACCTCAGGTGATCCACCTACCTCCGCCTCCCAAAGTGCTGGGATTACAGTTGTGAGCCACCATGCCCGGCCTAGTTAATTTAATTTTTAAGAACAATAATGTTTAGCAACCAAAAGGCAAAATTCCTGAAAATTTAATAGCCATCTCTTACAAACCAATATGAGCCAGCCCCCACATATGGCTGAGTACATCTCAGCTTGGTAAGTGTCTATTCACTTCTTAATAACAATGCAGGTCTTCAAGAGATCTTAAAATGAGATAGTGAGGAAATAGCCTCTACAGAAACTGAAGGGGCCAGTCTTGCCATTTCATATAGACCATTTGACATCACCAAATATCTCCTATCACTCAAGTTTTTGTCCAGTGGATCTTCTGTAGATATGAACTTCCAGACTCAATGTTTCATACATTGTTGAGACCATTTAATCAGAAACTGAACACAGTCCAGATCAAAACAGATAAATATAGGCAACATTTCCAAATGTGGAATTGGCGAAGGAATAGTTCTTCAGCCTACAATATTCTCTATAGCTTTAAGCAAAATTAGGTCCTAACCCATGGTTTCCAGAACAAAACCAATGACTTCTTAGCTGATTTGCCTCAACTCATCGATTGACCTACCTCTTGTGAAATATGATTCAAGTGTTTCTTTTTAGAGCCTTATACCTTTTTGGGGGTTATTTGGCGTTGAGAAAAGGAAATTGTGAGAAATCTGGAATCCAAATTAGTGATGATCAGACAACATTCACTCACATCCTCTTCACCGTAGCTCCTTAAAGCCAGCCTTTCAATCAGACACCAATTCTCAGGCCTCCTCCTCCTGGATCCAGTTATCAGGACTGCACTAGAAAAGCCTTCCCTGGACATTAACTTCTTACTTTTTTTTATTTAAAAAAAGAAAAAATGCAAAATGCAAACAAAACACTTGTAATTTAAACTTCCTGGTATCCAAAATCATAATGTATTCTCTACATGGAAATCCATAATCAAATGTCAAATATATGTATATATATGTATGTGTGTATGTACAGCTTTGTAATACATATAGATTATATGCAGTATGTACATATAATTTTTATTCATTCACTTTTGCAGATCAAAGCATGTTTTTAAGCCAAGCTGCCTTTTCTATGCTTATGTGGCTAAGCAGGGTTAGAGTGCATTTTTAGCTATGCAATCTTATCTTTATTAAAAAATGTTTTCTTACTTTCCTATTTTGTATATCCCTCATCTTCTTTGTGAGGGTATAGCTATGCAGTCTTGAATCACTTCAGCCAGAGTAATCCTCTGGATCAATGGTTCTCAACACATTAGACTTACATAAAGAACTTTTTTACAATCAGAAGCCCAAAGCATACCTCAGTCTAATTAAATCTCTATAGTTTTTAAAGCTCTCCAGATGATTCCAATATAAAGTCAAAATTGAAAACCTTTCACCTAGTCAATCAATAAGTCAGTATTGATAGTTTAGTATATGTCTTCTTTCACCCTTTTGGCTATACTCATACAATCATACAAAAAAAAAAACATTCAAACTAAAGAATTTTGATTAATTAAAACATGGCATATTAGCATGCATAGTACTCAGCACCTTGCTGTTTTAACCCAACAATTTACCATAGACATCCCTCCAAGTCACCACGTATAGTTCTAAGTCATAGAACAATTTTGTTAGAAGAGTGGCATACTAAAAATAGTATTTTCAGATTAACAATCTGGTGGCATTATATAGGAAGAATTCGAGATCAAAGGGACTAGAGATTTCCTAGGGGAAAGCTAACAAAATAGTTAAGAGATGAAAGCCAAGGTCTCAAACAGGAGAGGTGGCAATGGCACTGGAAAAGGGTGCAGAAATAGAATTATCAGGAAGAACAAACCATTGCCCTTAATAATTGACTGAACTAGAAGACAGGGAAGTGGGAAGAATTAAAGGTAGTTCTAGCATTTTATCTTGGAAGCCTAAAAGAATAATTCAATTGAAAACTAATTATGAGAGCAAGTTAAATGAGGAAGAAATGATTGGTTCCATTTTATACAATCCTCGTAGCCTGCCCTATAAATTTCAGACTTGCCTAGCTGCACACCACAGCAGCAAAAAACCAATTCCTTGTAATACATTTCTTAGCATATATCTCCTACTGGTTCTGTTTGTCTGGCTGAACCCTGACTGATACGATAGCCTTCAATTATACAGTAAAATGAATAGTAAGAAAGGAAAGAGAGGAAAGAGAAATAAAAGAAGGAATAAGTGGCTAGGTGAAGTGGCTCATGCCTGTAATCCCAGCACTTAGGGTGGCCAAGGCAGGTGGATTACTTGAGGCCAGGAGTTCAAGACCAGCATGGCCAATGATGAAACCCTATCTATACTAAAAAAAAAAAAAAAAAAAAAAAAAAAATTACCCAGGCATGGTGGCACATACCTGTAATCCCAGCTACTCAGGAGGCTGAGGCATAAGAACGGCTTGAATCTGAAAGGTGAAGGTTGCAGCAAGCCAAAATCATGCCACTGCACTCTAGCCTGGGTGATGGAGTGAGACCTTGTCTCAAAAAAAATAAAATAAAATAAAATAAAGGAGGAAGGAGAGATGAAAGAAGGGACTGGGAACTGAGAGAATGTAATTGTTTGAAACAGCCACTGGGAGACTCCTCAATAAATCAAAACAATTAGCTGTGCAGTAATCTTGTCTCCCCCATTATATGATTATTCTGGTAGAGGTTAAGCCTGCATATTCCATATTCATTTTAAAATCTTTCATTATACCTGGCATGTTATCCCTGGATCAGTATATGTTTGTGCTTCACTGATTCTTTCCTTATAAACCTGTGAATATATTTTCTTATCTTTGCTCTCCTAACCAAACTTTTAAGTAAGATCTAAGATTTAATGAGACCAGTTACATATCTTCTATTGCCACAGATAGGAGAATCCTCTGGTCTTCTCCAGTTGGTTCAGAACCCTGGGAAAGAAAGGAAATAAAAGAGGACACAAACAAATGGAAGAACATTCCATGCTCATGGGTAGGAAGAATCAATATCGTGAAAATGGCCATACTGCCCAAGGTAATTTACAGATTCAATGCCATCCCCATCAAGCTACCAATGACTTTCTTCACAGAATTGGAAAAAACTACTTTAAAGTTCATATGGAACCAAAAAAGAGCCCGCATCGCCAAGTCAATCCTAAGCCAAAAGAACAAAGCTGGAGGCATCACACTACCTGACTTCAAACTATACTACAAGGCTACAGTAACCAAAACAGCATGGTACTGGTACCAAAACAGAGATATAGATCAATGGAACAGAACAGAGCCCTCAGAAATAATGCCGCATATCTACAACTATCTGATCTTTGACAAACCTGAGAAAAACAAGCAATGGGGAAAGGATTCCCTATTTAATAAATGGTGCTGGGAAAACTGGCTAGCCATATGTAGAAAGCTGAAACTGGATCCCTTCCTTACACCTTATACAAAAATCAATTCAAGATGGATTAAAGATTTAAACGTTAGACCTAAAACCATAAAAACCCTAGAAGAAAACCTAGGCATTACCATTCAGGACATAGGCGTGGGCAAGGACTTCATGTCCAAAACACCAAAAGCAATGGCAACAAAAGCCAAAATTGACAAATGGGATCTAATTAAACTAAAGAGCTTCTGCACAGCAAAAGAAACTACCATCAGAGTGAACAGGCAACCTACAACATGGGAGAAAATTTTCGCAACCTACTCATCTGACAAAGGGCTAATATCCAGAATCTACAATGAACTCAAACAAATTTACAAGAAAAAAACAAACAACCCCATCAAAAAGTGGGCGAAGGACATGAACAGACACTTCTCAAAAGAAGACATTTATGCAGCCAAAAAACACATGAAGAAATGCTCATCATCACTGGCCATCAGAGAAATGCAAATCAAAACCACTATGAGATATCATCTCACACCAGTTAGAATGGCAATCATTAAAAAGTCAGGAAACAACAGGTGCTGGAGAGGATGTGGAGAAATAGGAACACTTTTACACTGTTGGTGGGACTGTAAACTAGTTCAACCATTGTGGAAGTCAGTGTGGCGATTCCTCAGGGATCTAGAACTAGAAATACCATTTGACCCAGCCATCCCATTACTGGGTATATACCCAAAGGACTATAAATCATGCTGCTATAAAGACACATGCACACGTATGTTTATTGCGGCACTATTCACAATAGCAAAGACTTGGAACCAACCCAAATGTCCAACAATGATAGACTGGATTAAGAAAATGTGGCACATATACACCATGGAATACTATGCAGCCATAAAAAATGATGAGTTCATATCCTTTGTAGGGACATGGATGAAATTGGAAACCATCATTCTCAGTAAACTATCGCAAGAACAAAAAACCAAACACCGCATAATCTCACTCATAGGTGGGAATTGAACGATGAGATCACATGGACACAGGAAGGGGAATATCACACTCTGGGGACTGTGGTGGGGTCGGGGGGAGGGGGGAGGGATAGCATTGGGAGATATACCTAATGCTAGATGACACATTAGTGGGTGCAGTGCACCAGCATGGCACATGTATACATATGTAACTAACCTGCACAATGTGCACATGTACCCTAAAACTTAGAGTATAATAAAAAAAAAAAAAGAAAGGAAAAAAAAAAAAAAAAGAAAGAAACAGAAAGAGAGAGAGAGAAAGAAAGAAAGAAAAGGAAGGAAGGAAGGGAAAGAGAGAGAAGAGGCAAGGGGACAGGGGATATTATTTATTGAGTGACCCAAGTACCCAACAATAGAATTCATAGGACTCTTGTAAAATTGGTATCTTGATGCTTGACTACATAGTATCTACAGCTGTGACAGTGTAATCAAGGTATTGCCCACAACAGACCTATCTGTGCACAATCACCATCTGTCATTTTTTTACATGGATAATGAAGGAAATCTTGTCTATAATTCAATAGACAAATTAAAATTATCATAGACAAGTACTGATTTTGTTTTACCAATACACTTATTCATTTCTTCTGGTCATGGCAATTCAGAGGGGTGGATACAAGACTTAAGCTAAAAGATAATATCTCATATCTTTGTTCAAGGATAGAATCTAGGACTAAACTGGCCAATCAGAATTCCCAGGAATTGTTTTCTCTGGAGCTCAGAGAGAGAAAAATTCTTTCCTTTTTTTTTCCTACACAGTGGTAAGGCTGTGAACCCAGAGCTACAGGCTGCCATGCACCACCCATATGAGGAAGTCTGCCTACAACGGGAGAGAATTAGCCAACTGTCAAGAAAAACAGACCAGGGAGGGAGGAGGCGTATCATCAGTATTGCAACCTCCTTTTAATTGTTTCCTGCTGCATTCTGTTTCTCTTGATTATGTCAACAAATAGAGGCCCCTTTCTGTTTAAACTGGGTCAAGTTGACCTTCTGTTACTTGCACTCAAAAGAGTCTTAATACAAATCATAATCAAGGAGAAAATCCCAAATATTAGAGCTGCATAAATGGTACTGAAAAGCAAGTTCTACCATGGAGGCAAGCTTGTAAACAGGAAACGAATCTGGGAATCAGGTGCCAAGGAGATAAGGAAAAGGTCGAGGATCAGTGTGCAAGTCATGTTGTGCTGGTTCTTAAGATATTGTCTCTTAGCTTCAAATCTACCCTTCTAGGGAACACACTGACATGAAGAGGACGACTCAGTCTTGGAAGGATTCATCATCTCCTGACTAAAGAGCCCTTGGGTCCTGAATAACTAGCAGTGATACCCAGGTAGTACACCATGGGCCTTGGGTGAGACTCTGAGACTTGCTGGCTTCAGGTGAGACCCAGCTCATTCCCAGCTTTGGTGGCTATGGTGAGAGACTCCTTCTGCTTGGGAAAAGCAGAGGCAAAAGTAAAGGAGACTTTGTCTTGCACCTTAGATACCAGCTTGCCCACAGTGGGGTAGAGCACCAAGCGGGCCTTTGAGGTTTCCAAGTCCAGACTTAGGCTCCTGGAAAGCATTTCTGGACCTTCCTTGGCCAGAGGCAACCCACTGCCCTGAAGGGGAGTCCCAGGCCTCACAGCATTTACCACAAGCCGACTAAAGAGTCCTTGGGCTTTAAGTGAACATCAGCAGAGGTCTGGCAGAACTCCCCATGGGCCAATAGTGGCAGTGGTCACCAGGAGAGGTCCCTCTGCCTATGGAAAGGGGAGGGAAGAATGGGAAGGACTTGTAGTTGGAGGGTCAGCTTAGCCACAGTAGAATAGAATGCTGAATAGATTTCTAAGGTTTTTGACTCTAATCTCTGGCTCCCAGACAGCATCTCTGGACCCACCAGGAGCCTGGGCGAACATGGTACCCTAAAGAGAAGGACATAAACCTAGCTAGCTTTCCCCTTGCTGATTGTTCACTCTAGGGACTTAAGTGAACATAGGCAGTAGCCAGGTAGTGGTTACAGCAGGCCACAGGCAAGACACAGTGCTGTGCTAGCTTCATTTCTGATTCAGCATAGTCCCAGTGGTGGTGGCCATAGTGTACTTGTATCAACCCGCCCCCAGCTCCAGACAGCACAAAGAGAGAGACATCACTTGTTCAGGAGAAAGTAAGGGAAGAGAACAAGAGTCTCTGCCTGGTAGTCCAGAGAATTCTTCCAGATCTTATCCAAGACCACTAAGGCTGCACCTCTATGAGTCTACAAGAACCACAGCATTATTGTACTTGGGGCCCAAATCCTTTCAAATACCTGGAAAGCCTGCTCAAGAAAGATAGGCACAAAAAAACCCAGACTGCAAAGACTACAATAAATACCTAACTCTTTAATGCCCAGATACAGATGAACATCTGCAAACATCAAGACCATCCAGGAAAACATAAAATCATGAAATGAAATAAATAAGGCACTAGGAGCCAATTCAAAAGAAACAGAGATATATGACCTTTCAGACAGATAATTCAAAATAGCTATTTTGAGGAAACTCAAAGAAATTCAAGACAACACAGAGAAGGAATTCAGATTTCTATCAGATAAATTTAACAGAGATTAAAATAATTTAAGAGAATCAAGCAGGAGTTCTAGAGTTGAAAACACAAGTAACATACTGAAAAATGCAGCAAAGTCTTTTAGTAGCAGAATTGATCAAGCAGAAGAAAGAACTAGTGAGCTTGAAGACAGGCTACTTGAAAATACACAGAGGAGACTAAAGAAAAACAAGTAAACTACAACGGAACATGCCTACAGGATCTGCAAAATAGCCTCAAAAGTACAAATATAAGAGTTGTTGGCCGTATGGAGGAGGTAAGGAAAGAGATAGTGGTAGAAAGTTTATTCAAAGGATAACATCAGAGAACTTCCCAAACCTAAGGAAAGATAAACATTCAAGTACAAGAATGTGATAGAGCACCAAGCAGATTTAACACAAAGAAGACTACCTCAAGGCATTTAATAAGCAAACTCTCAAAGGTCAAAGATAAAGAAACTATCCTAAAAGCAACAAGAGAAAAGAAACAAATAACATGCAATGGAGCTCCAATACATCTGGCAGCAGATTTTCAGTGGAAACCTTACAGGCTAAGAAAGAGTAGCATGACATATTAAAAGTGCTGAAGGAAAAAAAACTTTTACCCTAGAATAGTACATCTGATGAAAATATTCTTCAAGCATGAAGAAATAAAGACTGTCCCAAACAAACAAGAGCTGAGGAATTTCATGAACACCATATCTGTCATACAAGAAATGCTAAAAGGAATTATTTAATTTGAAAGAAAATGATGCTAAAGACCAATAAGAAATCATCTGAAGGTACAAAATTAACTGGTAACAGTAAGCACACAGAAAAACACAGAATTTAACACTGTAATTTTGATGTGCAAACTACTCTTATTTAAGTAGAGAGACTAAATGATGAACCAATTGAAAATAATAACTACAACTTGTCAAGACATAGACAGTACCACAAGACATAAAAAGAAACAACAAAAAGTTAAAAAGTGGGGAAATGTGTTAAAGAAGTGTAGAGTTTTTATTGGTTTTCTTTTTGCTTGTTTGTTTGTTTTTGCAATCAATGTTAAGTTGTCATCAGTTCAAAATAATGGGTTATAAGACAGCATTTGCAAGCTTAACGGTAACCTGGAATTGAAAACATACAATGGATACAAAAAAAGAACAGCAAGAAATGAAGTCATACCACCAGAGAAAATCATCTTCACTTAAAGGAAGACAGGAAGGAAGGAAAGAAGGAAGAGAAGACCACAAAACAACCAGAAAACAAAAAAACACAGTGAACAAAGTAAGTCCTTACTTATCAATAATAATGTTGAATGTAAATGGACTAAACTCTCCAATCAAAAGACATAGAGCAGCTGAATGGATTAAAAATACAAGACCCAATGATCTGTTGCTTAGAAGAAGCTTCAACTATAAAGATACACATAGACTGAAAGTAAAGCAATGAAAAAAGATATTCCATGTCAATGGAAACCAAAAAAGAGGAGGATTAGCTACCCTTATATCAGACAAAATAGATTTTAAGACAAAAACTGAAAGAAGAGACAAAAAAGGTCATTATAGAATGATAAACGGGTCAACTCAGCAGCAGGATATAACAATTATAAATATATACACACCCAATGCTGGAGCACTCAGATATATAAAGCAATTATTACAGCTAAAGAGAGAGATAGACCTCAACACAATAATAGGTGGAGACTTCAACATCTCACTTTCATCATTGGACAGATCTTTCAGACAGAAAATCAACAAACAAACACTGGACTTAATCTGCATTATAGATGATATGAACCCAATAGGTACATACAAAACATTTCATCCAGTGGCTGCAGAATAGACATTCTACTCCTCAGCACATGAATCATTCTCTAGGATAGAGCATAAAACACAATTCTTAAAACAAAACAATTCTTAAAACATTCAAAAGAATTAAAATAATATCAAGCATCTTCTCCAAACACATGGAATAAAACTTGAAATCAGTAACAAGGGAAACTTTGGAAACTATTCAAACACAAACATTAAATTATATGCTCCTAAATAACTAGTGGCTTAAAGAAGAAATTAAGAAGAAAGTTGAAAAATATTTTGAAAAAAATAGTAATGAAAACACAACATACCAAAACCTATGGGATACAGAGAAAGCACTACAAAGAGGCAAATTTATAACTGTAAGTGCCTACATCAAAAAAGAAGAAAAACTTCAAATAAACAACCTAGTGAGGCATCTTAAAGAACTAGAAAAGCAAGAGCAAACCAAACCCCAAATTAGTAGAAGAAAAAAATAATAAAGATCAGAGCAGAAATAAATGAAAATGAAATGAAGAAAACAATACAAAAGATTAATGAGACAAAAAGTTTATTGAAAAGATAAATAAAAGTAACAAAACTCTGGCTAGACTAAGAAGAAAAGAGAGAAGATTCAAATAAATAAAATCAGAGATGGAAAATGAGACATCACAACTGATACCACAGAAATTCAAAGGATCATTAGTGGCTACTACAAGCAACTATATGCCAATAAACTGGAAAATCTAAAGGAAATGGATAAGTTCCTAGACGCATGAAACCTACCAAGATTGAACCATGAAGAAATCCAAAACCTGAACAGATGAATAAAATGTAGTAAGATTGAAGCTGTAATAAAACATCTCCCAGTAAAGAAAAGCCTGGACCTGATAGCTTCGCTGCTGAATTCTACCAAACATTTAAAGAGGAACTAATATCAGTCCTACTCAAACTAGAAAAATAGAGGAGTAGGGGATACTTCTAAACTCATTCTACAAGGCCAGCATTATCCTGATACCAAACACAAACAAAGATACCTCAAAGAAAACTAGAGGCAAATATCTCTAATGAATATTGATGCAAAAATCCTCAACAAAATAATAGCAAACCAAATTCAACAATACATTAAAAAGATCACATATCATGACCAAGTGGGATTTATTCCAGGAATGCAAGGATGGTTCAACATATGCAAATCAATCAATGCAATATATAGTATCAACAGAATGAAAGACAAAAACCATATGATCAATAACATAGATGGAACTGGAGATCATGATATTAAATAAAATAAACCAGGCACAGAAAGGCAAACATCACCTTTCTTGTGGAATCTGAAAATCAAAATTGAACTGAACTCATGGACGTAGAGAGTAGAAGGATGGTTACTAGAGGCTGGAAAGGGTAGCATAGGGTGGGAAGATAAAGCAGGGATGCTTAATGGGTACAAAAGAAAACACAAAGAATGAATAAGACCTAGTATTTGATAGCACAATAGGGTGATTATAGTCAATAATAACTTAATTGTACATTTAAAAATAACTAAATAGCATAATTGGATTTTTTATAACACAAAGGATAAATGCTTGAGGGGATACTCCATTTTCCATGATGTGATTATTACACACTGCATGCCTGTATCAAAACATCTCATGTACCCCATAAATATATACACCTACTATGTTACTACAGACAAAAAAAAGTGATAATTTCAACTGATTCTGGAAAAGCATTCAATAAAATTCAACATCCTTTCATAATAAAATCCATAAAAAACTGGGTACAGAAGGAACATACCTCAACATATTAAAATTCTTATATGACAGACTCAGAGCTAGTGTCATACTAAATGGGGAAAAATGAAAGCCTTTTCTCTAAGATCTGAAACACAACAAGGATGCCTACTTTTACCACTGTTATTCAATATAGTACTGTAAGTCCTAGATAGAGCAATCAGATGAGAGAAAGAAATAAAAGGCATCCAAAATGGAAAAGAAGAAGTCGAATTATCCTTGTCTGCAGATGACATGATCTTATGTTTTGGAAAACCTAAAGGCCCCCCCCCAAAAAAATTATTAAAACTAATAAAAAAATTCAGTAAAGTTGCAGGATACAAAATCAACACACAAAAACCAGTAGCATTTATACATACCAACAATGAACAATCTGTAAAAGAAATCAAGACAGTGATTCCATTTACAATAGCTACAAATAAAATTAAATTCTTAGGAATTAACTTAACCAAAGAAGTGAAAGATCTCTACAATGAAAACTATAAAACACTGATGAAAGGAACTGAAGAGGACACAAAAAATGGAAAGATATTCCATGTTCATGTATTGGTAGAATCAACATTGTTAGAAAGTTCATACTGCCCAAAGAAATCTACAGATTCAATGCAATCCTTATTAAAATACCAATGACATTTTTCACATTCTTCACAGAAATAAAACAAAATCTGAAAATGTATATGGAACTACAAAAGACTCAGAATAGCCAAAGCTATGTTCAGCAAAAATAATAAAACTGGAGGACTCACATTACCTGACTTGAATCTACACTACAGAGCTGTAGAAACCAAAACAGCATGGTACTGGCATGAAAACAGACACATAGACCAATGGAACAGGAGAGAGAACCCAGAAACAAATCCATACACCTACAGTGAACTCATTTTTGACAAAGGTGCCAAGAACATACAGTGGGGAAAAGACTCTCTTTAATAAATGGTGCTGGGAAAACTGGATATTCATAAACAGAAGAATGAAACTAGACTCCTATCTTTCACCATATACAAAAATTAAATCAAAATGGATTAAAAACTTAAATGTAAGCCCTCAAACTATGAAACTACTACAAAAAAAACATTGAGGAAACTCCAGGATGTTACTCTGGCCAAAAGTTAAAGTGATACCCGACAAGCACAGGCAATCAAAGGAAAAATGAACAAATGAGATCACATCAAGTTAGAAAGCTCCTGCACAACAAAGGAAACAATCAACAAAGTGAAAAGGCCACTCACAGAATGGGATGAAATATTTGCAAACCACCCCTCTGACAAGGAATTAATAACCAGAATATATAAGAAGCTCAAACAACTCTATAGGAAAAAAATTGATAATCCAATTTTAAAATGAACAAAAGATCTGAATAGAGATTTCTCCAAAGAAAACATACAAATGTCAAACAGTTATACAAAAAGATGCTCACCATCATTGGTCATCAGGGAAATGCAAATTAAAACTACAATGAGATATCATCCTGAACCAGTTAAAATAGCTTTTATCCAAAAGACAAGCAATAACAAATGCTGGCTAGGAGAAAGGGAACCCTCGTACACTCTTAGTAGGAATGTAAACTAGATCAACCACTGTGGAGAACAGTTTAGAGCTTCCTTGAAAAAACTAAAAATTGAGCTACTATATAATTCAGCAATTTCACTGATGGGCATATACCCAAAAGGAAGAAAATCATCATATCAAAGGGATATCTGCATGCTCATGTTTGTTGCAGCACTGTTCACAACAGCTAAGATTTGGAAGCAACCTAAGTGTCCATCAGCAGACAAATGGATTACAAAACTGTGGTAGATATATATAATGGAGTACTATTCAGCTATAAAAAAAGAATGAGATCCTATCATTTGCCACATGAATGGAAATAAGGGTCATTATTTTAAGTGAAATAAGCCAGGCACAGAAAGACAAACTTCACATGTTCTTACTCATTTGTGGGAGCCAAAAATTACAACAATTGAACTTATGGAGATAGAGAGTAGAAGTGATGGTTACTAGAGGCTGGGGACGGGTCTTGGAAAGTGGGAATGGCTCATGGGTACAAAACAATGATTAGAATAAATAAGTTTTTGGTAGCACAACAGGGTGACTAAATCAATAATAATTTAATTGTACATTTTTAAATAACTGAAAGAGTATAATTGGATTGTTTGTAATACAAAGGATAAGTGTTCGGTGGGATAGATACTCCATTTTCCATGATGTGATTATTACACATTGCATGCCTGTTTCGAAGTATCTCATGTACCCATAAATACATACATCTACTATGTACCCACAAAAATCAAAATAAAATTTAAAAAATTCCTACCTTTCTAGACTCTGCTTCATGACACTAGGGGAGGGACTTAGAAAACCTCATTTCTCCTTCCGAGTGGTCCCTGTTGGGCTATGCCAACAGGCTGTAAGGCTAGAGAAGGGAGAAGGAACATTGTTCTTCCTGTTTCTTTGTTGTTTCTCTAAGTGTTGCCCAGCAAACCTTAGTCATCTCAGCAGTGGCAGTTCGTTCCAGTAACAAGTGATCCAGGGTCCAGGTTTTTCACTCTCCCTTCTCACAGCCCCCTTAGAGCTATTAGTGCCAACTGAGCAGAACTCCTTCTGTAGATCTCCAGTCTCCATTCTGCATGGTCCCTAACCCAAGCTCCTGAGGCACCAGCAAGGGCAGAACCCCCTCCTCTAAGGAGGTCAGTCCCAGCTTCATGAGGTCATGGCTTGTCTCTTCGTCCTCCCTAAAGGGAACGGTCCTAGGGATGATGGTTGCTTCCTACAGTTACTGTCTCCAGGCTACCTCCGTGTTCCTTTATGCCTTCTCATTCTTCCCATACCTGTTTAACAAATTCCTAACATAAATCATCTGTTAAAAATTCATGTGGTTTCTGTTCTTGAGACAAGCCCTATTTAGGATTCTGTTTATGAATGAAGATAGTATTCAGAACAGCCTTAGCACAGGCTCCAGGCTCCTAACTGTTCAAGGAACTAGGGGGAAATGAAGTGGAATGGACATTTGAGAGGAGAAATAAGGCTTTGTTGATTGGCTCTCTCTTGTTATTGGGAGGATAAATGTTATAATTTTCTCAGCTCTTACTATGGGCTAAGTGCTTTGTATACATTATTTTATTTAATCTTACAAAGCACTTACTTTCATCATTTTACAGATTTAGCTAAAAGAGGTTAAGTAATTTGCTAAATGTCACCCAGCTAGTAAGTGGCAGAGCTGGGATCAGAACCTAAATCAGTCTTATACTAAAACTCATGCTCTATGAATCTGAAACCTATGAAACCCGTCTACTTAGCTTCAGCTACAGGACAACCAAAACCCATTTTTTATGTCCCCTTTGGTGCATGTGTCTTAGACTGCCCAGTTGTCAACATGCAGAGTGTAAGTTTACTCTAATGCCCTTCTCAAGTTCTGACTACCCATTTAGGACATGTAGGAATCTCCTTCACTAAAACTAAATGTCACAACGGGAGCTGGGAATGGCGGGCATCTGGAGAGGGTAGAGTTGGTCTGATTAAAACAAGGAAGGGGGAGAGAGTGAGAAGTAGAAACAATTAGAGCCATAACAGTTGAACCAATTAGTAGAAGAAGAATTGTAACCTAATGCTCAATAAGGAAGAAATCCACTTGTTCTAAATATTAGCATACTCCTCCCGTTATGCAGTGTCTACTCCCAGCAAGCAGTCTAACTTGTGGAACAGTCTGAGCTTCTATTCAGATCTAATCATCATCAGAAGCTTTTCACTGTTTTACAACACATTTTACACAAATGTGGCCCTTTCTTTGACCCTTTGACACTCTAGTCTCTGTGGTTCAACCATTTCCAAGTGAGCTAGCCATTGTCAGAGCTAAAATAAACCAGGGGCTTTTAAGTTGGAGTTCCCATGAGGCAGGCCAACCTTACTGCTTACTGTATGTGTAATGTCAAACAAGTGACTTCATCTTACTGCCCCCATCCCAAAAAAGAAATGTTAATAATAGCCATGATGTGTTAAGCACTATTTGTCATGCACTTTGCTAATATTTGGTGTGCACTGCCTCAATCTAATCTTCACAAAAAAAATCCTGTTATTAGCCCTCTTTTATAGATGAGGAAACTGATGCTTGCAGAAGTGAATGACCAGCCTAAGGCCCACAGCTGGTAAGTACGGAAGCAGAAAACAAATTTGTCTGACTCAAACACCTATGCTCCTGGCTTCCACCCAGAAGGAAGTAACTGGTACAAAACTTGCCTTCCCACTGCAAACAACTAGAAAGCCAGACAAAATACATGAAGAAACTATTTTCAGAGAGTGGGCTACAGGGAGCACAGGACTACAACCTGTGAAAGAAGGGAAGAAGCAAGTGAGCCCTAAGATAACCTATTATTCATCTGGAAGCAATGTCCAAGCAGCTTCATGGGGGTGGGAATCCAAGCAAAGTCTCAGGTTTTTACTGAAAAATCAGAAATAAGAATCCAGGTACAATACGAAAGATGACATTTGTAAGAAAGAATACAGAAAAGGAGGAAACTATGCAAAGAACGAGCTCCAGAAATATACGTAAGATTCCCGTCAAATCTTTGGCTAAATAGTAATCTGTGCATGTGCAGGGTGAAACTCCACAAGGCAAAACAAAAATTGACTCAATTCCAAGAAGATATAAACTGAACAATTCCGAAAGCCTAGAAGATATTCCAGTACTTGTCGCTCAGGATGGCGAGACCTTGTTGAACATGGAGAGGATTGAGGAAAAACATCAGAAAAGTCACATCTTGGTAGTATGGCTAAACTATCCTCAAAAATAAAGCCTCAAAGGCATTAAGCCAATCCGTAAATAACTTAACAGCCTGCCTAAAAAAAACCTAAAGATTTTTCAGGAAAGACCACAAAATGCAACATTCAACAATATAACATTCATAATGTCCAATATCCAATAAAAATCATTAGACTTGTGAAGCAGCAACAATTAAGGAGGAAAAGATGAGCCAATAGAAACAGACTTAGAAATGACAAAGATAAGAAAATTTGCAGAGAAGGATTTGAAACAGCTGCTATATAATTACATGATTTAAATTGAGATTTAAAGCAAGGATTGGCAAATTTTTCCTATAAAGAGCCAGATAGTAAATATTTCAAGCTTTGTAGGTCCCATACAGGCTCTGTTGCATATTTTTATTTTTTATAATCCCATATAATGTAAAAACCATTCTTATCTCACAGGGCATCCAAAAACAGGCCATCAGCTAGATTTGTCTCACAGACTGTAGTTCACTAACCCTTGATTTAAAAAAAAAATCATAACATATAGAAAGAAATGACAGATGTAAAAACAAAAGAATCAAGTGGCTCTTCTAGAAATAAAAGCTACATTAGCAAAGTTAATAAATTTACTGGATTACAGCATATTAAAAGATCAGTAAGCTTGAAAACAGCAATAAAAACTATCCAAAGCAATGCATGACACAGAAAAAAAACTGAAATAAATTGAATGAATCTTGGTGACCTGTGAAACAACTTCTAGCAAGCTAGTAAATGTGTAATTTGAGTTGTAGAAGGGGAGAAGAACAGAAATTGTATTTGAAAAAATAGTGGCTAAAATTTTTCCAAATTTGATTTTTAAGAAACGCCAGTTCACACCATAATCAAATGCCAAAAACCAATGATAAATAGAAAAGTTTAGAAGCATATACAGAAATAAAATGCATTACATTATCTAAACGGGGAAAACATAACTTGTCTGGACTTCTTATCAGAAATATTGCAAGTCAGAAGACAATGGAATTTCAAAGTACTAAATTAAAAGTCTTTCTTTACCTCTCTGCTAATCTGCCTCTCAATGAGTGTAGTAATAATTCTTAATACACATAATTTCTATAAGGACTGAATAAAATAATACCTCTTACTTTAAAAACTCTGAATATGAAATTTGTTATACTATTATTGTTAGTATTAACAATAATACTGTTAGTAATAATATTGTTACTGACAATAGTATCGTTAGTAATAATATTGTTACTAACAATAGTATTGTTAGTATACTGTTATTGTTAGTATTACTGTTCCTATTCTTATCTATTATTATTTCTATTATTCTATTTAAACATGAAGTAATCACACTTTCATATCTATACTACAAAATCCCAGACTTCTAGTATGGTAATCTGCCCTAAAGGATCTTTCAGGTTCATCTCCCTCTTCTCCCACATACATTTGCCTATTGGATTACTCCCTGTTCTCTGGTCCACTGTTTTATCACTTCTACGCCTTTGCACATACTTTAGCTAACCATTTTCAAGGCCTAGCTCAATGCACACGTCTGTTAGAATCTTTCATTGTCATCTTTCCAGAAGCAATTTCTTCCTCTTCTATGTTTCCCATATAAACATTTATACCAGTATTTCTCAAACTTTCACGTGCATAAGAATCATCTGGAGGGACGCCTGAGAGCTGGATTGTCATGAGCTCCTAAATGCTGTCAATGCTGCTGGTCTGAGCAGACCCCACTTTTGAGTAACAAGGTTTTATGCCTTTTCTTATGATTATATTTCTATTGTCTCGCCTTCTAGAATAACTCTTTAAAGAAGAGAACTGACTTACTTTTGCTTTCGTAATTATCATGGCACCTAGTAAGGGACTATGCAGCTAATTAATAATAAATAGATGATAGATAGAGAAATAGATATCATCTTAGCCAAACTCCTGGTTCCTAGTCAAACCAAACCTCACCTCTTGACACTTATTAATCCGTATCCAGTTTTTAAGTGTTGAGGGAAGGTGAAAAACCTAAGGTCTCTATGAAGCCATTTACCAATGTATAGCCCACTACACCATGATAGCTATCTGAAATTATGAGAAATTCACTGAGAATGATACTGTTGATAAAATTTTCACTCATCTTGCTGAATTTAAAATGTGAATTTGCTGAAACTTATTCTTGACACAAACACCATAAGTACCTTCTGTTTCTTGGGTAAAAAGGAGCACATGTGTGATATGCTGTATTCTGAGTAGGAAGATTGTTATAACTGAAAACAGAAAAGCATTTCTTCCAAACTCTTATAAACTTAATGGAGTCTCTGCATTTCAAAAGCTTCAGAGACTTTTTCTTCCATTCCCTACCCACAAACTCCATGCTCTGCAGGCTCCTGGATAGTGCTGCCTAACTATACACTGTATCCTGTCATGTGACTGACAGGGCCAGCTAGCAGCACCTCAACATTGTTTTGTACTGCAAGACTCAACATGTGTTTCCCCTTTGCAGAAATTACATCATGTCTCAGGAAGTCTCCTCTCTCCAACAGAACCAGCGGATATTCTCAGCCAAGGCTTTGCAAGTAAGAAAAGAAGATAAATGGATCCTGGTGCCGTTGTTTAAAGTGTGCATGCTTGCTACAGAGTCTTCATTTCATAGTCCAGCCTCAACCAATTCACCTATGCATTACGTTCCCACTGCCTCGCTTCTCACTGAAACGAACAAGACATGGGTGAGGAGGAAAGTTTGCACTTGTTGTCTGTGCACTTCTTACATAAAGTACAATTGTTTTCTATCCTTGGCCTTTGACCAAAAGTGAGCCAGCTAATAGTTTAACTTCCACTCAAACAAACATTTTAACCTGTAATCAGAAGAGTTGAAAATAGCAAATTTCTGGGGATTCCATTTCTTTCATGATACCTTCTCCACTTTCTCAGAAGAAAACTAACAAAACATGCTTGCCTTACTTAGTTTGAAAAAAATTGAGACTGCTGTCTTTACTCTTCACCCAAAAGATACGTTCCTTTGTTCCTCAATCTGAAATGCATTTCCCATATCTGCATATTACATTAAAATCTTCCTTTCTAATATCTTTTTAAAGGACTAGCTTTGTGTTCAACTCTTACTAAGCCCTATATATCCCCATCATGGTTATTTGTCACAGGTTGCAAGCAACCAGATGCCGGAGACAGAGACAACATGATTCTCTTTTGTCAACGCTCAGCAGAGCACTATAGATAATTTACAGCTTTTTTGAATATGATGATAATCCTAATGCGCCCTTACATTTTAATAACACCTACGAGTTTTTTAATGATTTTCTGCCTGTGATATTACCATCATCATTCTTTATTTTAGAAATATTTGTTGAGTATTTGCTCATGAAAGGCACCATGGAAGGCATTCATAGGGATTATGATGAGTCTCTGCCCTCATTTAAGTTATATTCAGTGAATGTTTATTGAGCTTCTCTGAGGTGATATTTTTTTAAAGGGTTATAAATTTCTTGGTCGGGTGTGGTGGCTCACACCTGTAATCCCAGCACTTTGAGAGGTAGAGGTGGGTGGATCGTTTAAGGTAAAGAGTTTAAGACCAGCCTGACCAACATGGTGAAACCCCGTCTACTAAAAACACAAAAAATTAGCTGGATGTGATGCTGCACGCCTGTGGTCTCAGCTACTCAGGAGGCTGAGGCAGGAGAATTGCTTCCATTCGGGAGGTAGAGGTTGCAGTGAGCCGAGGTCGCACCAGTGCAGCCTGGGCAACAGAGCGAGATTTCATCTAAAAAAAAAATGTTATAGATTTCTCCATTATGTACATCAGAAATGTGAGGTCCAGAAATATTTAATGATTTTCCCAAGTCCACTTAGTTAGCTCTGGTACAAAGGATGTAGCAAACCACAGGTTTTGTGACAGAGATTGATTCGAGCCCAGATGGCCAGAAGTTGCCTGCATCATTGACAATTAGTTTCCAAACTAAGATAACAAATAAATTATAAGGCCTTGGCATACTGGAAGAAACATCAGACTAGCAATCAGGATATTTGGATTTGGATTCCATAAATATAATAAATTTAAATAATAAATTTCCTAATGCATTGAATAAGGATAGTAGTTTTAAAACAGTATTACTCAGAGTCCTAGGGTTCTAAGGAAATGACTTAGGAGTCTTTGAGTGGAGTAATGGGAGGATGAGTTGGCTCCAAGCAATCTGCTCCAGATTTAATCAGAGCTTTGATCTGTTTTATATATTGATGTTCTGCATGTAATCTTAATCTTAAAAAGAAATTATTTTTTTAAAAAAACAATAAAAACAAAAATAACTTAGAAACCAATTAACTGAGTGACCTTTAAAACCTTTTTCAATTCTGATCATCTATAACTTGGTAAACTTTTCAACATTATCAGCCAAGAGTCTGTTTCTTCTTCATTTGGGATGGTTAACAAGGGGCTTAATTCCCAACAGACCCATTGATACGGTAGACTGTAGAGTTTTGCTGCTCAAAATATGGTCCATGTATCAGCAGCATCAGCATCACCTGGAAGTTTATTAGAAATACAGAATCTCAGGCCCCACCCAGATCTCCTAAATTAGAATTTGAATTTTACCAGGGTTTCCAGGTAATTTGATGAACAATAAAGTTTGAGAGGCATTATCTACAAGATTTTGGAATCTTTCTTGGTTGACTTGTATCATTGGTTCCCGTCACGTTCTCCTCACCATGGTTTATACCAGGAAGATTAGGATAGCTGACATTTGTGCTCTGTCCTTCCTCTCTATGGCCCCAAGGGAAAAGGTAGAGTCAGTATTTGCCATTTTTGCCCATGTCTTAACTAACAACTTAACAGTCACCATCTACCAATGTATCGTTATAAATGTCCCTATAGTACCCATGACCATTTGGGATGTCAGGGATATTGAAAACAGCTCTTCCCTAGTAAATCTGAGACCCCTTTGATGAGATCATCTTTTTAACCCAGTCCAATTCTGAGACTCACTAATTTTATAATACAGACATTCATAACAAAAAAACTCTCAGATCCTTTACAAATTGCCCCAGGCTTGTCCATGTGTTATTAAAGTTGGGCTGAGTAATAAATGCTATAAATGTCTTAGGAGACAGCACTCATGCCCAGTGAGCATGACATCCCATAATAGACCTATTTGGCTTGTTACCCTGGCGCCTTTCTCCACCCTGATCTCTGGAAACCAGAGAAAGGCAAACATTAGAATGTCAATCCAAAGCTGTAGACATGGGTATAAGATGCTTTGCTTGGAGAGTTTTCATAAGATCATATTTCTGGCCAGATTCATATTACTTCAGAGTTGTAGTCAGAGGCGATTTTTTCATTAGCATTTCTTTTCCCAGAAGGAAAACATTATCTCCCAAATAAAATTCAAGTGAACTAAATCGCTTCCAACCTCAGCATCATTTCAGGCTTGGTGTCACTTGTAGATTCAAGACTGAGTCCTATTTAATCTACTCAGGTTCCACTCCTAATAGGAAAAATGCCAAGAAACAAAGAAAAGATGCATCCCATTTTCAGAGGCAATCACCGTCTACACTTTAGACTGATCATAAAGCAGTTCAATTTATCAACGTCTTACAGAGTCAGCTCTCCCTGGCATAGTCAAATCTGACTGCATTCATTCTTTCACCAAGCATTTACTGAGTGTCTACTATATGCCAGGTACTGGGCTGGCCACTAGAGAAACAAAGATAGTATTTTAAATCAAGAAACTCATAGTTTACCTGCAAAGACAGAAATATAAATTACTATTAAATCATATAATCAATATCTTACTGATGGTTTGAACAAGATAATATGGGAATACAGACTGGTAAGCAATGAGGAGCCACAAATGGGTAAGACTGTGTCCTTGCTTTTGAGGTTATAATCTAGATGGGAAATCAAGAAAAATGCACCCTAACTCTGTTAGGCCATTTATGGTAAGTGCCAAATGTATGATTACCCAAAGCACAGCCAGGGCTGAATGTTGATGGTGAATTAGTCATAGTACCTACATAGTGATTAAGTGCTGTCAGGTGGGCCGGGAGCGGTGGCTCCTGCCTATAATCCCAGCACTTTGGGAGACTGAGGCAGGCGGATCACAAGGTCAGGAGTTCCAGATCAGGCTGGCCAATATGGTGAAACCTCGTCTCTACTAAAAATACAAAAATTAGCTGGGTGTGGTGGTGGGTGCCTGTAGTCTCAGCTAGTCGGGAGGCTGAGGCAGGAGAATCGCTTGAACCCGGGAGAAGGAGTTTGCAGTGAGCCGAGATCACGCCACTGCACTCCAGCCTGGGTGACAGAGACTCCATCTCAGAAAAAAAAAAAAAAAAAAAAAAAAAAGAGCTGTCCAGTGGGCTGTGGCTGTGGGAATCAGGGACAGGGAGAGGAATGAATGGATTTTAGCAGACTAAAAAATGAGAACAATTCCTATTGCAGAAAGAAATGAGAAAGGGAATGTCTGAGAAGGGAAACTAGCATGAACAAAGGCACCCAGATAGGAAAGCACCCCATCTCCCCACTCTGGAGCAAAAACAAAGTTCTCAGTCTGCTTGGAACAGAGGTTTCACGTATAGAGTGTGTTCAATGATAAATTTGAAAGGCATACTGTATTAGCCTGTTCTCACGCTGCTAATAAAGACATACCCAAGACTGGGTAATTTATAAAGGAAATACATTTAATGGACCTACAGTTCTGCACGGCTGGGGAGGCCTCAAAATCATGGCAGAAGACGAAGGAAAACAGACTGCTTACATGGCAGCAGGCAAGAGAGCTTGTGCAGAGGAACTCCCATTTATAAAACTATCAGATCCCATAAGACTTATTCACTACCAGGAGAACAGTATGGGGGAAACCACCCCCATGATTCAATTATCTCCATCTATCCCCACCCTTGACACCTGGGGATTATTACAATTCAAGGTGAGATTTGGGTGGGGACACAGCCAAACCATATCACATACTGAGGCCAAAGTAAGTATGGGATCTTGAATAGCATATATAGAAATGTGGATTTTATTTTTTTTTGAGAGTTCCTTTTTTTGTTGTTCTCAATCTTCTTTATTGTGGTAAAATATACACACATAAGATTTACCATTTTTGCCATTTTTTTAAATCTTACTTTAAGTTCTGGGATGCATGTGCAGAATGTGCAGGTTTGTTACATATGTGTACATGTGCCATGGTGGTTTGCTGCACCTATCAACCCGTCATCTAGGTTTTTAAGCCCCACATGCATTAGGTATTAGTCCTAATGCTCCCCCTCCCCTTGTCCCCCACCCCCCGACAGGCCCAGGTATGTGATGTTCCCCTCCCTGTGTCCATGTGTTCTCACTGTTCAGCTCCCACTTATGAGTGAGAATATGCCATGTTTGGCTTTCTGTTCCTGTGTTAGTTTGCTGAGAATGATGGCTTCCCGCTTCATCCATACCCCTGCAAAGGACATGAACTCAGTCTTTTTTATGGCTGCATAGTATTCCATGGTATATATATGTCACATTTTCTTTATCCAGTCTATCATTGATGGGCATTTTGGTTGGTTCCAAGTCTTTGCTATTGTAAATGGTGCTGCAATAAACACACGTGAGCATGTGTCTTTATAGTAGAATGATTTGTAATCCTTTGGGTTTATACTCAGTAATAGGATTGCCGGGTCAAATGGCATTTCTGGTTCTAGATCCGATTTTATTCTGTAACCAATAAAGAGTTCACAGGTGAATGAAAGGAAATCAGTGAGAAATTAAATTTGTGGTAGTTTGTAGGATAAATTAGAGTAGGAAGTTACTGGTGAAAGGGGGATATTTGGAGGTAATTTTTATGAATAGAATGCTATGCCTACCTTTAATAATCATTAGTAAGCAGCCCTTATATTGGAGAGGGAATCCAAGGTAAATGCATCATTATTTCTGAGGAGTGTTCCTTGTATAAAATGTAGTTGAGGATCCTGGATTTGAACTTAAATCCTCATCTCTAGATCATTTCCTTCATTTAAGTTGGTTAAACCCAATGAACCAGCACTGTAGTAGGCACTAAGAAGATATCATCTAGAATTTCAGAACTAAGGGAATATTAGAACTGTAGGGAGCTTAAAAGTTATTTTGTATAATGACTTCATTTTGTGGGTGACAGAGCCCCCAAATGACAATAGTCAGAACCTAGAGTTAAAATGCCAGTATCTAAGTCCAAATCCAATGTCCTTTCCACTACATCAAATTCATCGTCCAGTATCAGGCACTATGCCTCCGCTCAAAGAGTTTGCACATAGAGAAACATGCAAACACTGTTTTTTATGCAAGGAAGGTATAAAAGCACGTGCTCATCCCACTGTAAGGAAAATGGGGTAATATTTCTTAAAGACTGGTAGAAAAACAAGCTTCCCATGCATTAAGATAGTAAAGTTTTCTTCCTGTAATCTCAGCACTTTGGGAGGCCAAGGCAGAAGAATTGCTTGAGGCTAGAAGTTCAAGCCCAGCCTGGACAATATGGCAAAACTTTGTCTCCACAAAAATTTAAATTTAAATTTAAATTTAAATATTAGCCAGTCATGGTGGCATATACCTGTAGTCCTAGTTACTCTAGAGGCTGGAATGGGAGGATTGCTTGAGCCCAGGGATTGAGCTTATAGTGAGCTACAATTGCCCCACTGCACTGTAGCCTGGGCAACAGAGCAAGATCCTGTCTCAAAACAATAGCAATGAAAAAAAAAATGAATAAGGTTTTCTGACAGGCTTAATGGCCACACAATGAAAAGGTACATTTTTCCTTGAGTTTCAGCTTCTGAAGCAAAGTTTGTCCTGGTAGATAAAGAGAAAGCCAATCTCTTTCCTGTGGAAATAAAACCTTCACTTGATTTGCCTAATGCTGCCTCCTTTCTAAATGGTGGGCCCCTAGAAATCAGGACCAAAGGATTTGTAATTTGGGGGTCACAATACAAAGTGTTCAATTACTTTAAATAGATCCAAAAATCAACACAACATTTCAAAGCCCTCAAAGAAACATATTCATAGACACTCCAATAATTAATCATTTTCTTACCTGTCAAATCCCTTTTTATAAACTAAATGCATTGATATTTGGCATGCAGATGGCAGCAGAATGGAATTGTAATTGCTCATTAAGCATCTCAACCATGGGTCTTAACGCTTTCTTTCGGTCCAGCTATTACAATATGCATGGACATTAGAAAAGAGAGATGGAGAGGTCTGTCTCAAAAAGGTTTCTATTTTTCCAAAGCTTATTGAAATAGATATTATTTTATCCAGACTAAGTTTTCTACCTGCAGATCTTTATGTCTATTTCTTCTTTAAAACATCTTCCTCTTTAAAACATCTACCAGCATAACATGTGTTATTATGCCCCAAAACAGACTTGAAATAATTAAAATATATTTGTTTTATAAATGTATTCAACATAAGTCAAAAAATTATGGAATATTGCTATTCATTGAGTTGTTACAGGATATCAAGTCTAACCCTCCACTGGCTGCTTAAATCCCTACTATGGTACCTTATGAAATTGCTATTCTAGCTTCTACTTGAATATCATGAATGAGAAAAAATCTACTACCTATCCATTTTTCCAAGGTTACCTCTCCATTTTTATGCATTATTACCTAATGAAAGCCAAAATGTGCTATCTTATAGCTTTGTGGTTTTGAGAAAACAGAGATCGAATCTGTTTCCTCTTCCACATGACAACTCAAGTCAACAGATATTTATTGAATCTGAACCAGGCACTGTGCTGTGTACTGGATATTGAATGAATGGATGACACATGGTCCTTGTTTTAGAGATACTTATATTAGTATGGGTAAGACTGATGTGGATTAGTATACTCGGAGTGTTCAGATGCATAGAAAGGGATACTTAATCCAAATTTTGAGGGGTAGGGGAAGTCTTAACTAAATTTTTAAGGACAAATAGGAGTTAGCCAAAGAATTAATTCCCTAGAAGAAAAATTTAAGCAATGGTGTACAAATGAGAAATTGTAGGCTGTAATATATTTGAAAACAAGCTCCCCTTGCATTTCTACAAGTAGAAAGACATGAAGAGGGAGTGATAGGCAACAGGGCTAGAGACATAGACAAGAATCAGATCAAGAAACTTGTACACTACACCTAAAACCTCTAAAGTGGTTTTAAAAGAAGAATCATACAACAGATTTACTCTTTTGTTAGATCATCTTGGTAACAAGAGAAACAAGGGTAGAAGAGACAAGACTATTTAAGAAGTTATTACAGTAAGCCAAGTAAAAATGATAAAAAGCTGAATCCAATCTGTAGTAATGTGGACGCATTAAAGAAATATTTATGAAGTAAAACTGACAGGTCTGGATAACTAATTAGATGTACAGGGTAGAGGAGGATGACAGCTCAAAGATGACTCTTCGGCTTCTAACTTGAGTAATTGGTTGACTGTTGGTACTGCTAATTGTGGGTACATCAAGTTGGAGATGCTAGTATAAGTTGAGGTTGGATTTCTTTTTTTACAAAGTTTGATGTAATTTTAAAATACCATTTAAGATGAATGGTTTGTAACTGAATACAAGTCTGCCGCTCAGAGGAAGATTGGTCTTGGAAAAATAAACCCAGCATCTAAGTGAATAATTATCAGCTCAAGAGTATGTGAGATCACCCAGGCATAGAAAACAACCTGAGAGAGGAGAAGCATAAAAAGAGAAGCCTGAGGAACAACATTTACGGGAATTTCCAATAGCTGAAGACAGCCATTGTGTTCCTTCTTTGGATTTTTCTCTTCTACACTAAACATTTACCGATTTTTTCATTGTATCTTCTATTCAATTGCCTTCAAAGATGCTTCATGTTGCTGATTTTTCTTCTAAAACAGGATGCTCTTGATTGATGCTAATCCATGAGCTGTGGACTGACTAGAGCTGAGAAGATGGTCTCCATTCTGGATGTCATAAGGAACAGAAATGGCAAGCAATTCACCAATCTGTGTGCTCCTACTTCCTTACTATAGATTTGTCCATAGAAGGCAGGAACTGTATTTCCTCATCTCTCTTGCTAATGAAATGTGAGGAGAAATGACGTGTATCCTCTCTACTCTTTCTTTCCTCACCTTTAAGCTAAATGCAAATGACAATGAGGCCAATGCTTAGAGGACTGCTGAGCCATGAGATGGAAGGAACTCAGGACATGGAAGAAAACAACATATGAGACAAGATATATCTATCTGAGTCTGACAGTTAAATGAAAAAGAATTAAATTTCAATTATGTTATGCCACTGAGACTTAGAGGTCTACTTTTTTGCAGTAGCTATTACTCTAACCTAATACCATACCCCTAATAAAACAATGTAAGAAAACATTAATTTTGAGAGGAGGGACATCGCACCAACATGTTTTCAACTAAAATCCCTCCCATAGAGAGAAAGGTCTGTGAGAGGGAAGTCTAGAGTAGATGGAAGTGAGGAAAGATCGGAAGCCAGATGAAAACGCACTACATCCAAAGGAGTGATTGGGAACTGGGGAAAAGCTTGGGCTCCTGGGATGGACAGGAGGAGGACAGATTACCTTTGATTTCATTCCATTTTTATTCTTTTAATTCTCCCATCTTCAAGTCCTGCAAAACTCAAAGCAGAACTTTACATGCATCCCTAATAAATTTCATCTTACTAGATTTGGCTGATGACTGAATATTTTGAAGATCCATTTGGAATTTGATTTTTGTCCATGCAGTATGTTAACTATTTCTTTCAACTCTTTGGCATCCACAAATTTGACCAACTATCTTTGAACCATTATCAAAAATAATTGAAAAGTTGGGCTTGGGCTACCATTTTCAGAAGTGTTTCTGTAATTGCATTTTGCATGAGCTCTCTATGGGTCTTTCCCAACCCTACTGATACGCTCCCCTCCCCCAACTTAATCAAACTTCTATAATTCTACTCAACTACTGCTTTGAGTTTTGCAGGACTTGAAGATGGGAGAATTAAAAGAATAAAAGTGGAATGAAATCAAAGGGAATCTGTCCTCCTTCTGTCCATCTCAGGAGCCCAAGCTTTTCCCCAGTTCCCAATCACCCCTTTGGATGTAGTGCCTTTTCATCTGGCTTCTCATCTTTCCCCACTTCCATTTACCCATTACACTTCCCTCTCACAGACCTTTCTCTCTAAAACCAAACTGTCGCATCACTTCCTGCTAAAGACCTCCAGTGACTTCCCATTAAATCCTACTCCCTTCGCGTAGTGTACAAAGATGTTTTTGAGATGGACCCCATCAGTCTCATTTTCCTTCACCTCCATCATAAACTCCTTGTCACTCACCAAATGTACTATGACTTTCCATAGGTCCATAGGTTGTAAATATTGTTCTTCAGCTTGAACTGATGTTTCCCATACTTTTCTACCTCCCTTTTCTTTGGGATATATACCGAGATGAGGTGTATATCTGGATCATATGGTCGCTCTATTTTAACTTTGTGAGAAACTTCCATACTGTTAGTTGCCTTCTCCTCTATGTCTTCACATTTACTCTGCTCAGCTTCACTGCTTACAATTCCTTTTTCCTCCTCCAGCCTGCGAGCATGTTAAGGACAGGTCTGTGGCTCTCAGCTCGATTTCCCTTGCTCCTAGCACAGGGTGTCCTTCGCAATTGGTTTTCAATAAATATGTGTTGGCCAGGCGCGGTGGCTCAAGCCTGTAATCCCAGCACTTTGGGAGGCCCAGGCGGGTGGATCACGAGGTCAGGAGATTGAGACCATCCTGGCTAACACGGTGAAACCCCGTCTCTACTAAAAATACAAAAAAAAATTAGCCGGGCATGGTGGCCCACGCCTGTAGTCCCGGCTACTCGGGAGGCTGAGGCAGGAGAATGGCGTGAACTCAGGAGGCGGAAGCTTGCAGTGAGCCGAGATCACGCCACTGCATTCTAGCCTGGGCAAGAGAGCGAGACTCCATCTCAAAAATAAATGAATAAATAGATGTTGAAATAATGAATGATTATAGAGGGAAACACAAATGGTCAGTAAATGGAAAAAAAGGTGGTAAAAGGTGCAAGACAAACTTCTGATAAGGAAACAAAAAGTTCAAATTGCCAATGTTTGTGCAGCTTTAGGAGAAACATACATGCATTGTATGTCTTCCAACTTGATTAATGTATAATTGGCAAATAGAAATTGTATATATTTAAGGTGTACAACATGATATATTGATGTATGTATACACTGTGAAACAATTACCACAATCAAGCTAATTAATATATTAATCACTTCACGTAGTTACTATTGGAGTGTGTGTGTGTGTGTGTGTGTGTGTGTGTGGTGAAAATTTGTAAGATCAACTTTCTTAGCAACTTTTAAGTATGCAATGCATTATTATTAACTATATTCTTATGTTATACATTAGATCTCCAGAACTTATTCATTCTACATGATCGGCACTTTGTACCCTTTGACCAATATCTCCCCATTTCCTCCACTCCCCAGCCCCTGGCAACCACTGTTCTACTCTCTACAACTATGAGTTCTAGTTTAATTTAGAATCCACATCTCAATTAGACCATGCAACACTTCTCTTTCTCTGTCTGGCTTATTTCACGGTATCATGTCCCCCAGGTTCATCCATGTTGTTACAGATGGCAGGATTTCCTTCCTTTTTAAGGCTAAGTAATATTTCATTTTATATATATACTCATGGACCACATAATGTTTTGGTCAATAACAGACTGTATATGCAATGGCATCCCATAAGATCATAATACTGTATTTTTACTATACCTTTTCTATGTTCAGATACCTTTAGATACACACAGAACCATTTTGTTACCATTGCCTACAATATTCAGTACAGTAACATGCTATACAGGTTTTTAGCCTAGGAACAACAGGCTGTACCATATAGCCTAGGTGTGTAATAGGCTACACCACCTAGGTTTGTGTAAGTATACTCTATGATGTTTGCACAACAACAAAATCACTCACAAACACATTTTTCAGAATGTATTCCCATTGTTAAGTGATACATGTCTTTATAGACGATTGAATATATAGATATGTGTATATCAAGGAGCAATAGGCTCCTAGATGCACACACCACATTTTATTCATTCATCCATTGGTGGAAAATCAGAATGATTCTACATCCTGGCTATTATGAATAATGCTTCCATGAATATGAGAGTGCAGATATTTCTTCGACATACTGCTTTTATTGCCTTTGATGGCAGATGGAGGATTGCTGGATCATATGGTAGTTCTATTTTAAAATTTTTTTTAGAAAACGTCATGCTGTTTTCCATAATAACAGTACTAATTTAAATTCTCACCAATAGTGTACAAGAGTTTTCTTTTCTCCACATCACACCAACGCATGTTACCTTTTGTTTTTTTATTATAGCCATCCTAACAGGTGTAAAAATGGCTCAGATATCTCATTGCCATAAATGCATTATTGTCCACTTCATTAACATGTGACTTTAAGAACCAGCATTTTTTTATTTTCAGAATGACTAAAGGTCATCATATGTACACAGAGCTTTATCTTTATGAGACCTGGACCTACAAGGATATGTAATGTATAATACAACATAATAGACTAAGAAATTCCCTTTATATTTAACTATGGATATAGTTAAGTATGAAACTTCCTTAATATTTAAATTTTTAATACTGGTTCTAAAATCAGCACTCTTGTACCTGGTCAGCTCAAAATACTATTATTTATTTATTTTTGTTTGTTTTAATAAAATAATGAAGAATATCAATGAAAAATGTCCAAATACATGGAAATAAATTGAGTAAAAAGAATAAATCCAGTAATTAGTCTGGGAGTACAAAGCAGGGTTGATTTCATTACATAATCATTTCCAAAGGGAACTAGCTGTCTTCCTTTTGAATCTTGATTAAAGGTGTGCATAGGAAGGATATTCTACTCCATGTTCCTTGGGGATTTCTTTCCATGATCTGGTTTCCCTTGAGTAGTTGGTATGATTAACTGGGCTGGTTTCTTTTATAATTGTCCTGAAGCGCTTTGCATTTTGCAAAACTGCTTCGCAATTGTTTTTTTCTCAGGATGTACTTAAAAATGAATCCATTAGGTGTAGCGGGCAAGCACAGCTCAGGGAGGTGTTGTTAGCAAAGCCAGAATAAAATCACAGAAAGTCTTCCCATTTTTTTAGGGTGCTCAAAGTGCTTTTCTCAAAATATTTGCATTTCCAAAACTCAAATATGTCCAGAAGAACGGTGAACTTAGCTTTTCCTCTTTGGATTTAGGATAGAGTTGTCAGATAAAATACAGGATGTCCAGTTAAATTTGAATTTCAGATAAACAATGAGTATTTTTTTAGTATAATTAGGCCCCATGTAATACTAGAAATTCTAATAGTTCTGCATTTTATTTGCTAAATCTGGGAATCTTAACTTAGGAAGATAATGTTACTCACCCCAGAGCTGTATGAACTTTGGGCAAGGAACTTAATGGATTGAAATCTCCTCATCTCTAAAAATAAAATGTTGTACTACAAAAATTGCAAGTGCATTTTATTTCTAATTCAGCTATGATACAACATCTTTTCATCATGCAAGATTTATCTAGAGGTATAATTACGGGTCATGCAAAGAGTGCCCCATTTGGAGTAAGAAGGATCTGAGTTTGATCCCACCATTAATTAACTATGTGATCTTAGGCAATCAAATTCTTGAAATCTCGGATTCTTTATCTACAAAAATGGGGATAAGGTACTCATTATAAGGGTCAAATTAGTTGATGTGTATAGAAGTGTTTTGGACCTATGTGAAGTCATAAGCAGATTATGACTTACTAGGAAGAAGTTACTCTCAAGCAATGTAAAATGAGTTATTAGCTAAGTTGCATGGTCAGAGATCCGTTCTCCTGTATGACTCAAACCAAGTTTTCAAGCTCAGGTAAGTTCTTAAAAAGGTACCCACAAGTAGTCATTTTACTATCTTTGCTCTTTGTATTTTAGGAGACTTACGGTTCAAGCGTCAGCTCTACACCTCGGTTTCTTCAAATAGCAAATGAGCAAAAATAATACCCACTGCACACATGTATCATGAGAGCTGAGTGTGAAAACATAGAAAACACCTGGCACACAGAGTTTCTCACTAGAAATATCAGTTCCTGCTCTTCTCTATGGTTCTCTTGGATGCCTCAGTTGAAGCCTGCTCTGGGTACAGACCACTGGTGAGTGGGTGTGTTTAAGGCGCGGGCCTCTGTTTCCATTCCCCTTTTCTATGTAGCAGTTCTGTTGTCAGAGCCCAGCAGGACTAGGAAGGCCTCTTCCAATCTCCAGATCTCCCTCTATGAGGGAGCCTGAGATGCCTAACATGTTTTGTATCTTCTGATCTCTAGGGACTCAGAAGACAATAATAACCTTCCCTACCTCAACCAGATTCAAACCAGAAAGTGGCAAGAGAAAAGTCGCCTTGACCCAAAGGGGCATCCAGCCTCTCCCATTTCAGACGCAGGATAATGCAATCCAGACCACATGAAATTTCCCGTATTTGAAGACTGCCTCAGCCCTCTTTGCACCAGGCTTTCCAGCCTCTCTCCCTCTTGCCTCAGACTAAGCTCTCCCTCAACCACATTGTGTGACCAGGCCAATCCTTGGAGACAGAGAGATGTCTGCACTAGGGAACTTCCAAGCTGCCCAGGGGATGATGAATTCACCCCTGGCAGAAGCCAACTTGGAAACGGCATCACGGTGCTTTGTGAACATATCTATGGTGCAACAGTGACCTCCAGTGGCTGAGCCAGGAGGCAACCACTGCCCACACTGTCTCAGGCAACCCTGTCCTCCCGGAGGCTAGCGTACAGGATGATAAGCTCTTCTTGGAACCACTTCCCAGAACACCTATGCACAATATCTTAAAAAAAAAAAAAAAAAAAAAAAAAAAAAAAAAAAAGAGAGAGAGAGCAAAAACATAAGCCCAGAGTTACTCACCAATTGAATCCGACCATGTCACTCCACCACTTAGAAAACGTATGTGGTTAGTAGTCCCTCTATTGATCACAGAATAAAGTCTAAAGTTCTTAGTACCACAGACAGAGTTCTTTAGGATCTGGGTATGACTACCTGTCATTTCCTACAATGTCCTCTTTCATTAATACACACCAGACTTTCCCCTAGTCTCTAAATGGCCTGCTCTATTTTAAGTTGAGCAGTAGAGGGTCCTCTATTTAAATGACCTTCTTCACTTTTCTACTGGTACAATTTTCTTTTCTTTTTTCTTTTCTTTTCTTTCGTGTGTGTGTGTGTGTGTGTGTGTGTGTGTGTGTGTGTCTGTGTGTGTTTGTCAGGGTCTTGCTCTGTCACCAAGGCTGGAGTGTAGTGGCACAATCAAAACTCACTGCAGCCTTGACCTCCTGGGCTCAAGTGATCCTCCCACCTCAGCCTCCTCAATAGCTGGGACGATAGGTGTGCACCACAATACCTGCCTAACTTTTTAAAATCCTTTTTCTTTGGAAGGGTTTCATGTCAAAAATTGCCATCTTAGTGACACTTTCAGTATTATCTCTCCTTACCACTGTAGAATTAATTTTGTTTTCAAAACATACAGCAAGTGGAGTTAAAAACAATCCATTTATTTATTCAAAAAACAATAATAAGACATCTATTATAATGCCAGTCATTGTCCTGGATAGTCAGGATAACAGATAAAAGAGGCATGCTTTCTGACCTCAGAATGCATATAGACTAGTGGAGAATACATAGAGAAATCATTGCCATAAAGTATAGCAAGGAGCTATGTGCAAATTACACAACTGGCTTAAGAATGGAGGTCATCCCTTCAGCCTGTGCAAAAGGCAATTAGAGATCCTGCCCCAACAGTGAGAGGCATTGTCTGGGTCTTGAAGGAGTAGGAGTTAGCCAGGCACTGTAATCCCAGCCACTAGGGAGGTTGAGGCAAGAGGATTGCTTGAGGCCAGTTCTAGATCAGTCTGAACAACATAGCAAGACCCCCATCTCTACAAAAAAATTAAAAATTAGCCCAGTGTGGGGACGAGCACCTGTAGTCCCAGCTACTTGGGAGGCTGAGGCAGGAGGATTGCTTGAGCTCAGGAGTTTGAGGCTGCAGTAAGCTATGATCAAGCCACTGCGCTCCAGCCTGGGTGACTGAGCAAGGCACCATCTCAAGGGGGAAGAAATAAAGGAGCCAGGAAGATAGGATAATTTTAAAAGGGAAAGAAGAAATGAAGCATATTTGAGGCATCAAGTAACTTACACAGAAGCACGAATGTGTTGGAACAAGGGAGTAATCCATCATGGTTGGCACATGCTGCACAGCAGAGAGATATAGAGCTAGAATGCAGACTGGGATCAGAAGGCAGGATCAAGAGTGTAAAATGTTGGTTATGGGAATGAGGAGTCATTAAAGGCTCTTGAATGAAAGCACTATTTAGAAGGAATACGCTGGCACAACTAGCAATAGCACATAAGGAAAGCAAAAAGAAATCAAAATTAGGTTTCTTCCTGTTCTTGGTACTCAGAGTCACTGGGGTGTCAGTCCAATCTAATCTGAGAGGCTAAAGTAAGGTCAGTGAGTGGGTAAACAGACAGGTCAGGCACAGGACATAAACGGAGAAGACCTAAAACACAAGAAGAGCAGTCACTTGGTGTGTAGTTGTGAATAGAAACAAATGCCAAGGCCAGGCACAGTGGCTCACACCTGTAATCCCAGCACTTTGGGAGGCGATGGGGGGTGGATCATTTGAGGCCAGGAGTTTGAGACCAGCCTGGCCAGCATGGTGAAACCCCATCTCTACTAAACATACAAAAATTAGCTGGCTGCGGTGGCTCATGCCTGTAGTCCCAGCTATTCGGGAGGCTGAGGCAGGAGAATCACTTGAACCCAGGAGGCAGAGGTCGCAGTGAGCCAAGATCATACCACTGCACTCCAGCCTGGGTATAGAGTGAGACTCTGTTTCAAAAAAAAAAAAAAAAAAAAGCCAAAGTTTCAGAAAGTAAGAGGTCCAGGTCCAGGTGAAAATGTGGAGAAGTCCCACCTTAGTCTAGTGAACAGCACCTTGCTGGATCATGGTCACTTTGAAAGGGCTGGATCCTGACTGTCAAGGGAGAGGGTCCGATGAAGCTGCTCTAAAAAGTCTATTGTGACCCTGGAGGGCCTTCCCCCAAGGGACCAATGGAACTCCACTCATGATTCAAATATGTGTCCTGAGTATCTGGGAGATGACAGAGGCATGGGTCTGTTCCTCGGCCTCCAGATAATAAGTACTGGCTGGACGTCCTGTCGCAGGATCTATTATGTGTCCTTTCTGGACATTTTATGAATGGGGGAAGATAGCTGTCCCTTGACATACAGGTGACTAAGATATCTGGAAGACAGTATAAACTGGAGACTGCATATCTATGCATTTTTGCATGTACACATCCCAGAGACATAAGGCACACAGATGAAGACCCACGATCAATTTCTAATAGCGCCTCTCTTAGGGAAGGCAGCCGACGTAGGAAGAGGATGGTATGGACCTCCATCTCCCCTATACTGAGCTGCTATTGTTGTACTTAACACAGCATAGTGCACCCGTCTGTTCACTTATCTATTTGTTACACTAGAAAACATGCTCCTTGAAGACAACAGACACATCTCCTTCAACTAGCACAGTCAGCATTCAATAAATATTGGTTGAATTAAAGAATAAATAAGCGACCCTGGGATGGGAGAAATTGGTTATAAAGTTCCCGCAGACACCTACGCATTGGACTGGAGCACCAGAAGGTCCTGAATCTTCCTGGATTTGTCCTTTATCCTTTATAGACATTGCTAACATGTGAATTAGAACAATAAATGTTAATTTTGGAAACAGATGAAAGTAATTTTGAATTCAAGCTGTGCCACTTTATTCGCTTGGGCAATTTACTTAAATTGCCTAAGACATTGTTTCCTCTCCTAAAATATAAAGATAATAATAATACTCTTCTTACTAAAATGTGGCGAGAGTAAGAAATTATACATGTAAAGTGCAGGATGTAGCAAATAGTAGACCTCCAATGAATAGTGGCTGTTGTGATTATTGCATGGAGTCTCTCCTTACAATGGACTTTGAACCAACACAAACCCCGGAAACCACAGTGGATAATTTTATCCAACAAGCACTTCTGGTGCAGGATTCAGGAACTAAAGAAGGCTTTGGTATGACTGGGGTGTTTTGCGTCCATGATTCTGTGGTGGAAACATACAGATGGGTGCTTGTGCACCAGCCGGACAATTCCAGGGGCCTTGCTGAATATGAAGTAATGTCAGTATGGGGGCATGCCTGCATCCATACATCAGTCTGCTGTTGCTGGAGTTAGGGGAGGGAAGCTATGAATTCCTCAGGTCCGAGAATCACTTATGGAGGCTACACAAGTACTTTGACATCCAAGACAAGACAAAGCACTAGTGAAACGAGAAAGGTTCCCTTGGCCCCCTTTCAGGGCATGTGATGGGGGTGTGGCTCGCTTCTTCAGTGCCCCGCTGCTCAAACCTCTAGGGGAGCATACAGACAGGAAGGCTGTGGGGTTTCAACCCCATGGCAGTGTCTAGGGGTGGATGTTTACAGCTCCTGAAGCCCCAGTGGGCATGTGTTACAGGGTGCTCTCTTAGTTTGCCGCCTACAGGCGGCTTGCGTTGACCAGCTCAATTAGACCCTCTAGCTTGTCCCAAGGACAGAGGGCTTTCTGTATCCCTGGATTTCTTGCCTTGGTGTACTGGAAGAATCTGATCACGCATGGGTTTGGAGAATGAGTGCAAGGTTTTATTGAGTGGAAGTAGCTCTCAGCAGATGGGGGAGCCAGAAGGGAGATTTTTTCCCCTGGAGACCAGCCGCTTGGAGATCCGGGCTCTCCTGCGACTGCCCCAGCCAAACTCCCCGTCGCTCCGTGGTCTATGGCCTGCCGCCTGCTGGTGCCTATCGGGTGCTCTTCCGCTGCTGTGCTCTCAACTACCAGCCGCTTGCGTCTTCTTCCACGATGTGTTCCTCATGACATCCAGCCACTGTGTCTCTGCCTTGCTAAGGTTTCTGGTTTTTATAGGCCCAGGATGGTGGCGTGGGAGGGGGGCCAGGGTGGTCTTGGAAAATGGAACATTTGGGCGCCAAAGGCAGGAGCGCCTGTTGTCACCTAGGTCCTTGGGGGTGGAGCTCTATCCAGGGAACCACCTTTCTCTACTCAGCACTTCCCTTACCCCCTTCCCTGTCATTCAAAGGGACCACGTTCTTCCCTTCCCAGCACTTCCATATCACTAGTACTACATCCAAAGCACTAGTACTACAGATCTAGCTCCTACAATTATAGGTGACAGCATAAAGAAGTAAAAAAAAAAAAAAAAAAAGAAAAGAAATGACACTCTTAGCTGAGGTTGCTGGTTAGAAAACAAAGATGTTTAATACCATAAAACTCACTCTGAAGTTGACTTCATAGAAGTAGAGTGTAAAATAGTGGTCACTAGAGACTGGAAAGGCATCAGAGGTGGTGGTGGGTGAGGACGGAAAACCAGAGGTTGATTAACAGACACAAAATTAGGGACATGGATGAAATTGGAAAACATCATTCTCAGTAAACTATCGCAAGAACAAAAAGCCAAACACCGCATATTCTCACTCATAGGTGGGAACTGAACAATGAGATCACATGGACACAGGAAGGGGAATATCACACTCTGGGGACTGTTGTGGGGTGGGGGGAGGGGGGAGGGATAGCATTGGGAGATATACCTAATGCTAGATGACGAGTTAGTGGGTGCAGTGCACCAGCATGGCACATGTATACATATGTAACTAACCTGCACAATGTGCACATGTACCCTAAAACTTAAAGTATAATAAAAAAAAAAATTATAGCTAGATAGGAGGAATAAGTTCTAGTGTTCTATAGCACTATAGAATGACTAAATTAGCAATGTACGCATATTTTCAAATAGCTAGAAGAGCAGATTCCGAGTATTCACACCATAAAGAAATCATCACACTGTACCCCATAAATATTTGCAATTATTACAAATCAATCAAAAATAACAAAAGCAAATGGAAAATCAGTCTGAACAGCCACCTAGTATCAGCCACCTGTAGTTAGTGGTGGCAGAATTCGTGGCCTGGCACTGCTCTCACATATGAAATAATTCCACTTGGTTGGATTCTGTCGATCCAAGAATGGGGAGTGGCATCCAATTTGAGACTCCTCCTGGGTTAAATGGCCACGTCGAAGACATTACTTTCAACCAAAAATCGCTGACAGATGTACAGGTTTGCCTCTTGTGGACTTGGGCAATCTGGAGTCTATGGCCTTGGAAGTCAGCTTGAGGAAGCAGGGATCTGGAGGGGACTAATGTTTTCCCAAATATCTTCTGGGAGTGATAAACTGAAGCAATCTCATCCATTGTATGTATGATGCAGAAATACAATATGTAAAATGTGAATCTGTAGCCCAGATCTCTCTTCTAAGTTGCAGACCCTGTCCAACTACCTACTAACAGGTCCATGTGAATATCTCTCAGGGTCCTGAAACCCAACTTTCCCAAACTAAACTGTGGCAATAGCATGGATTCCCAAGCACTCTTCTCAGTTGTTCACTCATCCTCCCTTCCCCACAGCCAATCAATCACCACATCCAATTGATTCACTACCCAAAGTCTCCGATATTCAGTACTAGGCTCAGCCCTCAACAGGTGTATTAGTTTTCCATTGCTTCTATAACAAATAACTACAAACTCATGGGTTTAAAACAACACAAGTGTATTATCTTGCCATTTTGTATGTTAGAAATCCAACACAAACCCCAGAAGCCATAGTGGATAGTTTTATCCAACAAGCATTTCTGGTGCAGGACTCAGGAATTGAAGAAGGCTTTGGTATGATTGGGATGTTTGTGTCCACAATTCTGTGGTGGAAACATACAGATGGGTACTTGTGCACCAGCCTGACAATTCACTGGACAAAAATCAAGGTCCCGGCAGTACTACCTTTTTTTCTGGGCTCTCTAGGGAAGGATCTATTTTCTCGCCTTTTCCAGCTTCTTTTTTATAATTTTTATTTTTAATTTTTTGGGGCACATAGTAGATGTATTAATATATTTATGGGGCACATGAGATATTTTGACACAGACAATATGTAATAATCACATCGGGGTAAGTGGAGTTTCCATCCCCTCACATATTCATCATTTCTTTGTGTTATAAACATTCTAATTGTGCCCCCTCAGTTATTCAAAGATGTACAACAAATTATTGCTGACTGTAGTCACCTTGTTGTGCTATCAAACACTAGATCTTATTCGTTGGGCCTAACTATATTTTTGTACCCATTAACTATCTCTATTTCCTACTCCCTCTTCCCCGGCAACCCTTCCCTGCCTCTGGTAACCATCATTCTGCTTTCTGGCTTTATAAATTCAGTTGTTTTAATTTATAGCTCCCACAAATGAGTGAGAATTTTCCAGCTTCTAAAGGCCACCCACATTCCTTGGCTCCTGGCCTCCTTCCTCCATCTTCAAAGTCACCAACGTAACATCTCTGTGACCCATGTTCCATCACCACATCTCTTTCTAGACACAGCCAGGAAAGGCTCTCTACATTTAAGGATTTGTATAATCAGATTTGGCCCGCTTGGATAATCAGGAATAATCTCCCCATTGCAGGATTTTTCCTTTACCCTAATCACATCTACAAAGGCTCTTTTGCCATATCAGATAACATCTATTCATAGGTTCAAGGGATTAGGATAGCAATATCTTTTGGGAGGCAGTATTCTGGCTACCACAACATGAATTACCTCATAATCTCCTCAAGAATTTGGTGAGATAGGTACTATTGTTGTTTCTATGTGTCAGATGAAAAAACAGATTTAGCCAAATTGCCTCAATTGCCTGAGGTCACACTCTAGTAAATGGCAGAAAGAGATTCATCCTGAGGCCTGTTTGACTTACTATAAGGCATTCCTACTTGTTATGTATCTCTTGACTCTATGATCCCACCACATTTGTTCAAGCCACCATTACAATTGATTTAGATTACTACATTATCAGACTACTCTCTCTCCCCTCCAGTCTTGCAGTCCTTCAGTCCATTCTCCACTCTGCAGCCACAGCTATCTTTATAAAACACTTATTTTATAAGGTCTCCCACCAGTGACACTCCATTCCTCTTGGGGAAAAGCCCAGACTTCTGGAGACGGTGTACAAGAATAAGATGTAGCATCTGCTTAACTCTCCAGCTTTATTCATCTCTCCCCATTACTCTCCCCCTACTCCTACAATTTCAGTGCTAAAAGCAAGACAGTACTGCTGTCAGTTTCCTAAAGTCGTCATGCTTTCTCTTGGCTCCAGATGTTTCCCACATGCTAATCCTTCATAGAGTGGCTGGGTGGATTAAGTAAAATGCAAAGTCCTTATTATTGTACATTGAGCATAGAAGTTCTTAATAAAGGACTGACTGCAGAGAAAGACAGTGCTTTGTATGACAGTGAACAATATGTGAGAGACCTCACCAACATGAATCTAAAATAAATTAAATAGGAAGCATAATGGAAATTTGTCAAATTGGTTTCCTTTTTTTTTTTCAATTTGTTTTCTATGGGTGCCTTCAATGACTGGTTTAAGTAGAGATAGGGAGAACAAAAGCATATTTCAGAAACAACACAACTAAGAATTACTGAATAACTCATCCTCTCCATTCTGTTATCTAAAATATAAGCACATAAATGTAACGAAAGTAACAGAATTCAAAGATGAAATGACAATTCCCTCTGTTATAAATTATAGCAAGTGCAGGGAATGGGCTGGTTAATGTGAAAGCATCTGCTTTTGAAGCACTTTGTCCCAGGGAACAGACAAAGGTCTAGGTGGTTTAAGGAACAGGGTGAGTGATCTTTATAAACAATTTGCATTTTATGTCAAATGGAACTTTTTATAGTATGATTTAGAGAAAATATTCAAGGTTGGGTCATATGTTATCCCAGACCTGCACATAGAGTAATCTACACTATTAATTCATTGGGCAAAGGTTGATTGCACATGTCTATGTATTCGGCACTGATACAGACATAAATAACCCATTACCTGCTTTTAAGGAGCTCAGAGGTTAGTGACAGAAATAGGCAAAGAGCAAAACATGACAATGCACTATAGACATATAGATTTATAGACAATCCCACAGTTAGGGAGCTGAGGGACTTGACGGGAAGAATCACTTCCTGTTTTGGATGGTCAAGAAACCTTTATAGAAGTGGAAATGCTTGAGCCAAGTCTTTCAGAATGCTCAGGAATAACCCAGACATCAAAGCTTGGGAGGGAAAGGCATATGCAATGACACAGAGGCACAAAACAACACGAAGGGGAAGGGCTAGGATGAGACTGGGGAGAAAAGCAAGAGCAAAATCTTGCAGCATCTTGATTGTGATGCTATGGAGCCCGAGCTTTATCTGAAGTTGATGGGATTCCCTGAATAAATTTTAAGCATAGCAATGACATAGGCAAATTTGAATTTTAGAACTATTTTTTGGTCTGCCGTGGAGAGGATGGATGGGAGGGGGAAGAACGAGAGCTTTGTTTAGAGGCTGCTGTAGTAATCCAGGTAAAGGCTTTTAATCATGTCCTGAACAATGATCAGCAATGGCAATGGAGATGACAGAACAGAATTTAAGAAGGAATAAAAAAGGCTTGCTGACTACTTGGATGTGGGTGATGCTATCCTTTGACACAAAGGATTTAAGATGAAGACCAGTTTTGGGGGGTAAGTAAAAGGTTTGGATATTTTCAGTTTACAGCATCTGTGGAACATCTAGGAAGAGATATGCAATTGATGGTTGGGTATCTGGACTTGGAATTCAGTAAAGAGTTTCACAATAGATATAAATTTCAGAATCATCACCATGAGATGTTGATTCCATCAGAGGGAGAATGAAAAGGAACAAGAAAGGACCTTGAGAAACCCTGATATTTAGGATTTTAGGTGGATAAAAAGTTCTTGGAGAGGATTGGGTTATAATAACCAGAATAATCAGAAGAAAAACCACAGGAGATGAGCATCATTGGAGCCAAGGGAAGACAACAGCTTCAAGGAGGAAGAACTGGCACAGCATTGCCATGCAGGCAAGAAGAGGCAACAGGAGGAAGAACGCACGGAGCCTCACCCACCTAGTTTTCTCTGAACACCCAATCTATGCAGCCCACTCTCCCTGGCCCCTACCTCCCTGCCATGCCAGGCACTTTCTACTCTATTGCCCTGAATTACTTTACTCATCATATAAATTCTAGCTGAAAATAACTTGTTTATTTTGGTTTCCATTGTCTGTATCCCTCTGCGGAATCTAAATGTCATGAAGTCGGGGACCTCATACATCTTGTTTACCACTGTCTTCATTCAGGTTTCACAAAATCCAAAGGATTCAATGCAAGGAGTTTATCTGGGAGGTGGTTCAAGAAAACTTGGATCCAGTAGAGTTGGGAGATATTAATTTATCATAACACTCATCTTGATGTTCTGTGTTTTTCCATAATCATGCTCTGAAAAACAGGAGGAGGATCATAGATGGTGGGCAGTTATGTTGACACAGCATTGTAGTTTTTTGAGAGGAGGACAGAGAGAAACTAACACAGCAGAGGAGCTGAGGTAATTGGAAGAGTTACTGAAGAGATGCCCTGCAGGTCTAGGTTGCTCTCTAAGGGCAAAGGAAGGGATGTAAGGGAGTAGGGAAGAAAGGGGGAGAGAATCTGAAAGGTAGAAAGTGTTTAAACAGGTAACCACTGAGGGCAACTGCCATCTCATCCCAAGGGGAAACTTAGTGTAGAACAAACACCTCAGAGATCTTCTTCTGCAAGGGGCAAGGGGACTGGGGTTTCTATATGCCCACTCCTGTTGGTCACTCCTTGAGAGCTTTAATTTCCCAGCACTCCAGCCCACCTTAGATGTAGGCAGAGTCATGCCAGCAGCCAAAGAAAGCCCTCAGGCAAAGAAACCAAGTGCTGGCAAATGCAAGCAGATGTTGGGCCAGAATGTACAGAAAAAGTAGATGCAATGGAATAGGAACAAGCACTTGAGGGCATCTGCTGTGACTCCCAAATCCCCAGCCCAGATAATAGTGCTGGGTACATTACAAGCTCCCAGTGAATATCTGGATGAATATTACAATCAATGAAGGAAGGAAAGAATGGCCTTCCCCAGCATTGCCTCATGCCACTTTCTCCTCAAGCTCTATGCTCCAGCCATACTGGATTTTTACCAATTCCTCACCTCAGGCCCTTCTATGCTGTTCCTATTCCTAGGAATATTTCCTTTGCTATTAAATTTTACTTCTTCAGGAAAGCCTTCTCCAACCTCCTTCTAAATAGTCCACATCCTCAGGTTAAGTACCATCTCAGCACCCTGTCTCCTCCTTCCCTTTTATAATCATCAGCACATTTGTAATCACTTGTTTCCCTTGTGCATCACCATGACTCAAAATGCAGCATGATTCCTATTAGATAGCAAGTTCTCAATGTGTATTTGTTAAATAATTAATGAGTTAGGGTTAGAGTTGATTATCATGGAGGGGTTTTGTGTAGATAAGCAAAGGACTGAAATAGCAGCTGAAATGAAATGCAGGAAGTTGTTGATTAGAAACACATGGAAAGATTCTAGGCAACCCTGAAGACACGGTAGAGCTGGGAGATATTAATTTATCATAACACTCATCTTCATGTTCTGTTCTGTGTTTTCCCTTAATTAGGCTCTGAAAAACAGGAGGAGGAACATAGTTGGTGGACGGTCATGTTGACACAGCATTGTGGTTTTTTGAGAGCAGGACAGAGGGAAATTAACATGGCAGAGAAGCTGAGGTAATTGGAAGAGTTACTAAAGAGACATCCTGCAGGTCTATGTTGCTCTCTAAGGGCAAAGTTGAGCCAGGGTGGCAATGGGTGTGTGAGGAAGTGGATAAAAAGAAGTAAATAAATGATTATTGATAAGCAAGGGGATGAAAGTACCAAGAGGTGAAAGCTTATAAAATTGTGGTTATATGCGTGGAATATTAAGGTTTATGATTTCAGAGATGGAGAACCATTGCATTATAATAAGAAACCTGGGTACTTCAGATTCAGCATGGTCAAGACTGAATTTAGCTTTAGCTGGAGAGATATGCATGAGATAGATTATGGATGTTATGGTGTTCTTTTGTAAGATATGGATCAGTGAGGTCACTTTCAATACCCCTTTTAAAATACAGTGTATTTGTTTGTTCTCACACTGCTGTGAAGAAATACTCAAGACTAGGTAATTTATAAAGGAAAGAGGTGTAATTGACTCACAGTTCTGCATGGCTGGGGGGCCTCAGGAAACTTATAATCATCATGGAAGGCACCTCTTCACAGGACAGCAGGAGACAGAACAAGTGCCAGCAAGGGAAATGCCAGACATTTATAAAACCATCAGCTCTCGTGAGAACTCACTATCACAAGAACAGCATGAGGGTAACCACCCCCATGATTCAATTACCCCCCGCTGGGTCCCTCCCACAACCTGTGGGGATTATAAGGATTACAGTTCAAGATGAGAATTAGGTGGGGTCACAGTCAAACCATATTATAGAGACTGTCTACATTGTCACTGCATTCTCCCTAACAGTGTTTAGAACAATGCAGAAGCTCAATGAATATTTGTTTAATGAATGCATAAATAAATGAAATAACAGAAATCTTGAGCCATCTGGCTTAAGCAAGCAAAGAAATGTATTCGATTGCACAAGCTGAAATCACAGGGTAAGGCTGGCTTCAGGATTACTGAGGTCACAGATCAAATAAAGTAATCAGGATTCAGGATTCCTCCACAGCTGGGCTCCACCTTCTATTGTTTTGTCATCAAACCTGGGCTTTATATAATAACAAGATCTGAGAAGAATCACCTTCTCAAAAATCCCAGCAAAACTTTCATTGGTTAACATGCCCATCTCCAAACCAGTCACTATGGCCAAAAGAATGAGATGTTATGTTTGGCCTAGGCCTGGATCACATGTATCGTAAAGGCTAGGATGGAATCAGCCTCAGTCCAGTCCCAGAGTCTAGGATTGAGAAAAGGCAGCAGTAGGGAGCTGCTGAAAGATTTATCAAGAGCAGCATGGTCTGATTTGCATTTCATAAAGATCATCCTGGAGCAGTGCAGAAGACAAGTTACAGAAGTTCAAGCCTGGAGGGAGGTACACCTATAAGAATAAGGGAGGAGACCACCCCTCATATTGTCTTGTGCTCAATTTCTGCCTCCAAAGAAAGAAGTAAAAACTAAAAGGCAGAAATGAAATCCTCAAGCAGACAGCCCAGCGCCACACCCTGGGCCTGGTACTTAAAGATCGACCCCTGACCTAATCAGTTATGTTATCTATAGATTACAGACATTGCATAGAAAAGCACTGTGAAAATCCCTGTCCTGTTCTGTTCCGTTCTAATTACTGGTGCTTGCAGCCCCCAGTCATGTACCCGCTGCTTGCTCAATCGATCATGACCCTCTCACGTGGACCCACTTAGAGCTGTGAGCCCTTAAAAGGGATGGGAATTGCTCACTTGGGGAGCTCGGTTGTTGGAGACATGAGTCTTGCCAAAGCTCCCAACCGAATAAAGCCCTTCCTTCTTTAACTCCGTGTCTGAGGGGTTTTGTCTGTGGCTTGTCCTGCTACAGGAGGACATCTTTCAAATTTAAAATCATCAGCTGTCAATGGAATGTCTTTCTTCTCTATCTGGAGAAACAAAAATGAACAAGACATAGCACCTGCACTCAAAGAACTTCTGGTCTAATGAGGAAGACAGGCAAGTAACAGTCATTTACATACATAATGATGGTGCCATGAAGGCTTCCTGCTGTACCATGAAGTGGCATCTAAAATAAGGTCTGAAAGATCAGAAGGCATTGGCAGTATTTGCAACCAGAGGCAAGTAGAAATGTGCATGTTTGGAAAAGTATGTGCAGGATAGCCAGAGCATGAAGTTCCAATAGTGACACAAGAAATGAGATCAGGTTATTAGAAGCCAGAATCTTGAAGGGTCTTGAAAACCCAAAGTTGGCCAGGTGCAGTGGCTCATGCCTGTTATCCTAACACTTTGGGAGGCCAAGCGGGGTGGATCACTTGAGATCAGGAGTTCAAAACCAGCCTGGCCAACATGGTGGAATCTTGTCTCTACTAAAAATACAAAGCAATTAGCCGGGCACGGTGGCAGGCACCTGTAATCCCAGCTACTTGGGAGGCTGAGCCAGGGAAACTGCTTGAACCCAGGAGGTGGAAGTTGTAGTGAGCCAAGATCGTGCCACTGCACTCCAGCTTGGGAGACAGAGAAAGACTCCGTCTAAAAAAAAAAAAGAAAAAAAAAAAAGAAAAAGAAAAAGAAAAGAAAAGCCAAAGTTAAGAGTTAAAATGTATCCTCACAGCTTTGCAGAACCATGAATGTTTTAAAGTTTGAGAGTGGCATTAACCCATCAGCACTGTATAAATGTCAATGTGGGGCCGGGAATGGTGGCTCACACCTGTAATCCCAGCACTCTGGGAGGCAGAGCCCAGCCTACACAACATATTGAGACCCCATCTCTACTAAAAAGAAAAAGAAAAACTTAGCCAGGTGTGGTGGTTCTCGCCTGTGGTTCCAACTACTCAAGAGACTGAGGTGGGAAGATCTCTTGAGCCCAAGAGGTTGAGAATGCAGTGAGTCATAATTGCACACTGCACTCCAGCCTGGGCAACAGAGCCAGACTTTATCCTGCCCCCACTCCCCAGTAAATCTGGCCAAGTGGAATCTGGATTAGAAAATTACAAAATAGGCCAGGCGCAGTGGCTCATGCCTGTAATCCCAGCACTTTGGGAGGCTGATGGGATCACTTGAGCTCAGGAGTTCGAGACCAGCCTGGGAAACATGGCAAGACCTCATCTCTACAGAAAATAGAAAAATTAGCTGGGTGTGGTAGTGTGTGCCTGTAGTTCCAGCTACTTGGAGGGCTGAGGCAGGAGGATCACTTGAGCCTGCATGGTCAAGGCTGCAGTGAGCCATGTTCATGCCACTGTACTCCTCCAGCCTGGGTGACAAACTGAGACCTTGTCTCAAAAATAAATAAATAAATAATATGTAAGATCACCATGCAAGAGGCTTTTGCAGTAATTCAGGGAGGAGATGGTAGTGCCCTCTACTAAGACGGTAGCAATGGAAATGAAGAAAAGTGGACAGATTTAAAATTTGTGGAGAGTTTTAAAATTTGGAATCATCTGCACTTAGAAATAAGGATAAGGGAAGCGAGAGCAAGGAGTTAATAAAATGGCACTTAGATTTCTAATCTGTGCAACTGAATGGATGGGGCAGTTACTCACAGTAGGAGAGAAGGTTTAGGAGAAAAATAATAAGCTTGTTTATGGACACTGAGTTTGAGATGATTGTGGGATATCAACATGCAGATGTCCAGTTAGTTGCTGGATATGTGGATTGGAAGCTCAGGAGAGAGTTTGTAGCTGGAAACGTGCATTTGGGAGCCATCAGCATAAAAATGGCAGCTGAAATCTTGAAGTGGATGAGGTCACTCTGGTACAGTTCAGTGTTCAAAAGAAGACTCTTGGCAGCAATAGCCTAGGAAGTATGAACATTTAAGGATGACCAAAGACCAGGAGCCATCACAGGTGACCAGAAGAATACACCGAGGGGCAGAGGATTAGGAGCCTAGTCTAAACGGATGTTGGAAAGAAATATTAGAAGATGAATATGGGAATTATAATACTTAGGATAGAAAATGAACAGAGCTCCTCAATATCCTTAGTGAGGGGAATGAGAGGGAGAAAAGGGTTAAGAATGACTCCCAAGCTTCTCGTTTGAGTGACCAGTTGGTGAATCAGAAGGAGGAAGTTAGGTTCTAAGATAATTGTTTAAGTTGCTCATGGGACATCAAGGAAAAGACCTATAGGCAGTCTGAGCTCAAGAGAGCATCTAGATAGTGGGCTAACCTGGGAAGTATCAACACAAAGGTGGTATTTAATATCAGGGGAGATGAGATGGCCCTGGAGGGGCTGTTAGTTAAGCCCCATTAATATTCTCATTGAAGGAATAGGCAGAGGAAGAACCTAGCAAAGGAGACCTTACAGTGAGAGCAGGGAGAGCTAAGTTTGTCCTCCAGAAGAAAGCCTCCTTATCCACAGTTCATGTAGGAGGGATATTGGTCCTTGTATGTTTTTCAACCATCAATTTCCTCAGCTACTTTAAGCCTTAAGAGGTCAAATTACATAATGATTCCATGTGCCTTCTAAATGTATCCCATAGCTTATTACAGGTCCTAGGACCCATAAGGAGTTCTATATAGTTTCCTACCCTGCCTTTGAATAAAGGACTTTCATGGGTTAAAAAAAGTGGACCACTTAATTCAGCAATGGCTTGAATTTACTTCCATATTTGGAAATACTTCAGTCATTAGGGTTGAGCAGAAACACACAGCATCCTTCAAACACTGTTCTTCTTTCTTCACATGGCATTGTGAATGGCTCAGCAAGTGGGCCCATCATTTTCTTGCTAATTAATTTAGGTCTAATTGGTTTCAGCCCACACAACAGTGCAGGTTGTAAGAGAGGGCAATAGCAGTCATATTCCACTAAAAGTACCTGCCAGCATCAAAGCCTCTACCATTAAGCAATTCACTACAGAGGGAAGAGCTCTTAAGAGCTAAACAAAGTGAATTAATTCCCCCCCTCCCAATTAACTTCGGAAAGAATCTCAAAGTGCTCAGAACTCTGTCAAAGCATCAGGAAACATTTCATCTTACTACCACCATTCTAGCATAACACAGTCTTGCAAGGAGTTACCAAACATTTACCAGCCTGCATGCTGTGTATCGTTTAGAAGGATTTCAAGTTCTCCAGATGACTGTTATCTCCACAGGAGCCACAAGCAGGACTAGTTTTAATTATTATTTTATCCCCAGAAGCTAATACAATGCAGATAGATGGTATTCAATTAACATTTGTTACAAGAATTAAAAAATGAGGAGAAAGAAGAAGGAAGGTAGAAGAAGAAAGGAATAGAGAAAAGGAGGAATTGATTTGTGGTGTTAACACCAATTCAAAAACTCATAATAAAAGAGCATTTCATTTAAAGCCAGTGAGATAATTCCATCACCTCTGAGCTGTGTGGCAATGAACAAGTCATTTAACTTCTCTAAATCACAGTTTCTTCTTTCATTTAATAGCAATGCTGTCTTCAGTACATACTTTAAAGAGTTATAATGAAGCAAAATAGAGTTAATGAATTTGAAAGCACTTTGTAAACAGTAAAAGATAGCTGTTGTTGCTATTAAGACTGGGAATCTGGCTGGGTGCAGTGGCTCATGCCTGTAATCCCAGCACTTTGGGAGGCCGAAGCGGGAGGACCACTTGAGGTCAGGTGTTCGAGACCAGCCTGGTCAACATGGTGAAACCCCATCTCTACTAAAAATACAAAAAATTAGCCAGGTGTGGTGGCAGGCACCTGTAATTCCAGCTACTTGGGAGGCTGAGGCATGAGAATCACTTGAAACCAGGAGGCAGAGGTTGTAGTGAGCCGAGATCGCACACTGCACTCCAACCTCGGTGATACAGTGAAACTCAGTCTCAAACAAACAAAAAAGACTGGGAATCAAACTTTAAATTGTACTTTAGTGTGCCTATAGTTAGATCATGGTTTTGTGCCATATAATGATATTTTAGTCTGACAAAACTTGCAAGACAATTATCATGGGTTTATGTCCCAAGTGGACAAAGAAAAATGCAACTCAGTCGTTATCCTTAAGGAGCTCACAGCTTAGTGGAGGAGACCATCATGAAATTAGAAATTATAACACCAGCAGTATTAACTAGTAATGGAAAACCGTATAAATGAGTGGCAGGAAGTCACAAAGGAGGAAGAGTTACTCTGCTGAACAAGTCACAGACTTGAGAGGGGAGTGATATTTGAACTGAGCCATAAAGGATAATAGACACTTGCCAGATGAAAACAGAAAAGGCTTTGGGTGCTTAAAAGTTTGCATAAGTAATACTAAATAGTAATTTAAATATAACTGCACATATTTTTTTCAACTTTCTTTTTACATTCAATGTTATTTTTTAAAATGTACCCATCTAGTTATATGATGGATTCACAAGTGTCTATGTGTTTTCTAGTTGTTTCCTATGTTTGAAATGTGCCATAATTTAAATTATTTTATTTAAGGAAACAAAGAACGATGCCTGGCTACCACAAAGGATCTGAAGTGGTGGGAGGTGGATTTTGGTAGGTCTGAACCAGATCGAGACAGATGTTACATGTTGGCATGAGGAATTTGTATTTCATCGTTTGAACAAAAGAGATTAACATTTAATTATTAAATAGGATCGAAATGATTTTTGTTGTCACTGTTGTTGTCAGAAAGCTAAGTCAAGTGGTAGCACAGAATGAATAAATTTGCTGCAACCAGTAGAGACTTGAACCATTCTTACCCTTTGCTTGCTGTTTCCATGAACAATGCCCTCTAGATTCTAAGAGTAAACCAGACAAGGAAAGATCATCAGAATCTGGGAGACCAAGCATGCTTAAGCCGGTGTCGGTGCTTTCAAGGCCAGTGTACAAAGTGCCAGCCAACATGGTCAAAAGTCCTCTGCCTCATATCAAGGTGGGAGGAGGAGAGAACCAAGCCAGGCATACAGAAATATTTTGTATTCACTTTTGTTTTCCCCAGCTTTACCAATAAGTCATCTTTGCACCACCTTGTACCACATGAGGTCCCAGCCTCAGCCCCAGGATTGAAGGCCAATTGTGTGTTGCTGTGACAGCAAGTATTTAAAAGGAAAATAAAGAAGCGACAAGCTGCGACATGCTATCATTAAGCAATCATAACTTCCTCCCCATATTACGACAATAGATGTCACTCTCTCATCTGGAAGGCAGGCCACGTATAGAAACACCATGTCACAAAGCTTTTCAGACAAAGACGTAGTGGGGGTGAGTTCATTGGGTGCAGAATAGAATATTTTGATGGGTTGCATCCAACCCATTTCCCACCCCCCAACTCCTACATGCTCTGATAAAAGTCAGATCTGTAAAGAACTTCAAAGGCTCCCCAGTCTGACAAACAGTAATAAAACAAGAAATCGAAAAAAAAAAAAAATCTGCCAAAGTGCTTGGAGGAAGCGGAGCTGCCAAGTGCTATGATGGTTCTGTTTTAGTAATCAGCAGACTAACTGCAGGGCACTTCCTCCTAGCGGGAAGCCGAGTCTGGGCTGTCAACTGTGAAGGAGTACAGAAAGGTCAGGCAGCAAAGGGATTCTAAAGGCCTGGAATAAGCGATTGCACATTCTTTCTGGTGATTTTTCTTCTAGTCCACATCCCACCCCAAGCCCACAGCCTGCTTCATCCCAACTGCAATCTCAACTACTCCCTCACCTCCTTCTTCCAAAGAGAAAGATGTGAAAAAGCAAAATCAGTCAGTCTGATCTCACCTTCCCTTCCCTCCATTTAATGGAGGGTTGGGGGTTGGGGAGAGCATGCAACAAGGAAATAGCTCTGGAATCCAGAACATCTGGCTTCTATTCAGACCCAATCACCAACCTTGGGAGCATATTGAAAGCATTTGGCTGTCTCAACAGTCTAAAAGAAGCTATTTATTTCAGACTCAACAACCAGCCCAACCATATGCTTCCATTTGGAAACAATTGGAGGTAAGACAGAGTTTCTTTTTCTTTTCCTTTTTTTTAAGGAGGAAGGTGGAAATAACACAGGACTTTGAGTCAGAGAACTGACCTGCATTCCACTCACTCATCTGCCACTTGCTTGTGTGTGACTTTATTTGACTTCTTACTCTCTCTGCAAATTTAATTACTAAGCTATCAAGCCATGATTAAACTCCCCTCTCATGGAGTTCTTGAGAGGATTAAAAGCACAGGGTATCATAAGAACGTACTGTAGTGCCTGGTATATGATTCCTTCTCTCCTCAGACAAACCACTTACCCATAATTTATTCATTGGGCATCAAAGAACCTATCTGTCTTGTCTGTACCTCCCATGGTACTGCAATAATCAGATGAATAGTGTACGCCTAAGTGTTTGGTAATTTTAAAGTGCCTTGCAGATATGAAGGATTGCAGTTGGGATCATTATTACACCAATAATGTGTAATAATGTGTCAAAGCCAAAGCTTTGATTCCTAAAACCAATCCAGGAAAAACTGTTAATGAAAAGTTTCTAGATGACCACCAGCCATTTATTTGTCCAGGTTGATGACTAATGCTGGTGAGAATTCTTTCCATCTCTTCACCTCTATGGTTTAGTCCACTCCCTAGGTGCTTTCAATCCCAGGTAAAGGTAGAACCTGAGGCTCCATTACTTTGGCAATTAGTGGAGCCCCTTTTATTTCTATAAGCTCGGCATCATTTCCAGGACATTTCTAAACTATCAGGCCTCACTTCTCTCATCTCTAAGACTAGGAATCTCTAAACTGTAAGAATAAGAGCTATCTACATAGTAGTTCATAATTTATAAGACACTTTCACAAATGTACTCCTACCTGCTCCATACAATCACCCTGTGATTGTGTCTAACATTTCAGATGAGGAACTGAGGCTCAGACACTTAGGTGAGCCCAGGGCTCCTTGCTCAAAATCCTCGCTTTCTATCACAGCTTCCAAGCAAGGCAGCATAAGGGAATCCCAGAACAGGAAAGTAACCAGTAGGAACCAATATTAGGTCCTCAGGAACCTTGGAAGACACTAGGAAGCACAGATATTCAGTGAAGACCTCATGTGACCTCAGAAAAAAAACCCTCCCAACTGAGGATTTTGGCCAGGTGAAATTATTCCCCTGTCCAATCCATACTAAACCTTTCACCCGAAACAGAAGATATCACTTCTTAAAATTGTGGAGGATGAAGCAGTCCTACTTAGAAATATCTGGTCTCCAGATTCAGCTGCAATGCCCCGTATTCAACCCCCAGATCTCTTCACATTTCTGGTTCTGTCTTCCAGCTTGGGTCTCAATTTGCCCATGACACCAAGTGGATCTGTTGACTGACCATGTGCCCCTGAACCAGCTCATGCCTCAGCTAGGCAGTTTCAGGGTCTCCTACCAGGTAACCAATCAAGCTTTCTGGAAGGACTTTTAGAGTCATGAAAGTGTCGTTGGAGTCCACTATGACTTTTAGCTAAGTGGAAAAAGCAAAATAAGAAAGTATTTCTTCACCTTAATTTAACTTAGATGCTGGCCTCTCTAGGAGGCCTTTTTTGAATGCTCCTCTTCCCCTGCAGTGCCCTCCCAGTCTGTGTTAGATGCCACTCCTATGTCCTCCGTGGTGCTTTTCACTTTCCTCCAAGACAGCACTCAATGAGTACTGTAATTGTGTGCACATTTATCTACCACTGCTTCTAACTTGTGAAACATGTATTCTCTCTTTTACTGCTAAGTCCATGGTACCTGTTGCAATGTCTTTAACATGATAGGTATTCAGTAATGAATGAACTAGGTAAAAAAATGTATCTGTAAAGACAGAGCTATAATAGGACACAGAAAAATGGAAAGTTCCATACAATGCTGATATGAAGTGATTTTGTTTTCTTTTTGTGATTTGAAATATTATTTATGCTGCTCCAAAGAAAAATAAGATAAACTTCTAAAAAATTTTTTTAATTAAACTTTTAAGTTCAGAGGTACATGTGCAGATTTGTTACATAGGTAAACTTGTGTCATGGGGGTTTGTTGTACAGATTACTTCATCACCCAGGTATCAAGCCCAGTACTCATTAGTTATTTTTCCTGATTCCTCCACCCTCTACCCTCTGATAGGCCCCAGTGTGTGTTGTTCCCCTCTATGTGTCCATGTGATCATGTGTTCTCATCATTTAGCTCCCATTTATAAGTGAGAACATGTGGTATTTGGTTTTCTGTTCCTGTGTTAGTTTGCTAAGGATTTTAGCCTACAGCTCTATCCACATTCCCACAAAAGACATGATCTCATTATTTTTAATGGCTACATAGTATTCCATGGCATGTACCACGTCTTCTTTATCCAGTCTACCATTGATGAGCATTTAGGTTGATTCCATGTTTTTGCTATTGTGAATAGTGCTTCAGTGAACATACATGTGCATGTGTCTGTATTGTAGAATGATTTATATTCCTCTGAGTATATACCCATTAATGGGATTGCTAAGTTGTATGGTATTTCTCTTTTTAGGTCTTTGAGGAATTACCACACCATCTTCCACAATGTTTGAAATAATTTATAGTCCCAAAAACAGTGTATAAGCATTCCTTTTCTTCAGCAACCTCACCAGAATCTGTTATTTTTTTTTTTTTACTTTAATAATAGCCATTCTGACTGGCATGAGATGGTATCTCACTGTGGTTTTGATTTACACTTCTCTAATGGTCAGTGATGTTGATCTTTTTTTCATATTATTGTTGACCATATGTATGGCTTCTTTTGAAAAGTGTCTGTTCATGTTCTTTGTTTACTTTTTAGTGGGGTTGTTTGCATTTTTCTTCTAAATTTGTTTTAAGTTCCTTAAAGATGCTAGATATTAGGTCTTTGTCAGATGCATAGTTTGCAAAAATTTTCTCCCATTCTGTAGGTTGTCTCTTCACTCTGTTGACAGTTTCTTTTGCTGTGCAGAAGCTCTTTAGTTTAATTAGATCCCATTTGTCAATTTTTGCTTTCATTGCAATTGCTTTTGGCATCTATATCATGAAATCTTTGCCTGTTCCTATGTCCAGAATGGTATTGCCTAGGTTATTTTCCAGGGTTTTTATATTTAAGTCTTTAATCTATCTTTAGTTAATTTTTGTATATGGTGTAAGGAAAGGGTCTGGTTTCAATCTTCCGCATATGACTAGCCAGCTATCACAGCATCATTTATTGAATAAGGAGTCCTTTCTCCATTGCTTGTTTTTGTCATGTTTGTTGAAGATGTGCAGCCTTATTTCTGCACTCTTTAGTCTGTTCCATTGGTCTATGTGTCTGTTTTTGTATTAGTACCATGCTGTTTTGGTTACTGTAGTCCTGTAGTATAGTTTGAAGCTGGGTAGCATGATGCCTCCAGCTTTATTCTTTTGGCTTAGAATTGCCTTGGCTATTGGGCTCTTTTTTGATTCCATATAGATTTTAAAATAGTTTTCTCTAGTTCTGTAAAGAATGTCATTGGTAGTTTAATAGGAATAACATTGACTTTATAAATTGCTTTGAATATTATAGCCATTTTAATGATATTGATTCTTCCTATCCATGAGCATGGAATGTTTTTCCATTTGTTTGTGTCCTCTTTGATATCTTTGAGCAGGGTTTTGTAGTTCTCCTTATAAAGATCTTTAACCTCCCTGGTTAGCTGATTCCTAGGTATTTTATTTTATTTCATAGCAATTATGAATAGGATTTTGTTCCTGATTTGGCTCTCATCTTGACTATTGTTGGTGTATAGGAGTACTAGAGATTTTAGTACATTGATTTTGTATCCTAAGACTTTGCTGAAGTTGTTTATCAGTGTAAGGAGCTTTTGAGCAAATAACCTGCTCCTGAATGACTTTGGGTAAATAATCATATTAAGGCAGAAATCAAGAAGTTCTTTGAAATTAATGAGAACAAAGAAACAACATACCAGAATCTCTGGGACATAGCTAAGGCAGCGTTAAGAGAAAAATTTACAGCACTAAATGTCCACGTAAAAAAGTTAGAAAGATCTCAATTTAACCACATAGTAACACAACTAAAAGAATGAGAGAACCAAGAGCAAACCAGTCCCAAAGCTAGCAGAAGACAAGAAATAACCAAAATCACAGCTGAACTGACGAGATTGAGACATGAAAAACCATGCAGAAGATCAATGAATCAAGGAGCTAGTTTTCTGAAAAAAAAAAATAATAAATAGACCACTAACTAGACTAGCAAAAATTTTTATAATGTAAGAATAACACTGACACCTGGCAACAGGCATAAAACAAAGCTAAAGAAGATTAAATTTTACAATTCTTCTCTAGCAAGGGCTCCTTCCAAAGCCCTGGCCCAAAATTTATATTAGTAACTCACTGTTCTTTTTCTTGGAGTGCCCCCCAAATTGTAGAAGCATCAGTCTTCTTAAAACCTATGTCAAGCCGGACACGGTGGCTCATGCCTGTAACCTTAGCACTTTGGCAAGCCAAGGCAAGTGGATCACCTGAGGTCAGGAGTTCAAGACCAGCCTGGCCAACATAGTGAAATCCTGTCTCTACTAAAAATACAAAATTTAGCCAGGTGTGGTGGCATGTGCCTGTAGTCCTGCTTACTTGGGTGACTGAGGCAGGAAAATCACTTGAACCTGGTAGATGCAGGTTGCAGTGAGTCGAGATCACACCACTGCACTCAAGCCTGGGTGACAGAGTGAGACTCCATCTCAAAACAAACAAACAAACAAACAAAAAACCTAGGTCCCCCTCTCCTAAAATCAAAACTGAATAAAAATAGCACAAAAATAAGAAAACCACAGTATTATTTTACTTATGAATATCAATACAAATAATCCTCAAAAAATGTCATTAAACAGAACTCAACAGCATATAAAATATAACACATGATGACCCAGTGGATTTTCTATTAGGAATGCAAAGATAGAGAGAAATTCACTAATATAATTTATCATCATAATAGCTCTAAGAAGAAAAGCCACACATCTTCATAGCTGCTGAAAAGCCATTAGTTACATATAATACTAATTTTTTAAATTTAAAAACCCCATTAAGAATAAATGGAGTCTTCCTTAACATGATAAAGGTACATCTAACTATACTAAAAAGTCTGCATTGCACTTGTCTATTACTATGCACCAAATGCATTTAAAAAAATAGTGGTTTTACAAAGATATGGAATCAAACTAAATGGCCATCAATGATAGACTGGATAAAAAAAAATGGTGTACACATACACCATAGAATACTATGCAGCCATAAAAAAGTACAAGATCATGTCTTTTGTGGGAACATGGATGGAGCTGGAGGCTGTAATCCTTAGCAAACTAACACAGGAAGAGGCAAACAAATTTCACATGTTCTCACTTATAAGTGGGAGCTAAATGATGAGAACACATGGACACATAGCGGAGAATAAGCACACACTATGGTTTTTTGGAAGGTGGAGGGTGGGAGAAGGGAAAGGATTAAGAAAAATAACTAATAGGTACTAGGCTTAATACCTGGGTGATGAAACAATCTGTACAACAAACCCCTATGACACAAGTTTACCTGTGTAACAAACCTACACTTATACCCCTGAAGTTAAAATAAAAGTTAAAAAAATAGTGGCTTTAAAACAATTACAATTATTCATTTTGCTTACAAATCTGGAGGTTGCATAGGCTTTGCTAGGATGCTTTTTCCAGGGTCTGTCAGAGTTACTGCCAGACAGTGGCTGTGGCTCAGGCCAGGGTCTGTCAGAGTTACTGCCAGACAGTGGCTGTGGCTCAGGCCACCTCCAAAGGTTTTTCACTTCAATGTCTGGTGCCCAGGCTGCAAAGACTGAAACAGCCGGGGCTGCAGCAGCTGAAGCTTCTCTTGCATTCCTCTCTATATGAGACCTCCAGGTAGGGACCTCAAGAGAGCTGGATTTTTTAAATGACAGCTAAAGGTGCCCAAAGTGAGTGTCCCAGTAGAGAGAAATTGGCATAGCCTTTTCTACCCTTCTGGGAAAGCCGACAGAGCAAACTTTGTTGCGCTGTATTTCTTGAGACAGCCATAAAGCCCTATCCAAGTTCAAGAAGAAGATGCATAGATTCCATCACTTAAAAAGAGACTGTCAAAAATTTGCAAATATGTTTTAAAAGCCACTGTGGCATTATACAATGGGGAGACACCAGAAGCATTCTGATTAAAGTCAAAAACAAAATAAGGATTCCATTATTAATTATGATTTAGTATTTGATATTATTCTAGAGTAGAGATGGGCAAACTTTTTCTATAAAATGCTGGGTAGCAGTTATTTGTAAACCATAATGTCTCTGTCACGACTACTCAACTGTAAGGCAAAAGCCATAGATGGTACATAAATGAATGGATGTGGTTGTGATCCAATAGAACTTTATTTACAAAAACAGGTGGCAGGCTAGATTTGGTCCATAGGCTGTCATTTGTTGACCCTTGTTTTAGAGTTTCTGGCCAATACAATAAGAAAATTCAGAAAGATAAATGGGTACACAATTGAAATACAAAAATGAATAGAACTCAAAAATACCAGGATTAGACCATGCGCAGTGGCTCACACCTGTAATCCCAACACATTGGGAGACTGAGGAGGATGGATCACTTGAGGTCAGGAGTTTGAGAAGAGCCTGGCCAACATAGTGAAACCCTATCTCTACTAAAAATATGAAAATTAGCTTGGTGTGCTGGTGGGCACCTGTAATCCCAGCTACTCAGGAGGCTGAGGCAGGAGAATCACTTGAACAAGGGAGGCAGGGGTTGCAGTGAGCCAAGATCGCGACACTGCACTCCAGCCTGGGCAACAGAGCAAGAGTCTATCTCAAAAGAAAAGAAAAGAAAAAAATACAAGCATGAGAAGATATAACAAAGGAGTAGGAAAAAAAAAAAACCTAAAATACCTGGGAGTATAACTTTAATACCCAAGAAGCAAGAACTGTGGACAATCTAGAATGGAAATTTTAAGATGTTCCAGAAGACCATAATTTGTTCTACAAATTTGCTTGTGAACCTGCAAGATAATGAAAATGCAAGGTTATATATTACAGTAGTGTTTGAAATCGCAAAACATTGCAAACAACTGGCCTGGCAATAGAGTATGGGTTAAATTATTGTATATGCATCCAATAGAATATTAAGCATCTCTTAAAGAAGAATGAGGAAGCCTTTTGTGTACTGATGTGAAATGTGTTTCAAGACATATTGTTGCCGGGCATGGTGGCGCACGCCTGTAATCCCAGCACTTTGGGAGGCCAAGGTGGGCGGATCACCTGAGATAGGGAGTTCAAGACCAGCCTGGCCAACATGGTGAAACCCTGTCTGTCTCTTCTAAAAATACAAAAATTAGCTGGGCATGGTAGTGCACGCCTGTAATCCCAGTTGCTCAGGAGGCAGAGGCATGAGAATCACTTGAACCTAGGAGGCGGAGGTCGCAGTGAGCCAACACCGCACCACTGCACCCCAGCCTGGGCAACAGCAAGATTCTGTCTCAAAAAAAAAAAAACAACAAAAAAAAAAAAACAGAAAAAAAAGAGATATATTGTTAATAAAACACACATGTATAAAATATGAAAAATGTACAGTCTTCTACCATTTGTCTGAAAAAGGTTGAAAGAGGGAATATATAAAAATACATACATGTAGGCATTTGCTAAGATGGTTGTGAAAAGACACACAAGTGACTGAGAACATTTCTCCCAGAAAGGGCAAATGGTTGGCTGAGGACAGAGGTGGAGAAAGACTGTGTGTGCACCAAATATTCATTCTAGGTTTTGATTCTTGAGCCATATAAGTGCATTAACTATTCAAAAATAAATACTATTTTTAAAATACTATTTATACACTAAATAAAGTCAAGTGCTTTTAAATCCTTTAAAACATTCGTGGTTATTGTTTACTTTTCCTCACAAGTCTTTACATACCACAGGCTTTGGAGGCATACAGATCAGAACAAGCATAGAGATTAGTGATTAAGAGCACAGACGCTATAGCTCCAGACCACCTGCATCTGAATCCCAGCCCTTCCAGTTAGGATCTGTGTGATCCTGAACTAATTAATTAATATCTCTGTGCCTCGATCTATATACCTGTAAAACAGCAATATCAATAACTCCTTCATAAGATAAATGGAATTATCTGTTTAGTGTTTTATCCAGTGCCTTGATGGAGTAACTGTGTATTATAATTATGCTGTAGTGTCTAGACAAACAAAAGATGGAGGAGGAAATAGAAAAGTGAGCATGTTTCTGAGGATATTTATCTTATAGGTTAGTGAACCATAGTTTTAACAGGCCTTAAATTTGAGAAACACTTCTCCTACTATAATCTCCTGTCAGACCTTTGCAATGCAGGATAGAATACCTGTTTGGCTTTGTTAAAATCCACCTGTTAAATGCAGATGTTCCTAAGCTTGTTTGATAATGGTACCTTAGACACACAGAAAACCTATTATTATCTCTCAGGAAACTTTTATTTAGAGCCGCACTTCTCAAACTTTAATATGCATATGAACCACCTAGATTTATTCTTAAAATTCAGACTCTGATTCAGTAGATCTGGGGTGGGGACTGAGATCCCTTTTTTCTATCTCCCAGATGAAAGGCTTTTTAGAAGCAGCTTGGGAAATGCTGACGTGTATCATACTGCTATAGATAACTGGAAACATCTACAAGTTTCCATTCATTTCTCCATTATTCAAGTGCATTACTTGTCAACTTGTATTTAATGCCTTTTCACCTTTCACGGGACAGATTTTGTTAATTAAATGTGCCAGTTGGCTTATTATGCAGTCAAGAAAAAAAAATCTCAACCAGCCCCAACAGCAGTGACAGACATCAAAATTTATAACAGTGCATACATTTTGCTTCAAATGAAAACAGCAACAATAACAAATATGCTATTTTTAAATGACATTAGATAACATTTGTTAATTGGGCATTGTTTGTTTTTTTTAAATCTTAGGATAGTGGACAGAGCCCTGGACTTGCAACTGCTTACTTTTCCGAGCTCTAATTTCTTCATCTATAAAAGGAGAATAATAATTTGCATGTCAGAAAACTAAATAGAGATCAAGTGGCTTAAGCAAGATGGGCCACTAGAGGTACCTAGTGCTAATCTCCCCCTCCGAAAAGGACCCAAACAATAAATAAACAATCACATTTTGACTACAGGGTCTAAAGGAGAGTGCTGGAGTACAGCAAGGAAGTAGCAGAATCCTTGTGGAAACCCAGAATGGCAGCATATGGAGGGGAACAAAGCACTCTGCCTCTGCCAACCCGTCTGCCCCCACTAGGATGGTCTTGGAGCCTGGGGTGACTTCTTGTGGGGAAAAGATAAGCTGGAGGCTTCTAGCAACCCTGTTACCACCACAGACACTTGCAGTCATTACTACAGGAGAATCCCACAGTCCTCACAGGCCTTGAGCCCAGGACGGAGAGCTGCCTGGAGTTCACAAGGCTGCATTGCTCCAGAGTAGGAGCCTACATTGTGCACCGCCCACCCACCCAAGTGTCTACAACACAGGGCCATCTTGAAGTCAGACGTACTGCTACAGTGTGTCCTGCTCTTGGGCCACTAGCAACTTTGTCTCTCCATCTCTGAGGCTCCACCATTATTTTCCATGTCTATAACAGGTGGATGCAGTGCTCCTACTCAGAGCCTAGACCCAGTGGAACAGCTATGACTCTGATAGCTGAGCCCACATGACGCGCAGCCGTCCTCCCTGACCAAGGAATAGGCAGTCCTGCACAGTGGGGAAACCAGCCCAAAACCAGTGGACCTGCCATATGTGCATGCTCTTAGCCTGAGAACCAGCCTGGAGGCCCTGCCTCCAGAGAGCTTGTCCCCAAGCCAGCCAACGCACCATATATGTACACCCTCGGCCTAAGAAGCAGTCCAGAGGCCCTGGCCCTGGTGAGCTTGCCCCCCAACCCAGCTGATCAGCCACGTGCATTCCCACCTTGGACTGAGAGCCAGCCAACCACACTGCTCACAGCAAAGTCACACCACTGCTGATGTGGTTTGGATCTGTGTCCCCACCAAAGCTCATGTTGAACTGTAATCCCCAGTGTTGGATGTGGGGCCTGGTGGGTCATGGAGGCAGATTTCTCATGAATGGTTTCGCATCGTCTCCCTTGGTAGTGTCCTCATGTTAGTGAGTGAGTTCTCATAAGATCTGGTTAGTTAAAAGCGTGTGGCACCTCCCCGCCCTCTTGCTCTTGCTCTTGCTCCTGCCATGTGAGACACCTGCTCTCCCTTTGCTTTCTGCCATGATTAGAAGCTTCCTGAGGCCTCCTCAAAAGCAAAAGCCTCTATGCTTCCTGTACACTCTGAAGAACCATAAGCCAATTAAACCTCTTTTCCTTATAAATTACCAAGTCTCAGGTATTTCTTTACAGAAATGTGAGAATGGACTAACACAGAAAATTGGTATCAAGAAGTGGAGCACTGTTCTAAGTGTGGAAACGACTTTGGAACTGGGTAATGGACAGAAGTTGGAAGAGTATGAAGGGCTCAGAAGAAGACAGGAAAATGAGGGAAAGTTTGGAACATCTTAGATACTGGTTAAATGGTGACCAAAAAGCTGATAGTGATATGAATAATGAAGTCCAAGCTGAGGAGTTCTCAGGTGGAAATGAAGAACATACTGGGACCTGGAGCAAAGGTCACTTTTATTATGCCTTACCAAAAAATTTGGCTGCATTGTGCCCCTGCCCTAGGGAATCTGTGGAACTTTGAACTTGAAAGTGATGATTTAGGGTATCTGGCAGAATAAATTTCTAAGCAGCAAAGTGCTCAAGATGTCACCTAGCTGCTTCTAACAGAGTATGCTCACATGCATTTGCAAAGAAATGACCTAAAGTTGGAACTTATATTTAAAGGGGAAGCAGAGAGTGAAAGTTCAGAAAATTTGCAGCCTGGCCATATGGTAGAAAGGAAAAGCCCATTTTCAGGGAAGTAGTTCAAGCAGGCTGCAGAAATTTGCATAGCTAAAAAAGAAGCAAGTGCTGATAGCCAAGACAATGGGGAAAAGGCCTCAATGACATTTCAGAGATCTTAGAGGCAGCTCCTCTCACCATATGCCTAGGAGGAGAGCATAGTTTTTGTATGCCAGACCCAGAGCCCTGCTGTCTCACACTACCTCAGAGCACTGCTTCCTGCATCCTGGCCAGTCCAACTCCAGCTGTGGCTCAAAGGGACCCAGGTACAGCTCAGGCCACTGCTTCAAAAGGTGTAAGCCATAAGCCTTGGCAGCTTCCATGTGGTGTTAAGCCTGCTGGTCCACAGAGTGCAAGGGTGAATAAGGCTTGGAAGCCTCCACCTAGATTTCAGAGGATATATGAAAAAGCCTGGGTGTCCAGACAGAACCTTGCTGCAGGGGCAGAGCCCTGACAGAGAACCTCTACTAGGGAGGAGTGAAGGGGAAATGTGAGTTAGAGCCCCCATATAGAGTCCCCAATGGGGCACCGCTTAGTGGAGCTATGAGAAGAAGGCCACTGTCCTCCAGACCTCAGAATGGTAGATCCATTGACACCTTGCACCCTACCTCTGGAAAAGTCACAGGAAGTCAACACCAGCCCATGAGAGCAGCCACAGGAGATGAACCTTGCAAAGCCACAGGGGTAGAGCTACCCAAGGCCTAGGGAGCCCCCCCTTGCACCAGTGTGTTCTGGATGTAAGACGTGGGGTCAAAGGATATTATCTTGGAGCTTTAAGATTTCATGACTGCTTTGCTGGCTTTCAGACTTGCATGGGGCTTGTAGCCTTTTTTTATTCTGGCCAATTTATCACTTTCAAAATGGGAGTGTTTACCCAATGCCTATACCTCCAATGTATCTTGGAAGTAACTCACTTGTTTTTTTATTTTACAGACTCATAGATGGAAGGGACTTGCCTGTCTCAGATGAGACTTTGGACTTTTGAGTTAATGCTGGAAAGAGTTAAGACTTTGGGGGATTATTGGGAAGGCATAATTGTATTTTGCAATGTGAGAAGATCATGAGAGTAGGAGGGCCAGGGGCAGAGTTATATGGTTTGGATCTGTGTCTCCAGCAAATCTCATGTCAAATTGTAATCCTCAGTGTTTGGAGGTGGGGCCTGCTGGAAGGTAACTGAATTATGGGAATGGATTTCTCATGAATAGTTTAGCACCATCCCCTTTGGTACTGTCCTTTTGATAGTGAGTGAGTTTTCATGAGATGTGCTTGGTTAAAAGTGTGTAGCACCTCCCCTCCTCACTTTCTCTTGCTTCTGTTCCTGCCATGAGATGCCAGCTCCCTCTTTGCTTTCTGCCATGAATGGAAGCTTCCTGAGGCCTCCCCAAAAGCAGAAGCCACTATGCTGTCTGCACAGCCTTTATAACTGTGAGCCAATTAAAACTTTTTTCTTTATAAATCACCTAGTCTTAGGTATTTCTTTACAGCAATATGAAAACTAACACAACTGCCACCATGAATTATCACAGCTAGGCCATTGAGGCACACATAGACATTGCTGACATGAATTACAGCTGAAGAAACTGCTCAGAGACTGTACAACTGCATCCACCAGAATCAAAGCCAAAAAACCTTACAAAACTGACACCGTAGAACTGATTTACATTACATTAAAAAGGATTTTCTTTAAAAAGCTACTTTTAAATTGGAAGCAATGACTATTCTGTAGATGCACAGATACCAACATAGGGACACAAGACACAAGAAGAAGCAAGTAAACATGACACCCCCAAATGAACAAAATAATTCTCCAGTAACAGATCCAAAAGGAACAACAGAAATTTATGAAATGCCTGAAAAGGAATTCAAAATAGTGATGTTAAGGAAAATCAATGAGATTCAAGAAATATAGACAAATAATTCAATGAAATTAGAAAGACAATTTATGATATAAATGAAAAATTTAACTAAGAAATAGATATCATTTTAAAAGAAACAAACAGAAATCTTGGAGTTGAAGAATTCAATAAATGAAATTAAAAAATACAATTCAGAGCTTTATCAACAGACTAGACCAAGAAGAAAAAAATTCTGAACTTGAAGGCACATCTTTTGAAAAATCCAGTCGGGGGGAAAGCATAAAATAAAAAAGAATAAAGAAAGCCTATGGGACACCATTAAGCAAACAAATTTTCACATTTATTGGATTTACAGAATGAGAAGAGATAGAGAAAACTAGAAAAAAAAACATATTTAACAAAATAATAGCTAAAAACTACACAAGTCTTGGGAAAGATATGAGCACCCAGATCCATGAAACTCAAAATTCCTCAAATAGACTTAACCAAAAATTTAACCAACAATGTGCTCTAACGCACATTATAACCAGACTGTCAAAAGTAAAATGAAGAATTCTAAAAGCATCAAGACTAAAAGCATCAAATGACATATAAGGGAATCCCCATTAGACTATCAGCAGATTTCTCAGCAGAAGACTTGCAGGCTAGAAAAGAATGGAATGATATATTCAAAATGCTAGAAGAAAAAAAAACCTGCCATCCAAGAATACTATATCCAAAAAAGGTATCCTTTAAAGATGGAGGAGGGCCAGGCATGGTGGCTTATGCCTGTAATCCCAGTACTTTGGGAGGCCAAGGTGGGCGGATCACGAGGTCAGGAGATTGAGACCACGGTGAAACCCCGTCTCTACTAAACATATAAAAAATTAGCCAGGCGTGGTGGTGGACGCCTGTAGTCCCAGGTACTCAGGAGGCTGAGGCAGGAGAATGGCAAGAACCCAGAAGGTGGTGCTTGCAGTGAGCCAAGATCGCGCCACTGCACTCCAGCCTGCGTGATGGAGCGAGACTCCATCTCAAAAAAAAAAAAAAAAAAAAAAGATGGAGGAGAAATAAAAGTCTTCCCAAACAAGCAAAAGCTGAGGGAATTCATTGCAACTAGACTGGCCTTACAAGAAATGCTTAGCGGAGTGCTATAACTAGAAGCAAAAGAATAATTACCATCATGAAAACACATGAGAGTATAAAATTGACTAGTAACTCTAAATTCATAATTAAGCTCAGAATACTCCAGTACTGTAATAGTGAGATGAAAATCTTTCAAACCTCTCATATGAGGGTTAAAAGTCAAAATGGTAAAAATAACTAAAGCTCAAATTAGCTGTAAGAAACATAATATATAAAATACAAATTAAGTCAACAAAAATGTAAATTGTGGGGGGTACGGTAAAAGTTTAGAGAAGTTTTATGCAAACAAACATAAGTTATCAGATTAAAATAGTCTAAGATTCTTTATGTTAGCCCCATCATAAACACAAAGAAATTGCAGCAGATACACAAATACAAAAGGGAGGAAAAAATAAAAGCTTAGCACCACAGAAAGCCACCAAACCACAAAAGTAAACAAGAGATAAAGAAAAAAACCAAAATATCTACAAAACAACCAGAAAACAATTAGCAAAATAGCAGCAGTAAGTTTTTACCCATCAATAATAACTTTGAATGTAAATAGATTAAATTCTTCACTTAGATAGAATGGTTGAATGTATAAGAAAAACAAGACCCAACTATATACCACCTACAATGGACTCACTTTACCTGTAAGGTCACACAAAGACTAAAAGTGAAGAGATGGAAATAAAAATATTCCATGCAAATAGAAACCAAAAGTAAGCAGGGTAGTCATACTTACATCAGACAAAATTAACTTTAAGTCAAAACTGTAAAAAATAAAAAAAAGAGGAAAAGGTCATTATATAGTGATAAAGGGATCTATTCCATCAGAGCATATCACAATTAGAAATGAATATGCACCCAACTTCGGAGCACCTAAATATGTCATACCAATATTAGAGGTGAAGGAAGAAATAGACTGCAATACTATAATAGTAGGAGACTTCAACACTCCACTTTCACCAATTGATAGATTATCCACACAGAAAATCAGCAAAGAAACATTGGATTTAAAATGCACTCTAGACCAAATAGACCCAACAGACATGCACAGAACATTCTAATAGCAACAGAATACACATTCTTCTCAACTGTACGTGAAACATTCTTCAGGATAGATCATACGTTAGGCCATAAAACAAATCTTAACAAATGTAAGAAGGTAGAGATCATATCAGGTATCTTATCTGATCCCAAAGGTATGAAACTAGAAATCAATAACAGCATTTACAACTGCCACCAAAAATATAAATAAGATACCTAGAAATAAATTTAAACAAGGAAGTGAAAGATCTCTTCCCTGAAAACTATGAAACATTAATAAAAGAAATTGAAGAAGACATAAATAACTAAATAAATATACCTTGTTTAAGGATTGGAAGAATTAATATTGATCAAAAATCCACATTATTCAAAGTGATCTACAAATTAAATGCAACTTCTATCAAAATACCATTGACATTCTTCACAGAACTATAAATAACAATCCTAAAATGTAAATGGAATCACAAAACTTTCCAAATAGAAAAAGTAATTTTGAGCAAAACAAAGCTGGAGACTACACTACCTGACTTCAAAATATATTACAAAATTATGGGAATCAAATCAGCATGGTACTAGCAAAAAGCAGGCCCATAGGCCAATGGAACAAAACAGTCCACTAATAAATCCACACAGTCAAATTATTTCCAACAAAGATACCAAGAACATACATTAGGAAGAGGACCCAACTCTTCAATAAATGGTACTGGATAAATTAGATATCCATATGTAAAAGAATGAACTGAACCCCCTATCTTTCACCATACCAAAAAAACCTACTTAAAATGGATTAAAGACTTCCTTTGTGATTTAAAATTTGGATTTAATTGCTTTTCCAAAGGTTATTGGAATACAGGTGGTATTTGGTTACATGAGTAAGTTCTTCAGTGGTGATTTGTGAGATTTTGGTGCACCCATCACCCAAGCAGTATACACTGCACCCTACTTGTGGTCTTTTATCCCTCGGCCCCTCCAACCCTTCTCCCCAAGTCCCCAAAGTCCATTGCATCATTCTTAAGCCTTTGTGTCCTCATAGCTTCGCTCCCACATATAAGTGAGAACATACAACGTTTGGTTTTCCATTCCTGAGTTACTACACTTCGAACAATAGTCTCCAATCTCATACAGGTTGCTGCAAATGCCATTAATTCATTTCTTTTATGGCTGAGTAGTATTCCATTGTGTGTGTGTATATATACAATGTGTATATAAAGAAACTGTGAGATATGTATATATATACATATCTCACAGTTTCTTTATCCATATCTCACAGTTTCTTTATCCACTCATTGATTAATGGGCATTTGTGTTGGTTCCACGATTTTGCTATTGCGAGTTGTGCTGCTATAAACATGCATGTACGAGTATCTTTTTCATATAATGACTTCTTTTCTCTGGGTAGATACCAGGTAGTGGGATTGCTGGATCAAATGGCAGTTCTACTTTGTCTTTTTTGTTGTTTTTTGTTTGTTTGTTTTGAGATGGAGTCTTGCTCTGTCACCCAGGCTGGAGTGCAGTGGCACGATCTTGGCTCACTACAACCTCCGCCTCCCAGGTTCAAGCAATTTTCCTGCCTCAGCCTCCCAGGTAGCTTGGATTACAGGCACCTACCACCACACCCAGCTAATTTTTTGTATTTTTAGTAGAGCCGGGGTTTCACCATATTGGCCAGGCTGGTCTCAAACTCCTGACCTTGTGATCTGCCCGCCTCAGCCTCCCAAAGTGTTAGGATTACAGGCGTGAACCATCACACCCAGCCTCTACTTTTAGTTTTTTAAGGAATCTCCACACTGTTTTCCATAGTGGCTGTGCTAGTTTACATTCCCACCAGCAGTGTAGAAGTGTTCCCTGATCACCACATCCATGCCAACATCTAATGTTTTTTTATTTTTTTATTATGCCCATTCTTGCAGAAGTAAGGTGGTGTTGCATTGTGGTTTTCATTTGCATTTCCCTGATCATTACTTATGTTGAGCATTTTTTCATGTTTGTTGGCCATTTGTATACCTTCTTTTGAGAATTGTCTATTCATGTCCTTAGCCCACTTTTCAATGGGATTGTTTTTTCCTTGATGATTTGAGTTCATTGTAGATTCTAAATATTAGTCCTTTGTCAGATGTATAGACTATGAGGATTTTCTCACACTCTGTGGGGTGTCTGTTTACTCTGCTGACTGTTCCTTTTGCCATGCAAAATCTCTTTATTTCAATTAAGACACAGCTATTTATCTTTGTTTTTATTGCATTTGCTTTTGAGTACTTGGTCACGAAATCCTTGCCTAAGCCAATGTCTAGAAGAGTTTTTCCAACGTTGTCTTCTAGAATTTTTATAGTTTCAGGTCTCAGATTTAAGCCCTTAATCCATCTTGGGCTGATTTTTGTATAAGGTGAGAGACGAAGATCCAGTTTCATTCTCCTACATATGGCTAGCCAATTATCCCAGCACCATTTGTTTAAAGGGGTGTCCTTTCCTCACTTTATGTTTTTGTTTGCTTTGTCAAAGATCAGTTGCCTGTAAGTATTTGGTTTTATTTCTAGGTTCCCTATTCTGTTCCACTGGTCTATGTTCCTATTTTTATACCAGTACCATGCTGTTTTGGTGACTATGGCCTTATAGTATAGTTTGAAATCAGGTAATGCGATGCCTCCAGATTTGTTCCTTTTGCCTAGTTTTGGTTTGGTTATGTGGGATCTTTTTTGGTTCCATATGAATTTTAGATTTTTTTAAATTGTGTGAAGAATGATGGTGGTATTTTGATGGGAATTGTGTTGAATTTGTAGATTACTTTTAGCAGTATGGTCATTTTCACAATATTGATTCTACCCATCCAGAGCATAAGATGTGTTTCCATTTGTTTGTGTCACCTATGATTTCTTTCAGCAGTGTTTTGTAGTTTTCCTTGTAGAAGTCTTTCACCTCCTTTTCGTTAGGTATATTCCTAAGGTTTTTTTTGTTTTTGTTTTGTTTTGTTTGTTTGCATTTATTGTAAAAGGGGTCGAGTTCTTGATTTGATTCTCCACTTGGTTGCTGTTGGTGTATAGGAGAGCTACTGATTTGTGTACATTAATTCTGTATCCAGAGACTTTGCTAAATTATTTTATCCATTCTAGGAGCTTTCTGGAGTCTTCAGGGTTTTCAAGGCAAACCATCATATCATCAGCAAACACTAACAGTTTAACTTCCTCTTTCAAACTGGATGCCCTTTATTTCTTCTCTTGTCTGATTCCTCCAGCTAGGACTTCCAGTACTATGTTGAAGAGGAGTGGTGAGAGTGGGCATCCTTGTCTTGTTCCAGTTCTCAGAGGGAATGCTTTCAACTTTTCACCATTCAGCATTATGTTGGCTGTGGGTTTGTCATAGATGGCTTTTATTACATTGAGGTATGTGCCTTGTATGCCAGTTTTGCAAAAAGTTTTAATCATAAAGAGATGCTGGATTTTGTCAAATGCTTTTTCTACATCTATTGAGATGATTATGTGGTTTTTGTTTTTAATTCTGTTTATGTGGTGTATCACATTTATTGACTTGCATATGTTAAGCCATCCCTGAATCCCTGATATGAAACCCTCTTGATTGTGGTGGATTATCTTTTTGATATGTTGCTGGAAGCATCTATGTTCACCAGGAATATTGGTCTGTAGTTTCATTTTTTGGTTATGTCCTTTCCTGGTTTTGATATTAGGGTAATGCTGGCTTCATAGAATGAATTAGGGAGGGTTCCCTCTTTCTCCATCTTGTGGAATAGTCTCAATAGGATTGATACCAATTCTTCTTTGAATGTCTGGTAGAATTATGCTGTGAATCTGTCTGGTCCTGGACTTTTTTGTTGTTGGTAATTTTTAAATCACCATTTCAATCTTGCTGCTTGTTATTGGTCTGTTCAGGGTATCTAATTCTTCCTGATTTAAGCTAGAAGGGTTATATCTTTCCAGGAATTTCCCCATCTTTTCTACGTTTCCTAGTTTATGCAGATAAAGGTGTTCATAGTAGCCTTAAATGATCTTTTGTATTTCTGTGGTGTCAATTGTAATATCTCCCATTTCATTTCTTATTGAGGTTACTTGGATTTTCTCTCTTCTTCTCTTCGTTAACCTTGCTAGTGGTCTATCAATTTTATTTATCTTTTCAAAGAAACAGCTTTTTGTTTTATTTATCTTTTGTATTTTTCTGTTTCAATTTCATTTAGTTCTGCTCTCATCTTGGTTATTTCCTTTCTTCTGCTGGGTTCAGGTTTGGTTAGTTCTTCTTTCTCTGGCTCCTTGAGGTGTGACCTTAGATTGTCAGTTTGTGCTCTTATAGTCTTTTTGATGTAGAAGTTTAGGGCTATGAACTTTCCTCTTAGTATGCCTTTCCTGTATCCCAGAGGTTATGATAGTTTGTGCTACTGTCATCATTCAGTTCCAAGAAGTTTTTAATTTCCATTTTGATTTTGTTTTTGACTCATTGATCATTCAGGAACAGGTTATTTAATTTCCATGTATTTGCATGGTTTTGAAGTTTCCTTTTAAAGTTGATTTCTAGTTTTATTCTACCACGTTCTGAAAGAGTGCTTGATATAACTTCAATTTTCTTAAATTTATGGAGGGTTATTTTGTGGCCTATCATATGGTCTATATTGGAGAAAATTCCATGTGCTGTTGAATAGAATGTGTATTCTGTGGTTGTTGGATGGAATGTTCTGTACATATCTGTTAAGTCCATTTGTTTCAAGGTATAGTTTGAATCCATTGCTTCTTTGTTGACTTTCTGTCTTGATGACCTATCTAGTGCTGCCACTTAAGTATTGAAGTCCCCCACTATTATTGCATTGCTGTCTATCTCATTTCTTAGGTCTATTACTAATTGTTTTATAGATTTGGTATCTCCAGTGTTAGGTGCATATATGTTTAGGATTGTGACATTTTCCTGTTGGAAAAAGGCCTTTTCCCAGTATATAATGTCCCTGTTTGTCTTTTTTAACTGCTCTTGCTTTAAAGTATGTTTTGTCTGATGTAAGAATAGCTACCCCTGCTCACTTTTGGTGTTCATTTGCATGAAATGCCTCTTTGCACCCCTTTACTTTAAGTTTATGTGAGTCCTTGTGTGTTAGGTGAGTCTCTTGAAGGCAGCAGAAAGTTGGTTGGTGAATTCTTATCCATTCTGCAGTTCTGTTTCTTTTAAGTAGAGCATTTAGGCCATTTACATTCAATGTTAGTATTGGAATGTTAGGTAGCATTCTATTCATTGTGCTATTTGTTGCCTGTGTATCTTAGTTCTTTGGTTTTTGTTTTTGTTTTTTAAATTGTATTTTTGTTTTATAGGTCCTGTGAAATTTATGCTTCTAAGAGGCTCTGTTTTGATGTGTTTCCAGGATTTATTTCAAGATTTAGAGCTCCTTTTAGCCATTGTTATTGTGGTGGCTTGGTAATGGCAGATTCTCTCAGCATTTGTGTGTCTGAAAACGAATGTATCTTTCCTTCACATATTTTGCTTAGTTTTGCTGCATACAAAATTCTTGGCTGATAATTGTTTTGCTTGAGGAGGCTGAAGATTGGGCTCCAATCCCTTCTAGCTTGTAGGGTTTCTGCTGAAAAATCTGCTGTTGATCAGATAGTTTTCCTTTATAGGTTACCTGGTACTTTTGTCTCACAGCTCTTAAGATTCTTTCCTTCATCTTACCTTTAGATAACCTGATGGCAATGTGTCTAGGTGATGATCTTTTTGTGATTAATTTCCCAGGTGTTCTTTGTGCTTCTTATATTTAGATGTCTAGGTCTCTAGCAAGGCCAGGGAAGTTTTTCTTGATTATTCCCCCAAATATGTTTTCCAACTTTAGATTTCTCTTCTTCCTCAGGAATGCTGATTATTCTTAGGTTTGGTCACTTAACATAATCCCAGACTTCTTGGGGGCTTTGTTCATATTTTCTTATTTTTTTCTTTGTCTTTATTGGATTGGGTTAATTCAAAGAACTTGTCTTTGAGCTCTGAATTTTTTCTTCTACTTGTTCAATCTATTGCTGAGACTTTCCAGAGCATTTTGCATTTCTATAAGTGTGTCCAATGTTTCCTGAAGTTTTTTGTGTTTTATTTATGCTATCTATTTCATTGAATAGTTCTCCCTTCACTTACCATTTTTTCAATTTCCTTGCCTTGAGTTCCACATTTCTCTGTTGCCTTCCGGATTAGCTTAATAACTAACCTCCTGAATTCTCTTTCAAATAAATTAGGGATTTCTTCTTGGTTTGGATCCATTGCTGGTGCTCTAGTGTGATCTTGGGGAGTGGTGTTATACAGCTTTGTTTTGTTATATTACCAGAGTTGGTTTTTTGGTTCCTTCTCATTTGGGGAGCCTCTATCAGAGGGAAGGTCTAGGGTTGAAGGCTGTTGTTGAGATTCTTTTGTCCCATAGGGTGTCCCCTTGATGGAGTACTCTCCCCCTTTTCCTATGGATGTGGCTTCCTGGAGCCAAGCTGTAGTGATTATTATCTCTCTTCTGGGTCTAGCCACCCAGCAAGTGTACCAGGCTCCGGGCTGGTACTGGGGGTTGTCTCCACAGAGTCCTGTGATGTGAACCCTCTATGGGTCTCTCAGCCATGGATACCAGCATCTGTTCTGGTGGAGGTGACAAGGGGGTAAAATGGACTCTGAGAGTGTTCTTAGCTTTGGTGGTTTAATGCTCTATTTTTGTGTTGGTTGGCCTGCCAGGAGGTGGCACTTTCCAGAGAGCATCAGCTGTGGTAGTATCGAGAGGAACCGGCAGTGGTCAGTGTCAGGCCTCTTAGCCCAAGCCAAGCCATTGTATCACCTGTGACTTGCATGTATATGCCCAGATGGCCTGAAGTAACTGAAGAATCACAAAAGAAGTGAAAATGCCCTGCCCCGCCTTAACTGATGACATTGCACCACAAAAGAAGTGAAAATGTCCAGTCCTTGCCTTAACTGATGATATTCCACCACAAAAAAAGTGAAAATGGCCAGTCCTTGCCTTAAGTGATGACATTACCTTGTGAAAGTCCTTTTCATGGCTCATCCTGGCTCAAAAACTCCCCCACTGAGCACCTTGCAACCCCCACTCCTGCCCACCAAAGAACAAATCCCCTTTGACTGTAATTTTCCTTTATCTACCCAAATCCTATAAAATGGCCCCACCCTTATCTCCCTTCGCTGACTCTCTTTTTGGACTCAGCCCGCCTGCACCCAGGTGATTAAAAGCTTTATTGCTCACACAAAGCCTGTTTGGTGGTCTCCTCACACAGACACGCATGAAATTTGGTGCTGTGACTCGGATCGGGGGACCTCCCTTGGGAGATCAATCCCCTGTCCTCCTGCTCTTTGCTCCATGAAAAAGATCCACCTACAACCTCGGGTCCTCAGACCCACCAGCCCAAGGAACATCTCACCAATTTTAAATCGGGTAAGCGGCCTCTTCTTACTCTCTTCTCCAACCTCTCTCACTATCCCTCAACCACTTTCTCCTTTCAATCTTGGCGCCACTCTTCAATCTCTCCCTTCTCTTAATTTCAATTCCTTTCATTTTCTGGTAAAGACAAAGGAGACATGCTTTATCCGTGGACCCAAAACGCCGGTGCTGGTCACGGACTCAGGAAGGCAGCCTTCCCTTGGTATTTAATCATTGCAGGGATGCCTCTCTGATTATTCACCCACGTTTCAGAGGTGTCTGACCACGCAGGGATGCCTGCCTTGGTCCTTCACCCTTAGCAGCAAGTCCCACTTTTCTGGGGGAGAGGCAAGAATCCTGACCCCTTCTCTCCTTGCCTCTACCCCTTCTCTGCTTTTCTGGGGGGCAAGAACCCCCCAATCCCTTATTTCCATGACTTGACCCCTTATCTCTGCACCCTGATCCCTTATTTCCACGCCCCGACCTATCTCTGTGCCCCAACCCCTTATTTCCACACCCCAACCTCTTATCTCTGTGCCCCAACCCCTTATTTCTGCTCCCCGACCCCTTTCCCACTTTTCTGGAGGGTAAGAACCCCCGAACCCCTTCCCTCCATGTCTTTACTCTCTCTTTTCTCTGGGCTTGCTGCCTTCACTATGGGCAACCTTCCACCCTCCATTCCTCCTTCTTCTCCCTTAGCCTGTGTTCTCAAGAACTTAAAACCTCTTCAACTCACACCTGACCTAAAACCTAAATGACTTATCTTCTTCTGCAATACCACTTGGCCCCAATACAAACTTGACAATGGCTCTAAATGGCCAGAAAATGGCACTTTCGATTTCTCCATCCTACAAGACCTAAGTAATTTTTGTCAAAAAATGGGCAAATGGTCTGAGGTGCCTTACATCCAGGCATCTTTCACACTTCGTTCCCTCCCTAGTCTCTGTTCCCAATGCGATTCCTCCCAAATCCTCCTTCTTTCCTTCCCGCCTGTCCCCTCAATCCCAACCCCAAGCATCGCTGAGTCTTTCCAGTCTTCCTTTTCTACAGACCCATCTGACCTTTCCCCTCCTCCCTAGGCTGCTCATCGCCATGCCGAGCTAAGTCCCAATTCTTCCTCAGTCTCTGCTCCTCCACCCTATAATCCTTCTATCACCTCCCCTCCTCACACCTGGTCTGGCTTACAGTTTAGTTCCACGACTAGCTCTTCCCCACCTTCCCAACAATTTCCTCTTAGAGAGGTGGCTGGAGCTGAAGGCAGTCAGGGTACATGTACCTTTTTCTCTATCAGACCTCTCTCAGATCATTCAGCATTTAGTCTCTTTCTCATCAGACCCCACTAAATATATACAGGAATTCCAATATCTAACTCTGTCCTGTGATTTAACCTGGAGTGACTTAAATGTCAACCTGACTTCTACCCTCTCCCCAGATGATCGGGAAAGAGTTTTTTCTCTAGCCCAATCTCACGCTGATAACCACCGGCTTCACGAGCCAGACCTCCAGGAAGGCAGTAGAGTAGTTCCCCAAGAGGATCCCCAATGGAACTCTCAGGCAAATTCCCCAGGTATAGCTAGGTGAGATTACGTGATTTCCTGCCTAGTTGAAGGGCTTAAAAAGGCAGTTTACAAAGCTGTTAATTAGGACAAGCTTAAAGAGACTACCCAAGGTAAAGAGGAAAACTCAGCCCAGTTCATGGCCCGCTTAGCAGCAAACCTTAGACACTATACTGCCCTAGACCCAGAAGGGCCAGAAGGCCGCCTTATTCTTAATATGCATTTGATCACCCAATCCACTCCTGACATTAGGAAAAAACTTCAAAAATTAGAATCTGGCCCTCAAACCCCACAACAGGAATTAATCAACCTCGCCTTCAAGGTGTACAATAATAGAGAGGAAGCAGCCAGATGGCAACGCATTTCTGAGTTACAATTACTTGCCTCTGCTGTGAGACAAAACCCAGCCACACCTCCAGCATGCAAGAACTTCAAAATGCCTAAGCCACACACGCCTAAGCCGCAGCAGTCAAGCATTCCTACATGACTTCCTCCATCAGGATCTTGCTTCAAGTGCCAGAAATCTGGCCACTGGGCCAAGGAATGCCCACAGCCTGGGATTCCTCCCAAGCCATGTCCCATCTGTGCAGGGACCCATGGAAGGCAGACTGCCCAGCTCACCCGGCAGCCACTCCTAGAGCCCCTAAAGCTCTAGCCTAAGGCTCTCTGACTGACTCCTTCCCAGATCTGCTTGGCTTAGCGACTGAAGATCGACGCTGCCCGATCGCCTCGGAAGCCCCTTGGACCATCACAGACGCTGAGCTTCAGGTAACTCTCACAGTGGAGGGTAAGTCCATCCCCTGTTTAACCAATACGGGGGCTACCAACTCCACGTTGCCTTCTTTTCAAGGGCCTGTTTCCCTCACCCCGATAAGTTGGGTACTGACAGCCAAGCTTCAAATCCCCTAAAAACTCCCCCACTCTGGTGCCAATTTGGACAACACTCTTTTATGCACTCTTTTTTAGTTATCCCCACCTGCCCACTTCCCTTATTAGGCCGAGATATTTTAACCAAATTACCTGCTTCCCTGACTATTCCTGGACTACAGCGCATCTCATTGCCGCCCTTCTCCCCAACCAAAAGCCTCCTTTGCATCTTCCTCTCGTAACCCCCCACCTTAACCCACAAGTATGGGACATCTCTACTCCTTCCCTGGCAGCCGATCACATGCCCATTACCATCCCATTAAAACCTAATCACCCTTACCCCGCTCAATGCCAATGTCTCATCCCACAGTATGCTTTAAAAGGATTAAAGCCTGTTATCACTCACCTGCTACAGCATGGGCTTCTAAAACGTATAAACTCTCCTTACAATTTTCCCCATTTTACCTGCCCAAAAACCAGACAAGTCTTACAGATAGTTCAGGATCTGCACCTTATCAACCAAATTGTTTTGCCTATCCACCCTGTGGTGCCCAACCCATACACTCTTTTGTCCTCGATACCTTCCTCCACAACTCACTATTCCGTTCTTGATCTTAAAGATGCTTTTTTAACTATTCCCCTGCACCCCCCGTCCCAGCCTCTCTTTGCTTTCACCTGGACTGACCCTGACACCCATCAGTCCCAGCAGCTTACCTGGACTGTGCTGCCGCAAGGTTTCAGGGACAGCCCTCATTACTTCAGCCAAGCTCTTTCTCATGATTTACTTTCTTTCCACCCCTCCACTTCTCACCTTATTCAATATATTGATGACCTTCTTTTTTGTAGCCCCTCCTTTGAATCTTCTCAACAAGACACACTTCTGCTCCTTCAGCATCTATTCTCCAAAGGATATTGGGTATCCCCCCTCCAAAGCTCAAATTTCTTCTCCATCCTTTACATACCTCAGCATAATTCTTCATAAAAACACACATGTTCTCCCTGCCGATTGTGTCTGACTGATCTCTCAAACCCCAACCCCTTCTACAAAACAACAACTCCTTTCCTTCCTGGGCATGGTTGGATACTTTCACCTTTGGATGTCTGGTTTTGCCATCCTAACAAAACCATTATATAAACTCACAAAAAGAAACTTAGCTGACCCCATAGATCCTAAATCCTTTCTCCACTCCTCTTTCCATTCCTTGAAGACAGCTTTAGAGACTGCCCCCACCCTAGCTCTCCCTGACTCATCCCAACCCTTTTCATTACACACAGCTGAAGTACAGGGTTGTGCAGTCGGAATTCTTACACAAGAACCAGGATCATGTCCTGTAGCCTTTTTGTCCAAACAACTTGACCTTACTGTTTTAGGCTGGCCATCATGTCTCCGTGCAGCACCTGCTGCTGCCCTAATACTTTTAGAGGCCCTCAAAATCACAAACTATGCTCAACTCACTCTCTACAGCTCTCATAATTTCCAAAATCTATTTTCTTCCTCACACCTGGTGCATATACTTTCTGCTCCCTAGCTCCTTCAGCTATGCTCACTCTTTGTTGAGTCTCCCACAATTACCATTGTTCCTGGCCCGGACTTCAATCCGGCCTCCCACATTATTCCGGATACCACACCTGACCCTCATGACTGCATCTCTCTGATCCACCTGACGTTCACCCCATTTCCCCACATTTCCTTCTTCCCTGTTTCTCACCCTGATCACACTTGGTTTATTGATGGCAGTTCCACCAGGCCTAATTGCCACTCACCAGCAAAGGCAGGATATGCAATAGTATCTTCCACATCTGTTATTGACGCTACCGCTCTGCCCCCCTCCACTACCTCTGAGCAAGCCGAACTAGTTGCCTTAACTCAGGCCCTCACTCTTGCAAAAGGACTATGCATCAATATTTATACTGACTCTAAATATGCCTTCCATATTCTGCACCACCGTGTGGTCACATGGGCTGAAAGAGGTTACCTCACTACACAAGGGTCCTCCATCATTAATGCCTCTTTAATAAAAACTCTGCTCAAGGCTGCTTTACTTCCAAAGGAAGCTGGGGTCATTGACTGTAAGGGGCATCAAAAGGCATCAGAACCCATTGCTCTAGGCAACGCTTATGCTGATAAGGTGGCTAGACAAGCAGCTAGCTCTCCAACTTCTGTCCCTCATGGCCAGTTTTTCTCCTTCACATCAGTCACTCCCACCTACTCCCCCGCTGAAACTTCCACCTATCAATCTCTTCCCACACAAGGCAAATGGTTCTTAGACCAAGGAAAATATCTCCTTCCAGCCTCACAGGCCCATTCTATTCTGTCGTCATTTCATAACCTCTTCCATGCAGTTTACAAGCCGCTAGCCCGTCTCTTAGAACCTCTCATTTCCTTTCCATCACGGAAATCTATCCTCAAGGAGATCACTTCTCAGTGTTCCATCTGCTATTCTACTACCCCTCAGGGATTGTTCAGGCCCCCTCCCTTTCCTACACATCAAGCTCAGGGATTTGTCTCTGCCCAGGACTGGCAAATTGACTTTACTCACATGCCCCGAGTCAGAAAACTAAAATATCTCTTAGTCTGGGTAGACACTTTCACTGGATGGGTAGAGGCCTTTCCCACAGGGTCTGAGAAGGCCACTGCAGTCATTTCTTCCCTTCTGTCAGACATAATTCTTCAGTTTGGCCTTCCCACCTCTATACAGTCTGATAACAGACCAGCCTTTACTAGTCAAATCACCCAAGCAGTTTCTCAGGCTCTTGGTATTCAGTGGAACCTTCATATCTCTTACCATCCTCAATCTTCAGGAAAGGTAGAACAGACTAATGGTCTTTTAAAGACACACCTCACCAAGGTCAGCCTCCAACTTAAAAAGGATTGGACAGTACTTTTACCTCTTGCCCTTCTCAGAATTAGAGCCTGTCCTCGAGATGCTACACGGTACAGTCCATTTGAACTTTTATATGGATGCACTTTCTTGCTTGGCCCCAACCTCATCCCAGACACCAGCCCTCTAGACGATCATCTTCCAGTCCTCCAACAGGCTAGACAGGAAATTTGCCAGGCTGCTAATCTTCTCTTGCCTACTCCAGATCCCCAGCCATATGAAGACACCCTAGCTGGATGATCAGTTCTTGTTAAGAATCTGACCCCTCAAACTCTACAACCTTGATGGACCGGACCCTACTTAGTAATCTATAGTACCCCGACTGCCGTCCACCTGCAGGATCCTCCCCACTGGGTTCACCGTTCCAGAATAAAGCTGTGTCCATCGGACAGCCAGCCTAATCCCTCCTCTTCCTCCTGGAAGTCACAAGTATTCTCCCCTACTTCCCTTAAACTCACTCGTATTTCTGAAGAACAGTAATAGCCCTTATGAGCCTAATACATCCCTTCATTCTATTAGATCTGTTCGTCCTTACCCTACTTTTTGCAACAGGGCTTTACGAAGTCACCCTCACCACTTGGGCTGATCCCCAAAAAACTAGTCAACCCTACTATCTTCTGTCTAGTCATACTCCTATTCTCCATTCTCAACTACTTATAAATGCCCTGCTCTTGTTTTCACTGCTGGTTTACACTGTTTCTTCAAGCCATCACAGCTGATATCTCTTGGTGCTATCCCGCAACTGCCACTCTTAACTCCCTCTTAGAGTGGATAGATGATCTTTGCTGGCAGGGCACCCTCCAATACTTCCGCCCTGATGAAGTTCTATTCTTTACTTTTATACTCACTCTTATTCTCATTCCCATTCTTATGCCACCCTCTACCTCTCCCCAGCTATCTCCACCACACTATCAACCTTACCCATTCTCTCCTAGCCGCTTCTAATCCCTCCTTAGTGAGCAACTGCTGGCTTTGCATTTCCCTTTCTTCCAGTGCCTACACAGCTGTCCCCGCTTTACAGACAGGCTGAGCAACATCTCCTGTCTCCTTACACCTCTGAACTTCCTTTAAGAGCCCTCACCTTTACCCTCCTGAAGAACTCATTTACTTTCTAGACAGGTCCAGCAAGACTTCCCCAGACATTTCACATCAGCAAACTGCCACCCTCCTCTCCACTTATTTAAAAAACGTTTCTCCTTATATTAACTCCACTCCCCCCATATTTGGACCTCTCACAACACAAACTACTATTCCTGTGGCCGCTCCTTTATGTATCTCTCGGCAAAGACCCACTGGAATTCCCCTAGGTAATCTTTCACCTTCTCGATGTTCCTTTACTCTTCATCTCCAAAGCCCAACTACACACATCACTGAAACAATTGGAGTCTTCCAGCTCCATATTACAGACAAGCCCTCTATCAATACTGACAAACTTAAAAACGTTAGCAGTAACTATTGCTTAGGAAGACACTTACCCTGTATTTCACTCCATCCTTGGCTACCTTCCCTTTGCTCGTCAGACTCTCCTCCCAGGCCCTCTTCTTGTTTACTTATACCCAGCTCTGAAAATAACAATGAAAGGTTGCTCGTAGTTACTCAACGTTTTCTCATACACCATGAAAATCAAACCTCCCCCTCTGTGCAGTTACCCCATCAGTCCCCATTACAACCTCTGACGGCTGCCGCCCTAGCTGCAACCCCAGGAGTCTGGGTACAAGACACCCCTTTCAGCACTCCTTCTCACCTTTTTACTTTGCACCTCCAGTTTTGCCTCACACAAGGTCTCTTCTTCCTCTGTGGATCCTCTACCTACATGTGTCTACCTGCTAATCAGACAGGCACATGCACACTAGTTTTCCTTACCCCCAAAATTCAATTTGCAAATAGGACCAAAGAGCTCCCTGTTCCCCTCATGACACTGACACAACAAAAAAGAGTTATTCCACTAGTTCCCTTGCTGGTCAGTTTAGGACTTTCTGCCTCCACTACTGCTCTCGGTACTGGAATAGCAGGCATTTCAACCTCTGTCACGACCTTCTGTAGCCTGTCTAATGACTTCTCTCCTAGCATCACAGACATATCACAAACTTCATCAGTCCTCCAGGCCCAAGTTGACTCTTTAACTGCAGTTGTCCTCCAAAACCGCTGAGGCCTTAACTTACTGCTGAAAAAGGAGGACTCTGTATATTCTTAAATGAAGAGTGTTGTTTTTACCTAAATCTATCTGGCCTGGTGTATGACAACATAAAAAAACTCAAGGATAGAGCCCAAAAACTTGCCAACCAAGCAAGTAATTATGCAGAACCCCCTTGGGCACTCTCTAATTGGATGTCCTGGGTCCTCCCAATTCTTAGTCCTTTAATACTCATTTTTCTCCTTCTTTTATTCTGACCTTGTATCTTCTGTTTAGTTTCTCAATTCATCCAAAACCGTATCCAGGCCATCACCAATCATTCTATATGACAAATGTTTCTTCTAACAACCCCACAATATCACCCTTTACCACAAGATCTCCCTTCAGCTTAATCTCTCCCAATCTAGGTTCCCACGCCGTCCCTAATCCCGCTTGAAGCAGCCCTGAGAAACATCGCCCATTCTCTCTCTCCATACCACCCCCCAAAAATTTTCGCCACCCCAACACTTCAACACTATTTTGTTTTATTTTTCTTATTAATAGAAGAAGGCAAGAATGTCAGGCCTCTGAGCCCAAGCCAAGCCATCACATCCCCTGTGACTTGCACACATACGCCCAGATGGCTTGAAGTAACTGAAGAATCACTAAAGAAGTGAAAATGCCCTGCCCCGCCTTAACTGATGACATTCCACCACAAAAGAAGTGAAAATGGCCGGTCCTTGCCTTAACTGATGACATTACCTTGTGAAAGTCCTTTTCCTGGCTCATCCTGGCTCAAAAAGCTCCCCCACTGAGCACCTTGCGACCCCCACTCCTGCCCACCAGAGAACAAATCCCCTTTGACTGTAATTTTCCTTTATCTACCCAAATCCTATAAAACGGCCCCACACTTATCTCCCTTCACTGACTGTCTTTTCGGACTCAACCCGCCTGCACCCTGGTGATTAAACGCTTTATTGCTCACCCAAAGCCTGTTTGGTGGTCTCTTCACCCGGATGCGCATGAAAGTCAAGGCCCTAGAACTCTCAAGAATATATGCCCTTTGTGTTCTGTGACCAGAGTGGGTAGGGAAGGACCATTAGGTGGGAGCAGGGCTAGGTGTCTTTGAGCTCAGACTCTCTCCTTGGGTGGGTCTTGCTGCAGCTGCTGTGGGAAATAGAGGTGAGGGTTCCAGGTCAATGAAGTTATGTACCTAGGAGGATTATGGCTGCCTCTGCTGAGTCATGCAGGTTGTTAGGGAAGTTGGGGAAGCTGGCAGTCACAGGCCTCACCCAGCTCCGACGCAATGTGAAGGGCCAGTCTCACTCCCGCCATGCCACCCCTAACAGCACTGAGTCTGTTTCCAGGCAGTGGTCAAGCAGGACTGAGAACTTACCCCAGGCCACCTGCCTCCCAGCTGCAAAGGAAGGTAGGGCTTTAATTCTTCCCCCACCTGTGGGGTCTGCCTGCCGGATTCACGCCCTCCCCGAGTTCTGGCCAGGAGGCTTCTCAACCAGTTCAAATTGTTACAAAGTTCAGCTGTAGATTCCCTTCTCCCTGTGGCATTTTCCCCCATGCCTCTGGCCACCCTCCCAAAGGATCCCTGTGATGCCAGGCAGGAATGGTCTCTCTGGGGACCCAGAGAGATCCCAGGGCCTTTCCCACTGCTTCCTCTACCCTCGTATGTTGCTTGGTTCTCTAAACTGACTCAGCTCCAGGTAAGTTCAGAATCTTCTTGTGTAAACTAGACTTTCGGTTTCCCCATTTGGGGTGTGTGTTTGGTGGCTGAGAATCTCCCTTTCCCACCTCCACAGTTTAGGCACTTACAGTATTTGGGGTGTCTCCCATATCCTGTGGGAGCAATCTGCTTCCTTCAGAGGGTCCTCTTCATTTTGTTTATTTATTTTAAAAACATTGCTGTGTCGCCCAGGCCATAGTACAGTGGCATGATCATCTGGATTAAAGACTTAAACACAAAATCTTATACTATAAAACTAGTAGAAGATGGCCGGGTACAGTGGCTCATGCATGTAATACCAGCACTTTGGGAAGCTGAGGTGAGAGTGAGAGGTGACAACGTGCTAGCAGCCATCGCTCGCTCTCTGCCCCTCCTCAGCGTCGGCTCTGGCCGCCCTCGAGGAGCCCTTCAACCCGCCGCTGCGCTGTGGGGGCCCCTCTCTGGGGCTGGCTGAGGCCGAAGCCGGCTCCCTCTGCTGGCGGGGAGGTGTGGAGTGGGAGGCGCGAGCGGGAGCCGGAGCTGCGTGCCGCACTCGCCAGCTGGCTCGGTTTCTGGGTGGGCGCGGGCTCAGCGGGCCGCACTTCGCGCGGCGGCCGGCGCCTGATGGGCTTGATCAGGGGGACGAGCTCCCTTTGGGCTGCTGGAGAGCCGGGGCCAGGTGCCGCAAAGTCCCACTGCAAGTGCCATTGAGAGGTGAAGCCGGCTGGGCTTCTGGGTCGGGTGGGGACTTGGAGAACTTTTCTGTCTAGCTAAAGGATTGTAAACGTACCAATCAGCATTCTGTGTCTAGCTAAAGGTTTGTAGATGCACCAACCAGCCCTCTGTGTCTAGCTAATCTGGTGGGGACTTGGAGAACTTTTGTGTCTAGCTAAAGGATTGTAAACGTGCCATTCAGCACTCTGTGTCTAGCTAAAGGATTGTAAACACACCAATCAGCGCTCTGGATCTAGCTAATCTAGTGGGGACTTGGAGAACTTTTGTGTCTAGCTAAAGGATTGTGAAGGCACCATTCGGCACTCTGTGTCTAGCTAAAGGATTGTAAACACACCAATCAGCACTCTGTCAAAATGGACCAATCAGCTCTCTGTAAAATGGACCAATCAGCAGAATGTAGGTGGGCCCAGATAAGGGAATAAAAGCAGGCCACACGAGCCAGCAGCAGCAACCTGTTTGGTCCTGTTCCACGTTGTGGAAGCTTTCTTCTTTCGCTCTTAGCAATAAATCTTGCTGCTGCTCACTCTTTGGGTCTGCACTGCCTTTATGAGCTGTAACACTCACCGCAAAGGTCTGCAGCTTCACTGCTGAAGCCAGCGAGACCAGGAACCCACCAGAAAGAAGAAACTCCGGACACATCTGAACATCTGAAGGAACAAACTCCGGACACACCATCTTTAAGAACTGTAACACTCACTGCGAGGGTCTGCGGCTTCATTCTTGAAGTCAGCGAGACCAAGAACCCACCAATTCCAGACACAAGAGGATCACCTGAGGTCAGGAGTTCGAGACCAGCCTGGCCAACATGGTGAAACTCCATCTCTACTAAAAATACAAAAATTTTAGCCAGGAGTGGTGGCACATGTCTGTAATCCTAGCTACTCGGGAGGCTGAGGCAGGAGAATCACTTGAAACCAGGAACTGGAGGTTGTAGTGAGCCAAGATTGCGCCACTGCACTTTAGCTTGGGTAACAGAGCGAGACTCCATCTCCAAAAAAAAAAAAAAAAAAAAAAAAAAAAAAAAAAAAAAAAAAAAAAACTAGCAGAAGAGAACATAGGAGAAACAATCATGACATTAAACTGGGCAGTGTGTTTTCATGGTTTTGTAGATAAGACCTCAAAAGCAGAAGGATTGAAAGCAAAAATAAACAAATGGAATCATATCAAGCTAAAAAGCAAGCAAAGAAAACAACAGAGGGAAAAGACAACCTATAAAATGGGAGAAAATATTTGCATACTATACATCTTACATGGAGTTAATATCTGGAATAGATAAGGAACTCAACTCAAAGGCAAAATAATCATCATCATGCTATTTAAACATGGGCAAAATGGCTGGGCTCACACCTGTAATCCCAGCACTTTGGGAGGCAAGACAGTTGAATCACTGGAGCCCAAGAGCTCAAGACCAGCCTGGGCAACATAGTGAAACCCCATCGCTACAAAAATTAGTCAGGCATGGTGTAGATGCCTGTAGTCCCAACTACTTGGGGGACTCAAGTGGCAGAATCGCTTGAACCCAGGAGGTCTAGACTGCAGCGAGTCATGTTCTTGCCACTGATTCCCAGCATAGGCAACGGAGTGAGACTCTGGCTCAAAAAAAAGCAAATGGGTAAAAATATTTAATAGATATTCTTTCAAAAGAAAACATACAGATGGCTAACAGACATATGGAAAAATGCTTAACATCATTAATTAGGGAAATGCAAATCAAAACCACAATGAGATATCACCTCACTCCATTTCAAATGGCTATTATCAAAAAGACCAAATTATTGTTGAGGATGTGGAGAAAAAAGAACCATTACAGCCATTTTGGAAAATAATATGGAGGTTCTACCAAAAATTAAAAATAGAACTACCATATGATCCAGCAATCCCACTATATATATAGATATATGTAGATACATAGTTTTTTTGTTTTTTTTTTTTTTTTTTTTTGAGATAGGGTCTCACTCTGTTGCCCAGATTGGAGTGCAGTAGCGTGATCTTGGCTTACTGCAACCTCCGCCTCCTGGGTTCAAGCCATTCCCCTGCCTCAGCCTCCCGAGTAGCTGAGATTACAGGCATGCATCACCACGCCCGGCTAATTTTTGTATTTTTAGTAGAAACGGGGTTTCACCATATTGGTCAGGCTGGTCTTGAACTCCTGACCTCATGATCCACCCGCCTCGGCCTCCCAAAGCACTGGGATTACAGGCATGAGCTGCCGCTCCCAGCCTACTAGGTATGAAATGAAAACAGTACGTTGAAAAGGTAACTGTACTTTCATGTTTATCGCAGCATTATTTACAATAGCCAAGATATAGAATCAAGCTAAGTGTTCAATAACAGATGAATGGTTAAAGAAAATGTGATATATGGCAGGGCGCGGTGGCTCATGCCTGTAATCCCAACACTTTGGGAGGCTGAGGCGGGCAGATCACCTGAGATCAGGAGTTCGAGGTCAGCCTGCCCAACATGGATAAACCCCATCTCTACTAAAAATATAAAATTAGCCAGGCATGATGGCACATGCCTGTAATCCCAGCTACTCAGATGGCTGAGGCAGGAGAATCGCTTGAACCCAGGAGATGGAGGTTGCGGTGAGCCGAGATCATGCCATGGCATTCCAGCCTGGGCAATAAGAGCGAAACTCCGTCTCAAAAACAAAGAAAAAGAAAATGTGGTATATATACACAGTGGAATACTATTCAGCCATAAAAGAGAATGGAATCCTGTCATTTGCAACAACATGGATGAATCTGGAGGGCATTATGTTAAGTGAAATAAGCCAAACACAGAAAGACAAATACAGCACGATCTCACTCACGGGAATCTAGAGAGTTGGTCTTGTAGAAGTGGTGAGTACGACAGTGGCCACCAGAGGCAGGGAGATTAGGGGAAAGGGAGAATGGGGAGAAACTGAGTAATGGGTAGCCTGGATAGCTCAGTTGGTAGAGCATCAGACTTTTAATCTGAGGGTCCAGGGTTCAAGTCCCTGTTCAGGCGATGGCGTTTGTTTTTAGGCTGGGAGGCGAGCGGAGGTTGCACTTAGCCGAGATCACACCATTGCACTCCAGCTTAGGCAAAAAGAGTGAAACTCCATCTTAAAAAAAATAAAATAAGAAAAATTAGAGGCAAGCGGAGGTTGCAGTTAGCAGAGATCATGCCATTGCACTCCAGCTTAGGCAAAAAGAGTGAAACTCCTTCTTAAAAAGAAAAGAAAAAAAAAAAAAAGTTGGTCAATGGGTACAAAGTTGCAATTAGAATAAGTTTTGGTGTTCTATTGCACAGCAGGGTAATAATATCACATATTTTGGTGTTCTGTAAAGTTACAATTAGAATAAGTTTTGGTGTTCTATTGCACAGCAGGGTAATAATATCACATATTTTGGTGTTCTGTTGCACAGTAGGGTAACAGTATGGTCAACAATAAAGTATTATATATCAAACTACCTAGAAAAGAGGATTTTGAATGTTCCCAACACAAACAAATGATAAATGTTTTAAGTGATGGATATGCTAATTACCCTGATTTGATTATTATGCGATATATATGTATCAAATCATCACATTTCCCATAAATATGTACAATTATTATGTGTTTCATTAAAAACCTAAAATAATTTTAAAATTAAAATAAATTAAAATGTTTAAATTAAAAGTTTGAAAAGAAAACTAAATAGAAAGGTTCATATACAGAACACATGGCATTTAACAGTTAATCAATACATTTAAAAAATTTTAGATTCGGGAGTACACGTGCAGGTTTGTTACATGAGTATATTACATGATGCTGAGGTTTGGGCTTCTAATGATTCCATCACCCAAGTAGCTTTTCAATCCTTACTCCCTCCCTCCCCCTTTTTGGAATCTCAGAATTTGAAATCTATTATTCCCATCTTTATGTTTGTGTGTATCCAGTCAATACATTTTTAATTAAAGTAATTAAAGATTACATTTGTTTAGAGGTCTATGTCACATAAGTTAGGATTTCTTTAGAATGATAATTCTCAAATTTTATTGTGCAGCAGAATTACCTAGAGAGTTTGTTAAAACAAATAGAGAAACAGGCCGAGCGCAGTGGCTCACTCCTGTAGTCTCAGTACTTTGGGAGGCCGAGGTGGGCAGATCACCTGGGGTCAGGAGTTCAAGACCAGCCTGGCCAACATGGCGAAACTTTTCTCTACAAAAATTACCCGGGCATGGTGGCACGTGCCTGTAGTCCCAGCTACTTGGGAGGCTGAGGCAGGAGAATTGCTTGAACCCGGGAGCCAGAGGTTACAGTGAGTTGAGATCGTGCCACTGCACTCCAACCTGGGCGACAGAGAGAGACCCCATCTCAGAAAAAAGAAAAATTGGAGAAACCCCCAGAGTTTCTAACTTTGCATTTTTTACAAGTTCTCAGGTGGTGCTGATGCTATGGGTACAGGGACCACACTTCGAGAACTCTAGAAGAAAAGAGAAAAAGATATGAGTAATTGTATACATTTATAGAGAGGCTAATATGATAAACAGTACTTTGCCATAGTACTAGTGATAGAACTTTGTGATACAGTATAATTTTTTGGAACAAATTTAATTTCCTAATTCAATTTAGTGTCAGTCCTTTGGATTTAGGTTTCCCGAGCACCTAAAAAAAAACAAGAAACCCAGAAGGGTGCTGGTTGACACTTTTTCAACCACATAACTTTCAAAATAAAAATAAAGCCCTATGTTTGTTATTCCATAGTATTCTGATATTTATAAATGTTTTAAAATGTGTTATTCCATGTGCTGCTAATAATCACCTGGGAGGTAGGCAGGGTAAGAATTCGTATCTGAATTTTATAGGGGGAAGACCTGAAGCGTATGGGAATCAAATAATTTGTGCAAAGACACACAGCTAGTAAGTAACAGAGCCAGAACACAGACCTGAGACCTCTGATTCCCCTGCCTGGGCTGTTTCCACTGAACCCCACTGACTTTAATGAGATAGTATTAAATTATATCTCTTCATTTCTATACAATGTATCCCTTATTTTAAGTCATTGCTCCATCTTGTTTTGAGTCTTATCAAAGACTTGTCTTACGTTTTAAGTCTTTTTTTTTTTTTTTTTTTTTTTTTTTGAGACCAAGTTTCACTCTCGTCGCCCAGGCTGGAGTGCAGTGGCGCCATCTCGACTCACCGCAACCTCCACATCCGAGGTTCAAGCAATTCTCCTGCCTCAGCCTTACTGAGCAGCTGGGATTACAGGCATGCGCCACCACGCCCAGCTGATTTTGTGTTTTTGGTAGAGACGGGGTTTCTCCATGTTGATCAGGCTGGTCTCGAACTCCCGACCTCAGATGATCCGCCCACCTCGGTCCCCCAAAGTGTTGGGATTATAGGCGTCAGCCACTGTGCCCAGCCTAAGTCTTGTTTTAAGTCTTATTGCTCCATAACTCACAGACAGAAATGTACATAATTGAACCGTGGTATTCCTAAACTTCCACCAGGGTTGATTTTCCAGCCACCACTCCTAACCTTGATATTTAATGGGTACCACCAACTCACCTTCATTCACCCCAAGTATTGATAACATTAAAAATATATTCCATTTAGGACTGGGAATAAATTCTCATACACTTTAAAGTTCCAGTCCTATGGTTGTTTTTGTGTGAATAACTAAAATGTATCACCAACATACAGTAATAATTCATTTTAACAATATATATTCCTCCAGAAAGTTTATAATTATTACATAAGCTCACAATATAATACAGCTCCGATATTTAGTTGGAATGCAACTTATTCAGGGGAATTTTACATATATTATAATTTTGTGCCTTTATCCTCCTTTCTTTATAAACATTCACTCTAAAGTATCAATTTCTTACTTAAAAACATTAGTTATAAATTTCTCCTCTTGAAATGATACCTGAAAATTGTATCAGTTCTTCTCACAGGTCAAATTATATAGAACCATAAACTCTGAAAAGTTTTGAGGCTCAGTAATATTTTCATTTTCACGTGGTAAAATATTCTGTTGTAGAAAGTAGGAAAATTTTCAGAAAAACATAGACAAAATCAAAGAAGGGGCATTTACATGGCTATTTAGAAATACTGACAGGAGAGGGTGAAGGATAAAAGAAGACATATTGGATCCAGTGTACACTGCTCAGGTGACAGGTGCACTAAAATTTCAGAAATCACCACTAAGAACTTATCCATGTAACCGAAAACCACCTGTGCCCCCAAAACTATGAAAATACTAAAAAATCAAAAAAGAAACGCTAAAAGGAGGAAATGATGATAACTCAGAACTAAAACTGGTTCACCAAGAGCATGACATGTCAGACTAACCTTGAGTTTTTCACTGACAGGGTCACTGAACTTCAACAGATTTTATCAAAGCATTTGACAATGACTTTCAATGGTATCATGTAGGAAATAAAATATGTTTATGAAAAAATAACTGAAGTGACATCAGAAAGATGGTTGACTAGAAATGTCTGGCACTAAGCAGTACTAAGAGGCAAGATTATAAAAAAAATGCCTACATCAATAAGCTAGAAAGGTTTCAAATAAACAACCTAATCATACACCTCAAAAAACTAGAAAAGGCTGAACGTGGTGCTTACGCCTGTCATCCCAGCACTTTGAGAGGCCTCCACACAAGAAAGGACTAAGACAATGAAGAAATTACTAAGATTTGACTGGAGTGTCGAAGGGAGCATGCTGAAGTGCAGTGGGGGAGTGGAGGCACACCTGTGGTGAGTGGAAGTCCAGGAGGGCAGCATGGAGGCACCCAGCCTCTGCAGTCCCATCACCCAGTACCAGATCAGATCTTTCCAGAGTCAGGAAGGACTTCCCATTGTGAGGAAAAGATAAGAGGAGATCCCCACCAGACCCCATTGACACTTTACCTGCAGTCCTTACAACAAAAGAATCCCAGAGTTCTCACAAGCCCTGACCCAGTTTTGAGAGCTGCCAGAATTCACACAGCTGAATTGCCACAGATTACCTCACCCACCCACTGTGAGCCAAGCCGCTGCAGCATGGCACCATCTTGAAGCTAGAGTCATTGCTGGAGTGTACCTGCTCGGGGGATCAGTAGCCACTGCACCACTCCAGCACTGGGGCTGAAATAAATTTCTTGAAATAAATGAAAATAGAAACAAGGCCGGGTGTGGTGGCTCATGCCTATAATACCAACACTTTGGGAGGCCAAGGTGGGCAGATCACCTGAGGTGAGGAGTTCGAGACCAGCCTGGCCAACATGACAAAACCCCATCTCTACTAAAAATACAAAACTTAGCTGGGTGTGGTGGGAGGTGCCTGTAATCCCATTTACTTGGGAGGCTGAAGTGAGAGAATTGCTTGAACCTGGGAGGTGGAGGTTGCAGTGAGCCAAGATAGGGCTATCGCAGTCCAGCCTGGGAGATAGAGTGAGACTTTGTCTCAAAAAAAAAAAAAAAAAAAAAAACCTCGAAAAGTAAGAACAAGCCAAACCCAAATTAGTAGAAGAAATGAAATAATAAATATAAGAGAAAACAATAAACAAAATTTACACTAAAAAAATACAAAAGACCAATTAAAGAAAAACCTACTTTTTAAAAAATAAAGAAAATCAACAAACTTCTTTCCAACATTTACTACAAAGCTATAGTAATCAAAACAGCATGATACTGACATAAAAAAGAAACATAGACCAACTGAACAGAATGGAGAATCCAGATATAAATCCAAACATTTATAGCCAACTCATCTTCAACAAAGACACTAATAACATACAATAAGAAAAGAACAGTTTTTTTCAATAAATGGTGCTGGCTCATATGTTCCTCACAGCACTATTCACAATAGCAATAACATGAAATCAACTCAGTGCCCATCAGTACTGGACTGGATAAAGAAAAAGTTGTACATATACAACATGGAATACTATCCAACCATAAGAAGCAATGAGATCATGTCCTTTGCAACAGCATGGATGGAGCTGGAGGACATTATATTAAGAGAAATAAGCCAGGCACGGAAAGACAAATATCACATGGTCTCACTCATATGTGGGACCTAAAAATGTAGCTCTTATAAAGATAGTAGATTGGTGGTTACCAGAGGCTGGGAAAAGTAGAGTAGTGGAGAAGATGAAGGGAAGAAAAAAGAATATAAATATAATTATTACCACTGAACTGTGTACTTAAAATGGTAAAAAAAAAAAATGGTAAATCTTATATGTACATTTTACCTCAATAAAAATTAAATTAAAAATAAATTTAAAATTTTAAAAGGCACATCATTTTGAACCCTAAAAAAAGAAGCAGCAGCACAGGCAATAAAAGCAAAAATAAACAAATGAGATTATATCAAACTAAAAAGCTTCTGTGCAGCAAAGGAAACAGTCAACAGAGTGAAAAGACAACCTACAGAATGGGAGAAAATATTTGCACAAACTACCTATCTGACAGAGGATTAATGTTCAGCATATAAAAGAAACTCAAACATTTCAACAGAAAAAAAAACTGATTTTTTTAATTTTTTTTTTTACCATTTTAAAACTGGTTCTTACTTTAAAAAATTTTTTTATTTCCATAGGTTTTTGAGGGATTGGAGGTATTTGGTTTCATGAATAAATTCTTTAGTGGTGATTTCTGAGATTTTGGTGCACCCATCACCCAAGCAGTATACACTCAAATAATCTGATTTTAAAATGAACAAATGACCTGAACAGACATTTCTCAAAAGAAGATATATATATGGCCAACAGGCATATGAAAAAATGTTCAACATATCTAATCATCATGGAGATGCAAATCAAAACCGCAAAGAGTTATCATCTCACCCCAGTTAGGATGGCTGTTATCAAAAAGACAAAAAAAACAACAAATACTGGCAAGATTCTGAGAGAAGAGAATGCTTATACACTGTTGGTGGGAATGTAAACTAGCATAGCCACTATGGAGAACAGAATAGAGGTTCCTTAAAAAAACTACAAATAGAACAGCCATATAACCCAGCAATCCCATTAATGGGCATTTATCTAAAGGAAAGAAAATCACTACATTGAAAAGACAACTGCATCCCCATGTTTATTATAGCACTAGTCACAATAGCCAAGATTTGGAATCAAACTAGGTATTTGAGAACAAATAGGTGGATAAAGAAAATGTGGTATATATACACACAATAGAATACTATTCAGCCTTTAAAAATAAGAAAATCTTATCATTCACAGAAACATGGATGAAACTGGAAGACATTATGTTAAACAAAATAACCAGGAAGAGCAAGTTAAAGATATGTTTTCACTCATATATGGAATTTTTTAAAGTTGACCTCATAGAAGCAATAGGTAGAACAGGATACTAAAGACTGGGAAAGATAGTAGGGAGGGGAGGATTTGGAGATGCTTGTTAAAGGATACAAAATTACCGACAGGAGGAACACATTCTAGTGTTCTCTACCATTGTAGGATGATTATAGCTAACAATAATATGTTTCATAGTTTCAAATTGCTAGAAGGGTGATACTGAACGTTCCCAACACAAACAAATGATAAATGTTTGAGATGATAGATACGCTAATTACTGTGATCTGATCAACATACAGTATGTGTGTTGAAACATCACCACGTACCCCATAAAGATGTGCGATTATTATGAGTCAATTTTTTAAAACCCCAGGAATTAAACAAATAATAATAACTAAGGAAATTAGCATATGGTAGAAAAAGAAAAAGGAACACTTATACACTGTTGGTGGGAATGTAAATTAGTTCAATTTCTATGAAAAACTGTGTGGAAGTATCTCAAAGAACTAAGAATAGAACTACTGTTTGATCCACCAATCCCACTACTGGCCACCTACCCAAAGAAAAGGAAAGCATTATATAAAACAGACATCTGCACTCAAGACGTTTATTGCAGCACTAAACACCATAGCACAGTCTTGGAACCTTCCTAAGTGTCCACCAATGGCTGACTGGATAAAGACAATGTGGTATGTATACACCATGGAATATTACACAACCATTAAAAAAGAATGAAATCAACCTGGCGTGGTGGCTCACACCTGTAATCCCAGCACTTTGGGAAGCCGAGGCAGGTGAATCACGAGGTCAGGAGATCGAGACCATCCTGGCTAACATGGTGAAACCCCGTCTCTACTAAAAATACGAAAACAAAATTAGCCGGGTATGGTGGCGGGTGCCTATAGTCCCAGCTACTCGGGAGGCTGAGGCAGGAGAATGGTGTGAACCCGGGAGGCAGAGCTTGAGGTGAGCTGAGATCGCGCCACTGCACTCCAGCCTGGGCGACAGAGCGAGACTCCGTCCCCCCAAAAAAAAAAAAAGAAGAGAATGAAATCATGTCCTTTTCAGAAACATGGGTGGAGCTGAGGCCATTATCCTAGATGAACTAATTCAGAAGCAGAAAATCAAATATCACATGTTCTCACTTATACAATGATTCTCACTTAAGCAGTGATTACAGGCCGGGTGTGGTGACCCATACCTGTAATCCCAACACTTTGGGAGGCCGAGTGGGAGGATCACTTGAGCCCAGAAGCTTGAGACCAGGCTGGGCAACATAGTGGGACCCTGTCTCTACAAAAAAATACAAAAATTCACCAGGAGTGGTAGCGCATGCCTGTAGTCCCAGCTACTCGGAAGGCTGAGGTGAGAGGGCCACTTGAGCCCGGAAGGTTGAGGCTGCAGCGAGCCGTGATGTTACCACTGCACTCCAACCTGGGCAACAGAGTGAGAACCCATTTAAAAAACAAACAAACAAACAAAAAACACAACAGGTACACATGGACATAAAGATGGAGATAATAGACACTGAGAATTCCAAAAGAGGGGAGGTTGGGAGGGAAGTGAGGGTTGAAAAATTACCTGCTGGGTACAATATTCAATATTTGGGCTATAGGTGCATTAGAAGCTCAATCCCCACCATTACGCATGTAATACCCATATTACAAGCAAGCAAATGTACTCCCTAATATAAAATAAAATTGTTGTAAATGGTAGGACAGATAATCAAATAATTAAGTGAATTTTAAAAATTATACATTAGGAGGTTCCTGCTGGTACGTCCTGAGTCAACAAATGAAAGTTAGCCTTGGCCAGGTGCAGTGGCTCATACCTGTAATCCCAGTACTTTGCAGGGCCGAGTAGGGAGGATCACTTGAAGCCAGGAGTTCGAGACCTGCTTGGCCAACATGGTGAAAGCCCGTCTCTACTAAAAATACAAAAATTAGCCAGGCATCTTGGTGGGTGCCTGTAATCCCAGCTACTCAAGAGGTTGAGGCACGAGAATCACTTGAACCCAGGAGGCGAAGGACAGATTACTTGAGGCCAGGAGTTCAAGACCAACCTGGCCAATATGGTGAAACCCCATCTCTACCAAAAATACAGAGCTGAGCCGAGCATGGTGGCACATGCCTGTAATCCCAGCTACTCAGCAGGCTGAGGCACGAGAATTGCTTGAACCTGGGAAGCAGAGGTTGCAGTGAGCCGAGATCGTGCTACTGCACTCCAGCCTGGGTGACAGAGTGACAGAGTGAAACTCCGTCTCAAAAAAAAAAAAAAAAAAAAAAGTCGCTGCTCTAAATGCTAGGTGAAATCATATGTATGTCCAAAACTGTTCAAATATTCAACCTCATATGTGGGGAGCTGTCCTATCATGGCATCCCTCTGTTCTTAATCCCTTGATGTTGCCCAACTCCACTGATGAATTTGCAAATCTCTCACTCTGATATGCCTCGTATACATTTTAGCCAAATCGGATTGCACACTGTTCTCCAAACATCCCAGACTTCCTCGTCTCTGCTTTTCTTTATGCTACAGCCTCTAACATTTCTTCTCTCTCTCCTATATCCCTCCTCTGTATGGCAATGAACCTGGAAATCTACTATCAGTACACTCAGATGTGAGCTCACTTATTTTATGCCTTACTGATCCAGTGTTCTCACAAGCCCCTACTCAGTGACTAAGTAGGAAGGAAAGTCTGCCTAGATTTAGTTGAATTCAGTACAGTAATGTAACTTGTCCTTTAGAACACACTTAGCCTTTATGTGGAAAACTGAATGCCTGACCCCTCAGAATGGCCATTCTCTTGCCTGCCTCTCCAGCTCTCTGTAGTGACATCTGAGCATGCCGTGGGGAGGCAGGAGGGGAGGCTTGCTGGATCTCTTGGTGGAAGTGAAGACTGTGGGATTCTTGGATGTCTCAGCCTCAAGGGGGAGAGAGAAAATGAAAAGGAGAAATCTACCTTTCCCATAGCCCTCTCTCTCTCTTCTTTTCCTTTGCATTCCTTCTGTAAGAATCCTAATCTAGGCTGGGTGTGGTGGCTCACGTCTGTAATCTCAGCACTTTGGGAGGCCAAGGCAGGCAGATCACTTGAGGTCAGGAGTTCAAGACCAGCCTGGCCAATATTATGAAGCTCCATCTCTACTAAAAATACAAAAATTAGCTGGGCATGGTGACAGGAGCCTGTAATCCCAGCTACTCAGGAGGCTGAGGCAGGAGAATCGCTTGAACCCGGTAGGTGGAGGTTGCAGTGAGCCAAGATTGTACCACTGCACTCCAGCCTGGGCAACAGAGCAAGACTCCATCTCAAAAAAAAAAAAGAAAAAAAAGAAAAGAAAAAAGAATCCTAATCTACCTCTAGGTAAATAGGTACCTGAGACCAAAAAGAAGAAGATCATGTGCTAAGAGTCCAGAAAAAATAAGAACCCATGCCAAAGCCCCTTCCTAACTCCTGCGTTACACTTTCACCATTGGCCATTCTATGTTGCATTGTTTCAGTGGTTCTTTTATCTCTTAGGGAAAGACTTAACAAGATAAAAAGCAAGGGAAAGGAGTGAGCCAGGCCACTCCAGCAGGGACTGAAACAGGTGTGACAGGATGGGGAGAAGAGCGGAAAGTTGGTTGACTAGAAGTTTCAACAGAAGAAATTGAAATAACAGATGAAGCAGAAAGCTTTGTCACAAAGAGCACATCAGGCCAGGTGCGGTGGCTCACGCTTGTAATCCCAGCACTTTGGGAGGCCAAAACGGGTGGATCACCTGAAGTCAGGAGTTCGAGACCAGCCTGGCCAAAGTGGTAAAACCCTGTCTCTACAAAAAACACAAAAAATTAGCTGGGCGTGGTGGCGAGCACCTGTAATCCCAGCTACTCGGGAGGCTGAGGCAAGAGAATCACTTGAACCCAGAGGATGGAGGTTGCAGTGAGCCAAGATCGCACCATTGCACTCCAGCCGGGCAACAGAGCAAGACTCTGTCTCGAAGAAAAAAGAAAGAAAAAGTACATCCTCCAGGACAGCTTCTCTGATTCTCTAGCTTTGTGCTGGATGCCTCTCTTAGTGTGTTCCCATTGTGGTAAACCAACAGAGGCTGGACCCCAGGCAGTGAAGTCTAAAGTTGTGGAAAATCTTCCTAGGTTCTGCAGGTAGGATGGACACAGCACGGTAATGGTCCTAAAGGGACAAATTCATAGGGACTCAGGCCACTCAGTAGACAGTGGCTGACAACCATTGACCAGAAGGTCCTCCCCAGTGGTTTAGCACGGGTGACCTTTGTGCCTTTGTATGTTCTTGGAGACAGGAGCTCCAATAATGACTGAAGGTTAATTTCCTGCCAGCAAATTGGTTATTTTGATTCCAATGCAATTTTTTAAAGGAAATTAAGAAATTTGATATGCTTTGCACACCTGGGTTTGTACACTAAGATCTGTTCCCACTATAATAGCCTAGCTTATCCTGGGGGAATTTGAACCTGGAGGTGAATCTGTGTTTGCAGTCTTTTAGTTTAAGACCTTATGCTCTCAACCTAGTGTCCAGTCAGCTTGGTTGGTCCAGTCAGCTTGGTCATGTGCCTAGGCCACTCTGACTGTCGCATTATTAATAGGTAATATGAACCTAACACCATGATTAAACCACAGAACATTCCCTGATTCTTCTCTTTTAAGGCTCACAACTCATGCTAGTATATATCATACATACATATATGTATAGATACTGTATCTATATATGTATCTATACATATATACATATGTATAGATACTGTATTGTATTGTGTGATGCTGTTTTATATCTATATAAAATATAGATATATTGTGTGATACTACTTTATATCTATCTACCTGTCTATCTATAAAATAGTATCACGCAGTATATCTTGCCCATTTCCAACAGTGTTGAAGAATTCATTGAGCTTATTTGTGAGCCATAAGCATCTTCATCAAGTGATGCCTCTCTTTTCTCCCCCAGCCCAATCATCAGGTTCCACACACCCATACCCTGATTCAGGTTGCTGAATATATATGTTAGACAAATGTGTTCAAAACTAAAGCCCTCAGAGGTTCTTAAGACTCTAGGCATCCTAAGGCCCTTCCCATTCTGACTTCAAACTACCTTTCAGGTTTTGTCTTGCTGTGTGAAGATACACACACACACACGCATACACACACATGCAAACACTACAATTTAGCCATACCCAGCAGCTTCCCTTTTTTGAATGTGCCATAGTCATTTGCCCCTTTGTGTCCCTACACACACACACACACACACACACACACACACACACACACACACACTATTACCTCTTGGGAATGCCCTCCTGTTTCTGTCCCCCTCCACTTGATTAACACCTATTGAAACATCGAGATGCATCTCAGATGTCCCTCCCTCTCCTGACTCAGGACAAGCTAGAACTCCCTAGTCTCCGGGCTAGGAGTGTTTAGAGGACACTTTGTTCCACAGTGGATACATTTTTATAGCAACTGGTTTATCTGCCCAGTCATTAACCCATCAGCTCCCACAGCGTGTACTGTGTGTGTGCATCTTTGGATTCCTAGTTGATTGCAGTATCAAGCACAGATTAAGCACTTGATATGTATTTCCTATATAAATGAATGACTGATAAAGCAATGAGGTGATCAGGAAGTCAAAGTGATTACATTGCCCACTACAGAAATCAAATGAATTTGGACGGGATGCTCAATTCAATCCTATTTTAATATATTGCCAAATAAATTTTTTCTTTATGTTTTTCTTTTTTAATTAAAAAAATTAAATTTAATAAAGAGATGAGGTTTTTCCCTGTGGCCCAGGCTGGTCCTGAACTCTTGAGCTCAAGCAGTCCACCTGTGTCAGCCTCCTAAAGTGTTGGGATTTTAGGCGTGAGTTACCACCCCCAACCCAAATACATTTTTCAGTGGATATTTTTCATCTACTAATGCCATTCTTGGGCCTTATCCTAAAGAAAACATTTTAGATGCTTTTAGGTATAGCATGGATTTATTTCATATATCACTCTTGAGCACAGGAAAAAACAACCTACAAAATTAATCAAGATATTTTTTAAATTTCTTGTTCAGACTGCAACTGTTCAGAATACCTCAGAGCTGTTGATATCTGTATTTTCCCACATACTATTTATGGCGTTATGTACCATCAATGCCATTAGTCATTAAATGCTTATAAAATGACATAATAACTTGTAAATTTTGCCTGCATTTTCACTTCTGTGATCTTCAAAATGCCACTGCACTTGCATTTGGAGAGTGTTGTGACCTACACATTTTGTAAGCACATGCTGTTCACTTGAAAGGCTGGTTATTCTTGGCCATTGCAAGTAAGCAATTTTCTGCTTTTGTAGCACCAATAATAATTAGCTTTTTATCTTTCACCATTAAGGAGCCTCATACACTTAAGTTATCACAGACTTTTTGCAAAGAAACAATTTCACAGATCTGTATCATTGTGTAGTGAAGAATCCGGTCAGAAGGAATAATATTCATCTTCTCCAATACCAAATCTATGAGTCAGGGTTCTCCAGACAGACAGGAGCAATAGGATATATACATAGATAGATGAAAGAGGGTTTATTAGGGGAATTCATTCATGTGATTATGGCGGCTGAGAAGTCCCATGACAGGCTGTTTGCAAGTTAGAGACCCTGGAACACTGGCAGCATGGCTCGATGGAAGTCCAAAGGCCTCAGAACCAGGGAAGCCAATGGTGTAACTCTTGGTCCAATGCTGAAAGTCTCAGTACCCAGGGGTCCCCTGGAGTAAGTCCTTGAGTCCAAAGGCCAGTGAACTTGGACTTCTGATGTCCAAGACAGCACCAGTAAAGTCTGTCCCAGCTCTCAGAGAGAGACAAATTCGCCTTCTGTATTTGTTCCTTCTGGGCCCACAGCCAATTGGATGGTTCCCGCCAGCACTGATGGCAGATCTTCCCCCACCTAATCCACTCAGACCCACACACTAAGCTCCTCTGGAAACACCCTCACAGGCACACCCCAACTCATGCTCTACCAGGTTTCTAGGTATTCCTTTTTCCAGTCAAGTTCACACCTAAAATCAAGTTTACAAATCCACCCCTTATCACCTTGACACTCATATGCATCTCCTTCAACCATACTTGATTTCCAAATAAAGGCAATAACAGGGTAATAGTTCCACCTAACATAACACAAGTGTGATTTTGGGGATTTTAGATGCTAGGAATTTTAGATTTTATGAATTTTAATTTTTAGGGATTTCATCATTTGGGATTAAGGCATTCGGGACTGTCTTTCCAGATTATGATCCAAACTCAAGCCAGCACATATAAGGAATATGGCGGTGTGAAAAATACTTCATCAACTGTGATTTCATTTGATTCTCATAATATTCCTCTGAGACTTGATCCTTGTAAAGTTCCTGATGCTGGTGATGGAGCCAGGATTGAGCCACTGTGAACTAGATCACCAGCTTTCCTCTTTTTCATTGCTTCCAATATTAGGCATTGTCCAAAGTTCTGGACTGTAGCAGACACTCCTGAGATGTCTTTGAGATCATTATTCTGACCTTGCTCCAGTTTTCCCTCGCATTTATTCACCTGAGTTTTTTTCTGATACTTCAAATCACGGCAATAACCGAGCTCCTCATTGGCTGCCACCACTGCCTCTTCTTTCTACTATTTCTGTTCGTGGGCCCAGCTCCCTTCCGGTGAGACAAGTCAGAGTCTCTGTCCACTTTCTTTTTTTTTTTTTTTTTTTTGAGACGGAGTTTTGCTCTTGTTGCCCAGGCTGGAATGCAATGGTGTGATCTCGGCTCACTGCAATCTCCGCCTCCCAGGTTCCAGCAATTCTCCTGCCTCAGCTTCCCGAGCAGCTGGGATTACAGGCACGCGCCACTACACCCAACTAATTTTGTATTTTTAGTAGAGACAGGGTTTCTCCATGTTGGTCAGGCTGGTTTCGAACCCCTGACCTCAGGTGATCCGCCCTCCTTGGCCTCCCAAAGTGCTGGGATTACAGGCGTGAGCCACCGCGCCCGGCTCCACTTTCATTCTGAACCTTCCTTAACATTCAGCTCCATCTCCACACCATGTCTTGTATCCATCTCCATCCTCCTGCTCTGGGGCAGGCTCCTAGGGCCTACACATACATAGATGAAAGAGGGTTTATTAGGGGAATTGATTCATGTGATTATGGCGGCTGAGAAGTCCCTCTTCCATTATGAGATTGTCCCAACAAACACCCCTCCAACCCATCCTGCCTGCTTGCGGGACCAGACCCACAAAACATCCGGGGGCTCCACCTTCTCTACTCAGTATCAATCTGCTCTTTGTCCTAAATCCCCACTGATTTATTTTCTGACGAGTTATGGTCAAGGGCCAAATGCAACCCCTGCCCCCATCCTCTCAAACCTGCTCATACCCAGAGGCCCCTTTCAGAATCTGTGTCTTCGTCAGAGGTCAGCAAACTACAGCCTGTGGGCCAAAGTGGCCTGCTGCCAGAACAAAGGATGGCTTTTGCATTTTAAAATAGCTGAAAAAAATCAAAAGAAGAAAACCATTTCGTGACACATGAAAATTAAGTGAAATTCAAGTTTCACTGTCTATAAACAGGGTTTTAGGCCCGGCGCGGTGGCTCACGCCTGTAATCCCAGTACTTTGGGAGGCTGAGGCAGGTGGATCACGAGGTCAGGAGATTGAGACCATCCTGGCTAACACAGTGAAACCCTGTCTCTACTAAAAAATACAAAAAATTGGCCGGGCGCAGTGGCTCACGCCTGTAATCCCAGCACTTTGGGAGGCCGAGGCGGGTGGATCACGAGGTCAGGAGATCGAAACAATCCTGGCTAACACAGTGAAACCCCGTCTCAACTACAAATACAAAAAATTAGCTGGGCATGGTGGCGGGCACCTGTAGTCCCAGCTACTCGGGAGGCTGAAGCAGGAGGATGGCCTGAACCCAGGAGGTGGAGCTTGCAGTGAGCTGAGATTGTGCCACTGCACTCCAACCTGGGCAACAGAGCGAGACTCCATCTCAAAAAAAAAAAAAAATTATCCAGGTGTGGTGGCATGCACCTGTAGTCATAGCTACTCAGGAGCTTGAGGCAGGAGAATTGCTTGAACCTGGGAGGCGGAGGTTGCAGTGAGCCGAGATCGCGCCATTGCACTCCAGCCTGGGCGACAGAGCAAGACTCCGTCTCAAAAAAAAAAAAAAAACAGGGTTTAATTGGAACACAATTATGCCTGTCTGTTTATTTGCTGCCTATGGCTACTTTCATGCCACAGTGGCAGAGCTAAGGAGCCACCTCAGAGAATGCACAGCCCACAAACCCTAAACAGTGACCATCTGGTTCTTTACAGAAAAGGTTTGCTAATTTCTAGTCTATGCTATGATCTTTCCAATCTTGATGACTACACTTGTTTTTAAAATATTTCTGATACATATTGTAAATGTTTCTCAGTTTGTCACTTCTGATGTTAATTGCTTAATGTCTGTCTATACGTTTTTACTTTTGTGAGATCAGTTCCATCTTTGTGTGCATTTATGATTTGTCCTTCCTTTTATGCTAGAAAGGTCTTACCTGTGTTGATGATAGCAAAATACTCATATTTTCTTCTAATTTTTTTTTTTTTTTTTTAGAGATGGATCTTGCTATGTTGCCCAAGCTGGTCTTGAACTCCTGGCCTCAAGTAATCCTCCTACCTTGGCCTCCCAAAGTGCTGGAATTATAGGCGTAAGCCACCGCATCCAGTCCTTCTAATTTTTTAGTGATTTATTTTCAATCTTTTAACTTTTTAACAATGGGATTTCTATTGGTGAGTGCTATGAATTAAAGACACTTAGCTTTTATTCAAATCATTATTCAATTGTCCTAGCACCATTTGTTGGATATATTTTCCTGACGATTTGAAAAACTGCCATTAAAATACACTGGGTGCCAAGTGCAATGGTACACACTTATAGTCCCAGCTATTCAGGAGGCTAAGGCAGGAAGATCACTTGAGCCCAGGAGTTCAAGGCTGCAGTGAGCTATGATCACAACACTGCCCTCCAGCCTGGGCAATAGAGCAAGTCTCTGTTTCTAAAAAAAATGAAATGAAATACAGTAAGTGCTTTGGGTCTTGCCTGTCTCTGGACTCTCAATTTGTAACCACCTGACGGGTTCTCCTTGCCCACTGTCTAGACAGAGTTGATTTATCAAGACAGGGGAATTACAATAGAGAAAGAGTTAAATTCACTCAGAGCCAGCTGTACAGAAGACCAGAGATTTATTATTGTTCAAATCAGTTTTCCCAAAGACTTGGAGGTTATGGGTTTTTCAAAGATAGTTTGGTGGACAAGGGAGTAGGGTAGGGGGTTGGAGATGAAATCATACGCAATTGAAGCTGTCTTCTTTTGTTGAGTAGGTTCCTGGGTGAGGGCCACAGGACTGGTTGGCAGATCCAGGTTGGCCCATCCAATTGCCAGAAATGCAAAGACCTGAAAAGACATCTCAAAAGGCCAGTCTTAGGTTCTACAATACTTATATTATCTTCAAGAGTAATTGGGGCCAGGTGCTGTGGCTAACACCTGTAATCTCAGCACTTTAGGAAGCCAAGGCAGGTGGATCACTTGAGGCCAAGAGTTCGAGACCAGCCTGGTCAACATGGTGAAACCCATCTCTACCAAAAATACAAAAATTAGCTGGGTGTGGTGGCACATGCCTGTAATCCCAGCTACTGGGGAGGCTGAGGCATAAGAATTGCTTGAACCCGGGAGGCAAAGGTTGCAGTGAGGCAAGATTGTGTCACTGCACTCCAGCCTAGGCAACAGAGCAAGACTCTCTCTCTCAAAAAAAGAAGAGTAATTGGGGAAGTTGCAAATCTTATGACCTCCAGAATAATGGCTGGTACTTATTTAGAATTCAAGCCCCTCTCATCCTAACTTGGTGGCCTTTCATTAGTTTTACAAGAACAGATTAGTTCTGGGGAAGGGCTATTATCATTTAAGCTATAAAACAAGTTTCTCCCAAAGTTAGCTTGAACCACACCCAGGAATGAGCAAAGACAGCCAACCTGTGAGGCTAGAAGCAAGATGGAGTCGGCCATGTCAGATTTCTCTCACTGTCATCATTTTCTCAGTTATAATTTTTCTGCAAAGGCAATTTTATATTCTGTGCCACTATTCTATTTTGGCAGCTCTATATATGTTTTAAATGTAGTAGCATTCGATGTTTTACTACCTGCTTAAGAATTCCCTTCATTGCTTCACTTTTCAAATTATACTTAATATTTTCTTCTGTTTTTTCTGTTAGGTGAAGTTTAGAGGTGCAAAACAATTGTTTGTGCTTTTGATTATCCGTTAATTTTAGAAGAATTGCCATCCAAACATTATATAGTTTTCCAAAGCTAGGCATGTACTAATATAATTAGTGTCCCAATAATCCTATTAGGAAAATATAATTATGAATTTTTTTTTTTTTTTTTTGAGACGGAGTCTTGCTCAGTCTCCCAGGCTGGAGTGTAGTGGCGTGATCTCGGCTCACTGCAAGCTCCGCCTCCCGGGTTCACGCCATTCTCCTGCCTCAGCCTCCCGAGCAGCTGGGACTACAGGCGCCCGCCACTACGCCTGGCTAATTTTTTTGTATTTTTAGTAGAGACTGGGTTTCACCGTGTTAGCCAGGATGGTCTTGATCTCCTGACCTCGTGATCCGCCCGCCTCGGCCTCCCAGAGTGTTGAGATTACAAGCGTGAGCCACCGCGCCTGGCCATGAATTCTTATTTTACAAATGAGGAATCTAAGTTACCACAGTACTACAGTTCGATATCACAGACCCCATGGGTTAAGAGGCACAGATTCCATTAATACTGCTCTCGCTTCAGATGACAGTCACAAGTTCAGTGGTCCCCAGGCCACCCATATACTTCTGACCAACTGAATACAAATTCAGAGGTTCCCACAACCTTCTCAGGTTTGATAACTTACTAGAATCACTCATAAAACTCAGAAATACACTATATTTGTAATTACAGCTTAATTGTAAGTATACAAGTCAGGACCAGTCACATGAAAAGACCGTAGAGTAAGACCTGGAAGGGTCCAGAATGCAGAGCTTTTGCGCCCTCTCCCTGTGGAATTAGGATGTGCTACCTTCCAGCACATAGATGTGTTCACCACCCAGGAAGCTCCACTAAGCCTCAGTGTCCAGAGATTTTATTGGGATTTCCTTACATAGCATGATTGATGGACTCATTGGTGACATGATTAAACTAAATCTCTAGCCCCTCAAATCTCCTCAGAAGAGGTCAAACGGATATCACCCCACTCACAGCTCAAACCCTCTAGTCTCATGTTTGGTCTTTCTGACATGACCAGCTCCCAACCTGAGTCATCTCACTGGCATTAATTTAGGTATGGTCCAAAGGGCTCATGAATAATGAGGACATTTCTATTGCTCAGGAAACCCAAGGATTTAGAATCTTTCTTTTCACAATCAAGTGCAATTGTCAGTCAAATTCTTATAAAAAATGGGCACAAAAAGATTAATTACCTTTCCAAGGTCACATAGTAAATGATTGAGATGGTTTCAAACTCAAAAAATGTGATCCAGAGCTCATATCTTTTTTTTTTTTTTTTTTTTTTTTTTTTTGGAGATGGAGTTTCACTCTTGTCGCCCAGGCTGGAGTGCAGTGGCGCAATCTTGGCTCACTGCAACCTCCGCCTCCCAGGTTCAAGCGATTCTCCTGCCTCAGCCTCCCGAGTAGCTGGATTACAAGCTGGATTACAGGCGTCCGCCACCACGGCTGGCTAATTTTTTGTATTTTTAGGAGACAGGGTTTCACCATGTTGGCCAGGCTGGTCTCAAACTCCTGACCTCGTGATCCACCTGCCTCGGCTTCCCAAAGTGCTGGGATTACAGGCGTGAGTCACCGTGCCCAGCCGTACCTTTTTATTTGTTAAAAAAAAAAAACAAGGAATGCTTCACAAATTTGTGTGTCATCCTTGCACAGGGGCCATGCTAATCTTCTCTGTAGTGTTCCAATTTTAGTATACGTGCTGCTGAAGCACATTATGCACTTTATAAGGACACACATACCAAGTGGTAGGTGCCCAAGCTTAATTTGTACAATCAACAGAGACAACCTAAGAAACACGCAGCCCTCAGGAAAGTGCTGTGATGACGCTGAAATCAGGCAATGGCCTCCCAAGCCAGGAAAAGATGAAACAAATGTGAGAGGCCAGTAAGAATCCGCAAGACTCAGAAAAAAGTGAAATAATGGCAATTTTTAATAAAATATTTGCTTTAAAATGGGCCCTAAAGGCCATTTTGAATACATTGAATACAGTGCTTTAACTCCAAGTCCCTATGCTGAAATATTTCAGAGTTCTCAGATATTTATAAAATATTTGCATGAAGTCTTTTAGACCAGTGGTTCTCAAATATCAATCCTTAGACCACTACCGAAACTTGATAAATTTTTCACCCCTTTATAACAGAATTATAAAAATAAGAAAGATGTAATAATCATTCCATTAAGCTAAATATTCAATTAAAAGGGTTGTCCTTTTTTTCTCTCTCTCAGGGGGAAAAAAAAACAACACTTTCTCGTTCGCTTTTGGAGCTTCCATACACAAGCTCTTTGGAAGTTATTGCCCTTTAGAGGTAAGAGGACGCCAAACATAGATGCAATTTTTTAAAATATTAGCAAAAGAAAAAGCTGGCAACCATGCATTGTCTTTATTTATTTATTCGGGCTGTTAGATATAAGTTCTAAATTTCTCTTCAAAGAATCAATATGTCAGTATGTTCAATTCTTTGCCTTCTACTTTTAAACTTAACTTCCTCGTAAAGCAACCTTTTTCGATTATCTACTCCACCCTGACTCATTCCGATCACCTGCTCCACCCTGACTTATTCAGATTACCTGCTACCTGCTGCTCTCTGACTCATTCTCCGCCCTGCATAACCATTTTTTTTCCCCGCCAAACCACTCACCCCGTTACTCTCTTTAAATTAACCAATCGGAATTAGTTTAGCCTGTGCGGTCTAACCCTAGCCAATAGGGGAAGGACACAGCAGCAGGGGCCACGTGCGACCGGGATAAGAACCCCTTCCCATCCCTTGTCCAAGTGTGCGCTCACCATTGCTCTGTCTGTAAGGGCACACCCTTCTATAGAAGTACCTTGCCTTGCTGAGAATTAAAAGAAAATTTTATATTCGAGTGCTATTTCTTTTGCGGCACCGAAACTTTATATATAACAGGGATTTTATTGGCTTTTTTGCTTGCTAGTTTGATAGTTCTCTCGTTTTGCTTAATAATTCATAAAAATCTTGATCCAGGTGAGGTGTGGAAAAAATTTAAAATGTTAAAATCTTGGGAGCCCTGCAATTCGGTTTGCAAGCTGCAGGTGCCCCTTTGTCCACCAGATGGCAGGGCAGCTCTGCAGGTAACTTCTGGCGCCGTCTGCTGCTGCCTCCGCCTCTGCCTCTGCCCTGGGAAAGCAGCGCCAGTTCATCTTTCAAAGAATACGTCCCTTCTTGTCTTTAGGGTTTTTCCCCCAAAGAATATTTTCAGCAGAAGTATTTTACATCTCAGTCTAGAGATGAACTTCCCCAAGAGTGTTGTGTGTAGGCTTGCCGGTTTTTTTTTAAATTATTATTATTCACTATAAATCTTTATTAATAAAGATTTAACAAGGACCTAACCCAGCAGTTCAGAGGTACAGAAAGTCAATGTGTGGAAAGAAGACGGAACTGATCGGAAATGTTTATTCCTCTCCTAAATCACCACTGACAACGACAACCACACACACACACACACACACACACACACACACACACACACACAGCTGACGCTCAGAATGCGTAGGGACAGAGACACAGGGAGCAGGACAGGAAGCAAAGGGTAGTTATATATGGCCGAGAGGAACATGGTTCCTTAGTAAGTCTGGAAAATACAGTATTGCCACTCAGGAAAAACAAAGAGGCGCGCCATACTGCCACCCAGTGGTGTGAACTGTTTCTTTCCAGACTTAATGCAAACAAAACCCTTCTTTTTATGCTTCTGATGGTGGCTGAGATCTTCCTCTCAAAGAACTACATTACACAGTACTGCTTGCTCCTACCAGTACCTGACACGGGTGTCAGGCCCAACCACGTGCTCGGTGTATTCATAGACCTTAGTCACGGAAGCACAGTCTTGTCCGGATGCACAGCATGTGAGCACTTGCTCTCCAAACTTACCATCTTCCAGCTCCGGTTAATACAGCAGACCATTCATGCGTCTAGGAACCAAAGAATTACCCTAGGGCCCTGCTATTATTTGGGCAAGAGACTCATAATGACCTTACTTGACTGGCTGCATAAAAAGTCCCAAATCTTCCTGCCATTCCTTTCTCGTCTTGGCCTCTGGGCCGGGAGCACAAAGCCTAGGAAAGGACCCAGGGACAGAAAAAGGAAATATCGAGGTACTGTTTTCCCCCTACCTCCTCAGCTTGGCCTAAGGAAATTTTCAGAGTAACTGAGCTAAGCTCCAGCATCCTCTTCTCTTCTGATATGGTTAGACTTTGTGTCCCCAACCAAATCTCATCTTTTTTTTTTTCTTTTCAGCCACTCAGAGAGATATGTATAACCTCTCTCTTTTTTTTATTTTTATTTTACTTTAAGTTCTGGGATACATGTGCAGAACATGCAGGTTTGTTACATAGGTATACATGTGCCATGGTGGTTTGCTGCACCTATCAATCCATCATCTAGGTTTTAAGCCCCGCATGCATTAGGTATTTGTCCTAATGCTCTCCCTCCCCTTGCCCCCCACCTCCTGACAGCCATGGGTGTGTGATGTTCCCCTCCTTGTGTCCATGTATTCTCATTGTTCAGCTCCCACGTATGAGTCAGAAGATGCCCTGTTTGGTTTTCTGTTCCTGTGTTAGTTTGCTGAGAATGATGGTTTCCAGCTTCATTCATGCCCCTGCAAAGGATATGAACTCATTCTTTTTTAAGGCTGTATAGTATTCCATGGTATATATGTGCCACATTTTCTTTATCCAGTCTATCATTGATGGACATTTGGGTTGGTTCCAAGTCTTTGCTATTGCAAATAGTGCTGCAATAAACATACATGTGCATGTGTCTTTATAGTAGAATGATATATAATCCTTTGGGTATATACCCAGTAGTGGGATTGCTGGATCAAAGGGTATTCCTTGTTCCAGACCCTTGAGGAATTGCCACACTGTCTTCCACAATGGTTGAACTAATTTACACTCCCACCAACAGTGTAAAAGCATTTTTGTATCTCCATATCCTCACCAGCATCTGTTGTTTTCTGACTTTTTAATGATCACCATTCTAACTGGCATGAGATGGTATCTCATTGTGGTTTTAATTTACATTTCTCAAATGACCAGTGATGATGAGCTTTTTTTCATATGTTCGTTGGCCGCATAAATGTCTTCTTTTGAGAATTGTCTATTTATATCTTTGCCCACTTTTTGATAGGGTTGTTTGTTTTTTTCTTGTAAATTTGTTTAAGTTCCTTGTAGATTCTGGATATTAGACCTTTGTCAGATGGATAGATTGCAAAAATTTTCTTCCATTCTCTAGGTTGCCTGTTCACTCTGATAATAGTTTCTTTTGCTGTACAGAAGGTCTTTAGTTATATTAGATCCCATATGTCAATTTTGGCTTCTGTTCCAATTGCTTTTGGTGTTTTTGTCATGAAGTCTTTGCCCATGCCTATGTCCTGAATGGTATTGCCTAGGTTTTCTTCTAGGGTTTTTATGGTTTTAGGTTTTACATTTTAGTCTTTAATCCATCTTGAGTTAACTTTTGTATAAGGTGTAAGGAAGGGGTCCAGTTTCAGTTTTCTGCATATAGCTAGCCAGTTTTCCCAGCACCATTTATTAAATAGGTGCTGGGAAAACACCTATTAAATTATTTCACCATTGCTTGTTTTTGTCAGGTTTGTCAAAGATCAGATGGTTGTAGATGTGTGGTGTTATTTCTGAGGCTTCTATTCTATTCCATTGATGTATATATCTGTTTTGGTACCAGTACCATGCTGTTTTGGTTACTATAGCCTTGTAGTATAGTTTGAAGTCAGGTAGGGTGATGCCTCCAGCTTTGTTCTTTTTGCTTAGGATTGTCTTGGCTATTTGGGCTCTTTTTTGGTTCCATATGAAATGTAAAGTAGTTTTTTCTAATTCTGTGAAAAAAAAAGTCAATGGTAGCTTGATGAGAATAGCAATGAATCTATAAATTACTTTGGGATGTATGGTAATTTTCATGATACTGATTCTTCTTATCCATGAGCATGGAATGGTTTTCCATTTGTTTGTGTCCTCTCTTATTTCTTTGAGCAGTGGTTTGTAGTTCTCCTTGAAGAGGTCCTTCACGTCCCTTGTAAGTTGTATTCCTAGGTATTTTATTCTCTTTGTAGCAATTGTGAATGGGAGTTCACTCATACCAAATCTCATCTTGAATTGTAGTCCCCATGATTCTTACATGTCAAGGGAGAGACCACGTGGAGGTAATTGGATCATGGGGGCAGTTTCCCCCATGCTGTTCTTGTGATAGTGAGTTCTCATGAGATCTGATGTCTTTGTCAGTGTTTGGTAGTTCCTCCTGCACTCATTCTCCTTCCTGCCGCCTTGTGAAGAAGGTGCCTTGCTTCCCTTTCCCTTCCACCATGATTGTAAGTTTCCTGAGGCCTCCCCAGCCATGCTGAACTATGAGTCAGTTAAACCTCTTTGCTTTATAAATTACCCAGTCTCAGGCAGTTCTTTATCAGTGTGAAAATGGTCTAATACACCTTCCTCTTGTGTTTTTCTTCTGCTTCCCAGAGCACCTCTCTTCTAAACTGGGGAATTTGACAATCCTGAGTTCAAATTCAGATGAACTCCCCCGATAGCTGGGTGACATTATACATGATGAGATTTCTTGACCTGATTTCTCATCTTTAACATGAAGATACTAGAACCTCACCAGTGCCTCTTGAGGGGCTTCATCCTCTCAAGTCTAATCTTTTCATAAAAAATACCCCCATACTTCCAAATTGCATGCTCCATTCCTGCATTCCAATCAAAACTCACTTTTCTTCAATACCAGGCTATGTCAGTTTTCAAGAAAGCTAGTTCATTGAATTAATTTACAGTAATATGAAAATGATTAATAACAGCATCTTCTTCCTAGGGTCATATAATCCCATCACAATTGTAGAACTACCACCAGGCATGGTGGCTCACACCTGTAATCCCAGCACTTTGGGAAACCAAGGCGGGTGGATCACCTGAGGTCAGGAGTTTGAGACCAGCCTGGCCAACATGGTGAAACCCTGTCTCTACTAAAACAATACAAAAATTAGCTGGGCGTGGTAGCAGGCAGCTGTAATCCCAGCTACTCAGGAGGCTGAGGTAGGAGAATCACTTGAACCTGGGAGGCAGAAGTCGCAGTGAGCCGAGATCGAGCCATTGCACTCCAGCCTGGGTGACAAGAGCAAAAGTCCATCTCAAAAAAAAAAAAAAAGAATTGTACAACTACTGAACGTTAGAAGGGGGTGGCCCATACAGGTTATCTTGTTCCAATCCCATATTCTCCAGATGACTCATCTGAAGCCTGAAGACACTAAGCAGATGGCCCGAGCCACAGAGGATTTCACAGAAGGGCCCGGATGAGAAGAGGACAGATGCAGGGTACTGATCACTGCACTAGAATATGTGCAACCTTCCACGCTGCCTTGGGGATTCTATTCCTGCCTATTGTCCTTGGCTTCTTCCCCTTGTCCACTTCTGAACCCATAAGCACGAATTTCCTCTCCTCTCCCCATTCCTAATTATCCCCATCTCACGTGGGTGGCAGAAAGTCTTCACATTTTCCAGGCTTCATGGCTTAGAACTCCTTAGGGAATGGTACCAGTCTCTATATCCAGGATAAGTAGGTATGCAGTTATTTTGTAAGACCAGGACATTTGTGGAAGAGAGAAACCACGTGAGCAAAGGCAGGCAGGTGTGGAGTATGCACACCAGTGAATCTAAGACTGTGCAAACTGTATGAATAACAAATGAAAGGAAACAGAGCAGGCCTAAGTTTCAAGTGTGAGAATGGCAAACAACCTGTTACCTATATCAACAGTTCATTCTTTTCTCTTGCTGAGTAATATTCCATTGTATGCATGCACTACGGTTTATCTATAAACCTGTTGAAGAATATGTGGGTAGTTTCCAAGGTTTGCCTATTACAAATAAAATTACTATAAATATTTGTGTACTGGATTTGTGTACACATTTTAATTTTTCTAGGGTAAATATCCAGGAGTGAGAATTATGGGGCATATGGCGAGTGTATAATGATTTACAAGAAATTTTCAAGACAGGGCACAGTGGCTCATGCCTGTAATCTCAGCACTGAGAAAAAGAGGCAGGAGGAAGGCTTGAGGCCAGAAGATCAAGATCAGCCTGGGAAACACAGCGAGATCCCTTCTCTATAAAAAAGTTAAAATTAAAGTTAAATAATTTTCCAAACTTTTTCCAGAGTGGTTATATCATTGTTCACATCTACTAGCAATGTACAGACGTTCCAGTTGTTCTACATCCTTCTCAGCACCTAGTATTTTCCATATTTTAATTTTAGCCTCTCTAGCACGTGTACAGAGATATATCACTGTGGTTTTACTTTGCATTTTCTTTTTTTTTTTTTTTTTCCCCGAGACGGAATCTTGCTCTGTCGCCCAGGCTGGAGTGCAGTGGCGTGACCTCGGCTCACTGCAACCACTGCCTCCTGGGTTCAAGCAATTCTCCTGCCTCAGCCTCCCGAGTAGCTAGGATTACAGGTGCATGCCACCATGCCTGGCTAATTTTTGTATTTTTAGTAGAGATGGGGTTTCCCCATGTTGCCCAGGCTAGTCTGGAACTCCTGACCTCAAGTGATCCGCCTACCTGGGCCTCCCAAAGTGCTGGGATTACAGGCATGAGCCACCACAGTAGAAAATGCCTACTTTGCATTTTCTTAATGATGATGTTGAACAGCTTTTCATGACCTTATTTTCTACCCATATATCCTCACTGGTGAAACATCTGTTCAAGCTTCTCCCCATTTTTTAATCTGCTTGTCTTACTGACGAGTTTTGAGTGAAACTTTATATATTCTGGATACAAGTCTTTTGTCAGATACGTGATTTACAAATATGTCTCCTAGTCTAGAACTTGTCAGTCTCTTAACGAGTTCCTTTCTTGTTTAAATTTTACCAACATAGGCCTGGCGCAGTGGCTCGCCCCTGTAATCCCAACCCTCTGGGAGGCTGAGATGAGAGGATTGCTTCAGGCCAGGAGTTCAAAGTTGTAGTGAGCTATGATTGCACATCTGCACTCCAACCTGGGTGACAGAGTGAGACCCTGTCTCCAAAAAAAAAAAAAAAAAAAAGAAGTTTACTAATATAAGTCTCTTTACACACACACCTTTAGGTCATACTTGTCTTATATATTACATTTACATGCATTGAAACTCCATCAAACAATCTTGTGATTTTTGCTTTTAAACATCAACACATCGTAAAGAACTCAAAAGGAGAATAATATTCTCGTATACTTACCTGATATTTATCATTTCTTCATTTCTATTTCCCCTTCCTTCGTTTCTTTGTTTTTTTTTTTTTGTTTGTTTTTGTTTTGATTTTTTGAGATGGAGTCTCGCTCTGTCCCCCAGGCTGGAGTGCAGTGGTGCGATCTCAGCTCACCGAAATCTCTGCCTTTCTGGTTCAAGCAATTCTCCTGCCTCAGCCTTCTGAGTAGCTACGATTACAGGCATGCACCACCATGCCCAGCTAATTTTTGTATTTTCAGTAGAGACGGGTTTCACCCTGTTGGCCAGGGTGGTCTCAAACTCCTGGCCTCAAGTGATCCGTCCACCTCGGCCTCTTAAAGTGCTGGGATTACAGGTGTGAGCCACTAATCCTGGCCCTCTTCCTTCATTTCTGATGATCCCAAAGTTCTTCTGGTTTTTTTATTTGCTTGTTTAGTTTTGTTTAGTTTTGCTGTCTAACAAACTTTATTTAGCAATTCTTTTAGTGTGGGTCTGCTGGTAATGAATTCTATTCTATCCTATTTTTTGTCTGAGAATACCTTTATTTCATCTTCATTTCTGAAAGGCACTTTTGCTGGATTTGGATCACTGGATTTACAGTTCTTTCAGCCCTTTAAAAGTGTGCCCCATGGCACATCATTTCCATGTGCCCCATGGTTTCTGATGAAAAATCTGTAGTTGTTTAAATTGTTGTTTCTCTATAGTAACATGTTGTTTTTCTCTGGCCGCTTTCAAAGATTATTTTTTTCTTTTCTTTTCTTTTTTTTTTTTTTTTTTTTTTTTTGAGACTGAGTCTCACTCTATCGCCCAGGCTGGAGTGCAATGGCGTGATCTCAGCCCACTGCAACCTCCCCCTCCTGGGTTCAAACGATTCTTGTGCCTCAGTCCCATGAGTAGCTGGGATTACAGGTGCCCGCCATCACACCCAGCTAATTTTTGTTATTTTTAGTAGAGACAGGGTTTCACCATGTCGGCCAGGCTGGTCTTGAACTCCTGACCTCAAGTGATCTGCCCGCCTTGGTCTCCCAAAGTGCTGGGATTACAGGCATGAGCCACCATGCCCAGCCAATTGTTTTTTTCTTGTCTTTAGTTTTCAGGAGTTTGATCATGGCCTGTCTAGATGTGCATTTCTTTGGGTTTATCGTGTTTGAGGCTGAGTTTCTTGAATCTGTAGATTTACATCCTTCACCAAATTTGGGAAGTTTCCAGCCATTAATAAGTCAAACATTTTTTCAAGCTATACTTTTTTCTCTGTCTTTCTAAGACACCAATGACATAAATGTTAGACTATTCTTGTCCCACAAGTCCCTGAAGCTCTGTTCTTTTTTTTCATGTTTTTCTCTATGTTGTTCATATTGTATAATTTCTATTGATCTATCTTCACGTTTATTGACTCTTTTATTCATCATCTCCATTCTGCTATTGAATCTATCCAGTGTTTTTAAAATTCATTTATTATATTTTTCAGTTCTAAAATTTCTATTTGGCACCTGTTATGTCTTCTATTTCTTTTCAGAGGGTTTTTATTTTCTCATTCATTTCAAGAGTGTCCATGATTGCTGTCAAAGCAATTTTGTAAAAGCTGCTCTAAAGTCTTTGTCAGATAATGCCAACATCTGTGTTCTCAGCATCTCAGCATTGACATCTGTTGTCTTTTCCTTGTGCATTGAGATTTTCCTGGTTCTTCACACAGCAGGTACTTTTAAATTATATCCTCGACATTTTGGATATTATGTTATCAGGCTCTGAGTCTTGCTTAAATAAAGTGGAGAAAGTTGACATCTTTGTTTTTGTAGGCAATCAAACCAGTTGGGCTCAGGTCACAAGTTCCAATCTGCCCTTTGTGGGCTACGGTTCCTATGTCGTTTCTGTTTTCAAAGCCTTTAGTATAATTTGGGCTGCTTTGTGACTGAGACCTGGGCAATGGCTTATCTGTTAGTTCAATTCTCAAAATCTTTGGTGTGCTAATTAGGATCAAAAACATGCATGTGCACCTAGGAAATGAGCCCTGGACTTCATAAATAACTTTGTGGGGTCATCTTCTGAAGTTTTCTCTTTCCATGATTTCTCCAGTCCTTTCTGGTTTTCTTGGGCTCTCAGTCACCGATCAGAAAGCCAGCAGTTTAGGCTGGACGCCGTGGCTCACGCCTGTAATCCCAGCATTTTGGGAGACTGAGGCAGGTGGATCACTTGAGGTCAAGAGTTCAAGACCAGCCTGGCCAACATGGTGAAACCCCATCTCTACTAAAAATACAAAAAATTAGCCGGGCATGGTGGTGGGTGCCTGTAATCCAAGCTACTTGGGAGGCTGAGGCAGAAGAATTGCTTGAACCCGTAAGGCGGATGTTGCAGTGAGCCGAGATCATGCCACTGCACTCCAGCCTGGGTGACAGAGTGAGACTCCAAAAAAAAGAAAAAGAAGAAAGAAAAGAAAATGAAAGAAAGAAAGAAAGAAAGAAAGAAAGAAAGAAGGAAAGAAAGGAGAGAGAAAGCAAGCAAGCTGTTTAATTACCTAACTCAGCTGCATATTTCTGTGACTGTGCTTACATCTTGGGCAAACAGTAGAAAACAGAGAGGAAAAAAAGGCAATGGGGGTTTGCCTCACCCTCATGGAACCACAACTCCACCAGCCAAAGAAAGTCCTGCTTGCTCAGTGTTTTGGCTCTACAGACTCCTGTTGCTGCTGCTATTACCAAAACAGGATTACTTGAGTGCTAGAATTTGAGAGAACAGGGATGAGAAAAAAGCAGGGGGGAATTTCTTCATTCTCTGGTTAAGTTGCCTGCTCCTCAAACCAGAACTAGGATGCTTCTCCTGAAATTCTTTCTGCAGTCCCGTGCTCACTTTTGGGCTTGAGGCTATGTTGTGTTCAGGACAGAGAATACTGGAAGAAAAAAAATAGCAAATTCACTGCAGGTTCAATGGTGCTTCGAATTCTAGTCTTCATCCCCAATTCACCCATCACTACTTAGTTTTCAGAGTCCTTAAACAGCCATTCCATGCATCATGTCCAAGGTTTTAGACATGTTCAGTATGGGAGGAAGGGTAAAAAATGTTTACCCCATCTTACCCAGAACTAGCACCCCTGGCTGTTATCTAAGCACCAAGTGATATTGATATGCATTCAGGATGCAAATTACTGCCTTCCACTGCTCCCTTCATTTTCCTACCTATTCTTATAAATATTGTGCTGATCCTTGGAGGCCAGGCTCAAATATCCCTTCTGAGATGTCTTCTCTGAACTCCTCACCAGAGCCAATCTCTCCCTCTTCTGATCTTCCACAGCGTTGACTTGTGCCAACATTACAATATCTGTCCATCTTCTCCTCTAGACTTTTAGTGTCTTCTTAAAATAAAAGATACTGGCCAGGCATCGTGGCTCACGCCTGCAATCCCAGCACTTTGGGAGGCTGAGGCGGGCGGATCATGAAGTCAAGAAATCGAGCCCATCCTGGCCAACATGGTGAAACGCCATCTCTACTACACATACAAAAATTAGCTAGGCATGGTGGCACGCGCCTGTAATCCCAGCCACTCGGGAGGCTGAGGCAGGAGAATCACTTGAACCTAGGTGGCGGAGGTTGCAGCGAGCTGAGATCACACCACTGCACTCCAGCCTGGCAAGACTCCATCTCAAAAAAAAAAAGAAAAGAAAAAAGGTTGGGCACGGTGGCTCAAGCCTGTAATCCCAGTACTTTGGGAAGCCAAGGCGAGTGGATCACCTGCAGTCAGGAGTTCGAGACTAGCCTGACCAACATAGAGAAACCCCGTCTCTACTAAAAATACAAAATTAGCTGGGCATGGTGGTGCATGCCTGTAATCCCAGTTACTCAGGATGCTGAGGCAGGAGAATTGCTTGAACACGGGAGGCAGAGGTTGCGGTGAGCCGAGATCACGCCGTTGCGCTCCAGCCCACTCAACAAGAGCGAAACTCCATCTCAAATAAATAAAATAAAAAATACTTTGTTTTAATCTTTCTTGACTTGCTCTCAGTCCTAGGCCTGGTGCTCAGAACATAGTAAACAGCTACGAATTCAATAGAATTACTAAAGCACTGGCCAGTTTTTTTGTTTTTGTTTTTGTTTTTGTTTTTAATGATAAAGGAAATCAGGACTTCTGGTTATAACATGGTCTAGAGTAAAGATGCATTTCCCTCTTTTCTTCTTGGAAATTATCCAAAGGTAACTAGAGAATGTGAAGTATTTTTAATAAAAGAAAACCTGAAGGCCGGGCATGGTGGCTCACTCCTGTAATCCCAGCACTTTGGGAGGCCGAGGCAGGCACATCACTGAGGTCAGGAGTTCGAGACCAGCCTGGCCAACATGGTGAAACCCTGTCTCTACTAAAAATACAAAAAATTAGCTGAGCATGCTTGTAATCCCAGCTACTCGGGAGGCTGAGGTAGGAGAATTGATTGAACCCAGGAGGCGGAGGTTGCAGTGAGCCGAGATGGAGCCATTGCACTCCTGCCTGGGCAACAAGAGCGAAACTCCGTCTCAAAAAAGAAAAAAGAAAACCTGAAAATACTTGTATAAAATAGAGGGAAGAGACTCAGTAAACAGGCTTGCAGCTGCTAATCTGTTGATTATGGAAACTTAACATTGAAAGAACCCACTCGAATACAACATGGGGTTCTAAGGAAAACCTGCCTGAAACAGGGCACACTTCATCTTTCATATAGTTGGTATCAGAATACTTTATCTCATTCAAAGATGACTGGTAAGTAAAAAGAAGAAAGAAAAAGAAACCAATAGATGCTCTATTAAAGATACACTACAAAATAAGGAAAAAAAGAAATGGGAAAATAAATCACAGAAAACACTAAGGAGGGAAAAAAAATCCTATCCTCTTAACTCTTGGGTCAAAGAAGAAACTATAACTAAATTACAAAACACTTTAAAATAACAATAATGAAAATGTCACATAGGAGCAGAAGAAGATATTATTTATAAAAAATGAAAACAAGAATTAATAAATTATAAAATGGGGAAAAATTATAGAATTGATAAATAAACCTAAGACCTGGTTCTTTGAAAAACATCACCACCAAAAACATTTAGCTAACTTGATTTGTTTATTAAGTGAGCAACAAATATACAAAATTAGACATATCACTGGAGAAAAATCTTCACCCTTACAGAAGAAATTAAAGGTATCATAGAACTACTTTGCTCAAGACTATGCGTACAATTTTGGGAAACTGTATGAAATGGTTGACTTCCTGTGAAAAGATTAATTACCTAAATTAGCTTAATAACAAATGGGTCATTGAACAGATCAATTACCACTGAAGGAGTCAAAGTTTATTTTTTAAGTATGAACTCCAGACCTAGAGGTTTGACAGAGGACTTCATCAAACATTTATGGAACTCAATGGATCCTATGTAAAAGTGGTATATCAAGTAATAGACAGCCAGGTGCAGTAGCTCATGCCTGTAATTCCAGCACTTTGGGAGGCCGAGGCAGGTGGATCACTTGAGGCCAGGAGTTTGAGACCATCCTGGCCAACATGGTGAAACCCTGTCTCTACTGAAAATATAATAATTAGCTGGGTGTGGCAGTGGGCACCTGTAATCCTAGCTACTTGGGAGATGGAGGCAGGAGAATCGCTTGAACCTGGGAGGCGGAGGTTGCAGTGAGCCGAGATCCCGCCACTGCACTCCAGCCTGGCGACAGAGCAAGACTCCATCTCAAAAAAAAAAAAAAAGAAAAGAAAAGAAATACGGATGTAAATAATAGAAAAGCAGTTGAAAGAGTTCAATGAGCTTCTTCCCTGGCATAGGCAGGACTCTTGGGGAAGGAAGGATGGAAATGGGAGTTGGTCTTTATTTTCTTTTTCATGTGGGGACTGGTCTTTTTGACACAATATTTTTAGAATCATTCGATTTTTTTAAACTATGGATATGTATTACTTTGCTAAAAATAAAAAGTAATTAAATGTTTTAAAGGGTTCATGTGAAACAGGACAGGTGATTGGGTTATCTGTTGGGCTGGGAGCCTAGTAAAACGCTTGGGGAGGTCAGATCCCCACTGTTTGAGATTACGCTGACTCGTTCGGAGTGTGAATGACTGCCCAGATTCCTACAGACACCCATTTGCCTAGATATTGATGGCACTGGGCTTTGCAACCCTCCTGACAGCCCTAACGTGGTCTTCATTCTTCTGTCCTCCAGGTTCCCCACTTTGGCCAGGTTAACATGGTCTCTTTCTGCACTTGTTTCTCCTACCCCTGGGTGTCTGAATCATGGATCTTTCTGAAATACCATCCATGCCCAAAACATTTTCCCCATACAGTTATCCTGTAACAGTATTCATAAACCACTTTACCTAGGTGACTTCCATTTGTCTTCCTGTCTTATTGCACTTCTCAGCATCTTGAGGTTGCAAAAGTGAGTATCTCATCTGGGGCTGGATGCATTTCCGTTGTGAACAAAAATGGGATTTATCAGCAGATAAGAAAATGTAAATGGATGTTGTGTAGGCAAATAATATGGTCTGCAGTAGAGGGTAATGGAAGGAGCAGGAGAAATCCACCCTTTCTCCCAGAAGGACAATTCAAGGTTCACGTGCACTTAGATGTATGTGCTTGTGAAATAGTTAAATTATAAAGCAGTAAGGAGGCAGAAATTAAAATGTCTAAGCACAGCTGTGGCAGAGGAATAGATATTTGAGAGTGAGACATAAGAAGCAATTGTGGGGTAAAGGGTTTATTGTCATAGGATGAAAATCTCTCAGGAATTACTCAGCTGGGAAGTTGTTCTTTCTCTGCCAAAATTCAAACATTCTGAAAATCTCACTTCACAACCTCAGGGGGTATTCACATGAAGCTGGAACAAACCTATTTGCATCTATGCAGAGTATGCAATCAGAACAGAAACTGCTAGGGAAATGCAAATCCGGGGGTGAACTTGAACTTGAAGCAGTTTCAGGATAAAAAACCAAGAACCCTTTGCAATTAGTATGCCAGAAGTGATAATAAGAGGGAACTGGGTACTGCTGGAGCACATGGGAGATAATCAGAGAATGTCCACAAAAGGGGAGGTGGGAGCAGAAGACCTTAACTAGAATCAAAACAGGTTGTTTCCCAGTCATTCCTGACAAGAGTTTCACGAATGAAATGAGTATTTGTATAAATGAATGACAAGCAGGTATGGGCCAGAATCACTTCATGACTATTGCTGTGTCTAGTAATTGTTATTGAGCACATTCTATGGCCAAGATGAGAATTGCTTGCTTTATTCTTACAGTAATTTTGCACTTAAATATTATTTTTCACCAATATGCAAAGAAAAAGAGTAACATTGAGAAAGGTTTAGAAACGTACCCAAACCCAATTCGGTAGTAAGTGGCAGATGCAGGTTTCTGACTAAAACCTGTACATCACCAAAGCCCAAGCATTTCCACTCTACCACAGAGCCATCTTTGGTCACTATGACACAAGCAAACTCTACTCATAATATTTTCTTATTTGCAGTTTGTTGAATACATTTTAACTGCTTAGTAAATTCAGTTCAATCTAGTCTTCAACACTTTATCAAGTGATCATTTTACTTTTTAACTGAAAACACTCTAATGGCATAAGAACTTATTAGAGACCCTAAGTCAGATCCTAAAGAAGCTTATAGACAGGTTTTGATTTGATGACTGACAGATATTATGCATTGCTGTGGTCTGAATGTTTGTATCCCCCACCATCCTGCAAATTCCTGTGTTGAAATCCAAATCCTCAACATGATGGTCTCAGAAGGTGGGGCCTTTGGGAGGTGATGAGGTCATGAGGACTGTGCCCTCATGTACCCTTGCAAAAGAGCTGCTTTCGGCCTGGCGCGGTGGCTCATGCCTGTAATCTCAGCACTTTGGGAGGCCAAGGCAGGTGGATCACCTGAGGTCAGGAGCTCGAGACCAGCCTGACCAACATGGAGAAACCCCATCTCCATTAAAAATACAAAATTAGCCGGGCGTGGTGGCGCATGCCTGTAATCCCAGCTACTCAGGAGGCTGAGGCAGGAGAATCACTTGAACCCAGCAGGCAGAGGCTGAGGTGAGCTGAGATCATGCCATTGCACTCCAGCCTGGGCAACAAAGAACGAAACTCTGTCTCAAAAAAAAAAAAAAAAAAAATAGCTTCTTTCCCCTTTCTCTTACGTGAGGTTACAGCAAGAAGGTGCCATCTTTTAACTAGGAAACATGTCTTCACCTGGCATTGAATCAGCCAGTGCCTTGATCTTGGATGTCTCAGCCTCTAGAACTATGAGGAATAAATGTGATTTATAAGCTGCATGGTTTAGGGCAATTTGTTATAGCAGCCCAAACAGACTAAGACACCCATCATCGTGGTTACTAAGATCCCTGACCAAAGTTTTGGTTGCTATGGCTCTTTGGGGACCTTGGGATGAGTTAAAATACCTTTCTATTAAGTCAGAAGAATTATGATATTGTGTTGGTATGACTTTCTGTGCAAATTAGGTAAGATTTCCATTTCAGCCTGAATCACATAGTTTCCAAAAGATTTTACATTAACTCCCCAGTGCTCTCCCTAATGGTACCTCCTATCTCCATGGAAGGGGGAAGCCTTGAAGACCAAGTGATACCACCGGATAACAGTTCTTTGTTCTCATGAGAATCGGGCAAGATGAACAGACTGAGACAATTGTCTGTTGTTCTTAAGGAGAGTACTGGAAGGATCTGTGTGTGATTTTCCAAAAGAGAAGTTGCATATTTGCTACAAAGGAAAGAACATACTATGTTTTCAAATTTCCTGTGAAAAGGTCATCTTTGCCCAGAAATGATATTTATTTGTTTTCTGGATATTTTATTAAAGAATATAGAGAGAAAGTCTCTCAGTGTCCAAATGAGATTTTTAAAAAGCAAGTTGGGATGATATGGCCCTACAAAATTTGTTCCAAATTATGTAAGAGACTTATATTTAAATAATACAATTATCCTGCAACTTCTGCACTGAAAAAGACAATAAAAGAGGTTAGAACACTGTAAGGTGGCTGGGTCTGGTGGCTCACATATGTAATCCCAGCAATTTGGGAGGCCAGGGAGGGACAGTCACTTGGGGCCAGGAGTTCGAGACCAGCCTGACCAACATGGTGAAACCCTGTCTCTACTAAGAATACAAAAATCAGCCAGGCATGGTGGCAGGCGCCTGTAATCCCAGCTACTTGGGAAGCTGAGGCAAGAGAACTGCTTGAATCCAGGAGATGGGGGTTGCAGTAAGCAGAGCTCACACCACTGCACTCCAGCCTGGGCGACAGGAGACTCCATCTCAAAAAAAAAAAAATACCTTAAGGTGGACATCTGGTTTGGCAGCTGTCCCCTCTGTCATCTGCTTTCAAAGACTAAGTAAATTGAACTTATTCTGGAGTCCTGAACCACATGGATGATCAAAGACATTTGCCTTCAGAAACAAGGCAGAAACCATGTATATAATACAGAAGTATTTCTTTTTTTTTTTTTTTTTTTTTGTGAGACAGAGTCGCTCGGGCTAGAGTGCAGTGGCGCCATCTCTGCTCACTGCAACCTCCACCTCCCAGGTTCAAGCAATTCTTTTGCCTCAGCCTCCCAAGTAGCTGGGATTACAGGTACCCACCACCATGCCCAGCTAATTTATTGTATTTTTAGTAGAGATGGGGTTTCACCATGTTGGCCAGGCTGGTCTTGAACTCCTGACCTCAAGTGATATGCCTGCCTCAGCCTCCCAAAGTGCTGGGGTTACAGGAGCCACTGCACCCGGCCAGAACTATTTCTTGACACTACATTTTGATGTCCTAACATTTTCAACTCATTAACAGTAAAATAATCAAATTATGATTTGGACTAAACAAAGGAGGTGTCATGTTTTGGGAGACCCTAACACAAACCCATATAAGAAAGAGGCGGAAACAGAGGTACTCATTACTCTTTTGTCTAGGGGTCTTGTCTTGCCCTTTGTTCTTCCAAGATTTATGAAGTAACCAATAAATTAATTTTTTAAAAAACCTAGTTCCTCTACATTATTATAGGTGAAGCTGGTTATTTATTAAAAAACAAAAACTGGAGGGAAAAAAGTAATATATAGGGACAAAAAAGTACCTTGAAGAACAATAGAAAGTGTATAATGTAAATGTCCAGTCACGGATATCCTTTTTTCTGGAGGAGCTCAGTAGTACACAGGGTCTGAAGGAAGGCGTGAAAGCTTTCTGCTCTGATGATTTATCAGGGTTCTTTATTAATTACTGGATATATTCTAAGTATTAATATTGCTCGATACTAACATAATGGCAATCAGAACCACAGAATATTAGAACCGCAAAGGTTCTCTCAGTCTAGTATTTTTCAAATTTTATTTAGCTATAAAGCTCATAATGTTTAATAAAGGAAGGAAGGGAAGGAGGGAAAGAAGAAGAAAGGAAGGGAGGGAGGCGGGGAGGGAGGGCAGGAGGGATGGAGGGAGGGATGGAGGAAGGGAGGGAAGGAAAGAAAAAGAGAGAGAAGCTGCTACGTAATATGTAAAGCAGATAAAACAGGAGTAGCTTTGCCCAAAGAAATGAAGAGGAGGGCTTACTAGCTTCCACTTTCTTCTCCATAGAGTCCTTCAAAACTTCTAGATAATTCCTTAGTCTTCTAGAATACAGATTTTAAACCAGTCATTCTAGTCCAAACTTCTTTTACAGAGGAAAAAATTGGGGTCCCATTGGGGGAAATCATTGTGCAAAGCCATAGCTAGAATTTAAATCTTCCGTCATCAAATCCAAGACTTAGAGAAAGAAATTGTCCTCCTTCCAACAGCTGTGATGGAAAGATGAGCCCCAAAGATGTCTCTGCTGAGCTATGTTAGTTTCCTGATAGAAAACATGAAGTGAAATCCAAGCCTAGAAGCCATCAGGAAATTGATCTTCATAACAAGAAAATGAGCCTGAGAAAGTGTGGTTACACTTTGCTGACAGCTCCACGTGCTGTTGCCAGAGTGAGCTCCAGAACCAAAGTGGCAGTGGGCCCATCCACCTGCCTTGAGTGTAAGTCACATATGATGCTATCCACAGTTCAATCTAACACACCCTGCAATTACAGACAATTCTTCCATTTTTTCTTTTTTTTTTTTTTTTTTTTTTTTTGAGACAGAGTCTTGCTCTGTCGCCCAGGCTGAAGTACAGTGGCACGATCTCGGCTCACTGCAATCTCTGCCTCCTGTGTTCAAGCGATTCTCCTGCCTCAACCTCCCGAGTAGCTGGGATTACCACCATGTCTGGTTAATTTTTGTATTTTTAGTAGAGACGGGGTTTCACCATATTGTCCAGGCTGGTCTCGAACTCCTGACCTCAGGTAATCCGCCCGCCTCAGCCTCCCAAAGTGCTAGGATTACAGGTGTGAGCCACCGCACCTGGCCACATTTTTCTTTCTTTCGAAGGAACAGTATTAGCCCATAAAAACATAAGCAGTGTTAGCACAGAAAAAATCATAGCTAGACTACTGGCCTCCTGTGCCTTGTTTTTATGTTTGAGAAACTCACAATGATACACCAAGCTTAGTCAAAATAGCTCCACTGTGATTTGTTTAAAAGGAAAATGTTTGGAAGCTCAGCTGAAGACCATGGGAATGCATGGAAACTTGTGGAGGGGAACCACTGCAGGTTTGCAGGGAACGGGGTTGGTGGTGAACTCCACCTACCCATGGAACAAGAACTGCTTACAGTGGTCACACACCAAGTGCCCACTTAGAGCAAGACCCTCTAAAGCACTTTACATTGAGTGTTTCTAATGGTCACTACACACCCCCAATATGAAGGGTGTATTGTTATCCTCATTTTTCATATTAAAAAATAGGCCAGGCGCAGTGGCTCATGTCTGTAATCCCAGCACCTTGGGAGGCCGAGGCGGGTGGATCATCTGAGGTCAGGAGTTCAAGACCAGCCTGGCCAACATAGTGAAACCCCATCTCTACTAAAAATACAAAAAATTAGCAGGGTGTGGTGGCAGGCACCTGTAATCCCAGCTCCTTGGGAGGCTGAGGCTGGAGAATCGCTTGAACCAGGGAGGTGGAGGTTGCAGTGAGCCCAGATCAAGCCATTGCACTCCAGCTTGGGCAGCAAGAGTGAAACTCCACCTCAAAAAAAAAAAAAAAGCTGGAGCTTAGAGAAGATTAGCAACCCAGCCAAGTTTATTTACAAGTAAGCTGGAAAACCAGCATTCATTCACTGAACAAATGTGGAGTCAGCACCTACAGCATAGTAGGTGCCGGAGAGTCAGTGGAGAATGAACGAGAACAGCAATATCCACACTCATGGGGCTTATAGCCCAGGAAGGACACAGAGAAGGGAACAGCCACACTGGAGTTTGGGAAGCGCTGTGCTGGTGGAGGCACAGTGTCTGTGAGTCATAGGGGAACAACCAACCCAGACATGGGGGTTGTCTGCTTGGCTTCACAGCCTCCCATTCTTATTGACACTGAACCTTTCAGGAAGAAAGCCAGTGTGACCTCAGATAATCTCCCCAGAGCACCTAATAACCTTCTCTCTGAGCCTCTCTGCAGAAGAGCTTCAAGTTCAAGTTGTATAAGCCTTCAAGTAGAAAGAAGCAATTTTGTCTCTAGGTTTGGGCAACACAAGTACCTGGGGAAGGGCATAGTTAAGCACACTGAATGCTTAAACTTTTATTTGTCTACTAATAAGTTGATAAATTGCACCTGGCATATAAATTTCACTTGGGGAACTCATGCAATGTGGCAGAAGGATTCCCTTCTCTTAATTACAAAGAATGAGTCCTCCAGCACAGAAACATCCCCCAGGAGATGCCCACAGTGTAGCAATGGATATTTTTACCTCTCCACACCCACATTCCACCATATTTCTCAGGGATGCTGTTCCCCTCCTGATCCCTCCCACCACCTTCTATGGCATCACATGTCCTTTAGCTGAGAAGGCAAATGCACCCTTTTACAACAAACCCCTGTGAAGTTCTCCCCTTCCTTTTTCCCTCCCTAAGTTTCCCCCCATGACCCCCTCCTCTTTTATGTCTTCCCTAATCCTAACCACCTTCCTCATTCTGCTTTCCCTGGCTTGTACTTTTTGTAGCTTTTTTTTTTTTTCTCTTTTTCATCATCTTCAATAAAATCAATCCAAAGGGGAGGTAAAAGACAGGCTGAAGATACCATTCTGCTTCGCTTATGAACAAGGGGCCTGTCTTCCGTCTCAATGAATCACAAACTTGCTGCACACTGAAATCACCTTGATCTTTAGGAAACCCTGGTCCTGACTCCCACCCCAGACTTTCTGGTCTGATGGGAAGGGGTGCAGCCCGGACATCAGGAATTCGAAAAGGTCCCAGGGTGATTCTAATGTGCACCAAATCTGGGGGGCTGCTATGCAGTTCTGCTTCTCACATGGGCACCCACATTAGATGTGGCCTTCTGAATGGCAGACCTGGGCATTTGGGGTCAATGGAGGTCCATTTTTAAGATTCACAGCCAGGCTGATCCCTTCAGAACAGAGCCCTTGTCCCTTTTGCCAGTCTCTAATTCAGACTGTCATCCTGCAGAGAATATAAAAACAAGCACGGTTAAGTAAAAGCTAGAAAGAGCCCTGAGCTGCTCAGCAAAAAAAAAAAAAAAAAAAAAAAAAAAAGACCTTAACTAATGATTACATTAGTCTGTCAAGCACAATCTTGAAGCCAATTTATTATATATACAGGAGATGTCAACTTCAGTCAAAACTCTATCATTCTCTGTAACAGCTCCTCTTCTGGAAGGCAGAAGTGGAATCTATACTCTAAAAGTGATCTAGCTGGAGCCCAGGAAGGTGGAAGCCTTGTCCTAGGGTCATACGGTCAGTTTATGGTGGACCCAAACCAAGGAGAATTCAGGTGATCTATGAAAATGGTCAGAGCCAAGCATGGTGGTTCATACCTATAATCCCAGAACTTTGAAAGGCCAAGGCGGGAGGAGTTTGAGACCAGCCTGGGCAACATGATGAGATGCCGTCTCTACAAAAAAATAAAATAAACAAAAACTAGCTGGGCCTAGTGGCATGTGTCTGTAGTCCTAGCTACTCAGGAGACTGAGGCAGGAGGATCACTTGAGCCTGGGAGGTCAAGGTTGCAGTGAGCTATGATTGTGTCACTGTACTCCAGCCTGGGTGACATAGCAAGACCTGGTCTCAAAAAAAAAAAGAGAGAAAAAAGAAAAAAGAAGGAAGGAAGGAAGGAAGGAAAGAGGCAGGGAGGAAGGGAAGGCAGGCAGGCAGGAAGGAAGGAAGAAAAGGACTTAGGCAAATCAAAATTGACATCAAATTCTACTGACATTATTAGTATCATATTAATAAATCACTACTATCACTAATTTTACAGTCATAACTTCATTTGGCTCTAATACTACCCATAAACAAGAAAATGATGATGACTTCTAGACAGCATCTCTCCATGCTTGTATTAACCTCCTCCATCTCTACCATGGTCCCTGGAGTATCTGACTGGGTTTCCTGATGATGATACCACAAGCTTTTTGCTGAAAAGTGATGTATTAGCCTGAGTGATTGGGTGGTCCTTGAGAACAGCCACGAGAGTATGCAAGGTCATTTGGTTTCAAGCACAGTCAGCTGCCCAGAGAGAAAAAAGCTTGTGCTGCATTATCGCAAGTTCCTAAACAGTGATTGACAACCTGGTGTAGAGAAAGGCGCTGGGTCAGGGATCCCAAGCCATGAGTCCCTGTCCTGGCTCTCTACTGACAGGCAGGGTGGTCTCAGACAGCCACACTGTTCCCATCTGGAAAAAAAGGACCTTGGGCTGAACCATGTTGAAAGGCCCTTCCAGCTCTCAGATCATGGATTTCATGATCTGACTCACAGAACAGCAATGCAAGAAGCTGCAGAGCCAGGCACACATGGAAATTTGCAGCTCCCTGGAGTTCCGTAACCTTAACTGAATAAGCTTCTTGGAGTGAACTCGAAGTTGTGGGAATTATATGCCTCTTTTGATGACAGAGAAATCTATGTGTGAGCAGACAGGTAGCGTAATTATAGAGAAACCAAAGGTTAAGATTTTCTAAGACATTTCACATTTTAACTGTTTAGTCATCTCCATAAACACATTTGAGTTGTGCAATGGTAGTCCCTGATAATTAGACAAGAGAGCACAGTCCTATTGACATAAATCTTTTAGACCTTTACCAAACACCAGATTCTGCAATTCATCCTTGGCTTCCAACAGAACAATATGCACAGTTCTTGTTCTTTGGTTTTATTCTGGAAAGGTAAAACATTTATGTCTTTTGTCTCAAAACGATGTTACTTTATAGAGCACTTTGCCATGTATTATCTTTTTTTTTTTTGAGACAGAGTCTCACTCTGTCACCCAGGCTGGAGTGCAGTGGCGCGATCTTGGCTCACTGCAGCCTCCGCCTCCCAGGTTCAAGTGATTCTCCTGCCTCAGCCTCCCAAGTAGCTGGGATTCCAGGCACACGCCACCATGCCTGGCTAATTTTTGTATTTTTGCGGGGTTACGCCATGTTGGCCAGGCTTTGAAGTCCTGACCTCAGGTGATCCGCCCACCTTGGCCTCCCAAAATGCTGGGATTACAGGTGTGAGCCATCTCACCCAGCCCATATATTATCTTTATTTATGGATTTGGGGTCCTTATCCATCAATCCTTCAAAATAGATGGTATGGCATATCGCCCTATTTGACAGATGATAAAACTGATGCCCAGGGGGATTAAATATTTTGCTAGTAAATGTCAGCATCTCTGCTAATTCAACTTTAATCTTCCAACTTCATTTCTTGTTCGTTTTTAGTTCAGAATGATAATAGTCTCTACCCTGAGGAAACGTAGGGTAGAAACTGATTTGGGTTTACCCAAACTTACAGTAAAAACTGATTTGGGGTTTGCCACTTGATTTGAGGTCTGGGATTTGTCAGTTATGAAATAGGCTTATTTGGCCCATTGTGGTGGCTCACGCCTGTAATCCCAGCACTTTGGGAGGCAGAGGAGGGCAGATTGCATGAGGTCAGGAGTTCAAGACCAGCCTGGCCGACATGATGAAACCCCGTCTCTACTAAAAAAAAATACAAAAATTTGCCAAGTGTGGTGGCATGTGCCTGCAATCCTAGCTACTCGGAAGGCTGAGGCAGGAGAATCGCTTGAACCCAGGAGGCAGAGGCTGCAGTAAGCCGAGATCTCACCACTGCACTCCAACCTGGGCGACAGAGTGAGAGTCCATCTGAAATAATTAATTAATTAATTTAAAAAAAGGATAGTCTTACTAGTATGAGACAAGGATCAATACTGGTTCATGGTCAGAATCGATGTCTATAGACTACACTGGAAGGCTCAGAGTCTAACTCTGGACTGGGCAAGCAGGCCCAATGCATAAATAAGCCCTGGTCCCACAGATGCTTACCTTTATGAACCTCTAACACTTTATTAAACAACTAAACATCGCTATCAATAAAAGAAGACGGCATCATGTTGGAAGCAGTAGTCTTTGAGACTGACTCAAAATGGCATTGGTCTATATTCTTACTACCCAACTGGGATACAGCAGCACAAGTGTCACCTGAGAGCTTGTTAACATGCAGAATCAAAGCCAGGTGCGGTGGCTCATGCCTATAATTCTAGTACTTTGGGAGGCCAAAGCAGGAGGATCACCTGAAGCCAGGAGTTTAAGATCAGCCTGGGCAACATACTGAGACCCCTGTCTCTACAAAACAATAAAAATAAAAATGAGTCTAGCATGGTGGTGTGCACCTGCAGCCCTAGCTACTCAGGAGGCTGAGGAAGGAGGATCGCTTGAGCCCAGGAGTTCAAGGCTGCAGTGAGCTATGATAGCGCCACTGCACTCAAGCCTGGGTAACAGTGCAAGACTCTGTCTCAAATAAATAAATACATAAATAAATAAAATGCAGAATCTCCACTCCCTCAGATGCACTGAATCAGAATCTGCATTTTAACAAAGGCACCAGGTGGTTCATGTACACACTATGGCTGAGAAGAACTTCTCTGAACTTCCTACATTCTTGAGGTTCTAAAGACAATGATTTTATAAGTGCAACTTCCTGTTCATGCTGGCAAGTGGGGTAGTTAGAACAAGCCCATGGCTGGGATCCTGAACACCAAGTGTTTACATATATGGGTCAAAAAAAGCAATTATAACAACTGCGGAGGCTGAGCGTGGTGGTTCACACCTGTAATCGCACATTTTGGGGGGCCAAGGCGGGTGGATCACTTGAGGTCAGGAGTTCAAGACCAGCCTGGCCGACATAGTATAACCTCGTCCTACTAAAATTACAAAAATTAGCCAGGCGTGGTGGCAGGTGCCTGTAGTCCCACCTACTCAGGAGGCTGAGGCAGGAGAATTGATTGAACCTGGGAGGCAGAGGTTGCAGTGAGCCGAGATCGTGCCACTGCACTCCAGCCTGGGCAACAGAACAAAACACTGTCTCAAAAATAAATAAATAAAAATAAAAAATAACAACTGCAGAGCATTTAGCATCATGCAAGGTGCATGGGAGCCACTTAGAAAGTTGCTTGTTGGTCCATTTTATGGGAAGAATTGTGAGATTACCAGGCCTCCTCACTTTCCTCAATTTGAACTTAAGAAGGTGAGAGTTGAGATTTCAAAACCTGATGTTGCTCTCCTTCCCTCTCACCACCTGGTACAGAGAAGAAAGCTGGTTTTCTCCCCCTGCCCTCTCATTGGCTTTTCTCCGTCTCTCCCTGGCTCTCCTCCTTGTTTCTCTTTCTTCCTCAATGCACTCCACTGCCCCCAACACACCCCCACACACAAACAGTTATATCTTCAAAGTTGAAGGAATGTGAAGATCCATCTCTTTTGATTAGGGCCCAGGAGAGAAGTTTCTGCAAATACATTTGCATTAATTACCACATTAATTTCTTGTCCCAGGGCAAGCTCAGCAAACCCGAAAGCCTTCCTGCAGGCAAACACCTGCAAGACCCGGCAGTGGGCTGGGGGTTCAGGGTTAGTGAGGTAGCAATGACAGTGCTGGAAAGGAGCCTGCTAATGTCTTCCGCACAGGTGTTCAGCACTATAGGGTGTTAATTGGGGAACAGGTGGAGGCACAGAGGGTGGAGTGAGCAGCAGAGTGAGTAGGGCAGAAACTGACTGCCATAGCCTAATTTCAAACAGAGTGGAATTTTCCTTCTCCTTCCTGCAGGTTAGACTTAGAAAGCTCAGCCACAATAGAACCGAACAGCACATCATCATGTACAACAACTAATATTTATTGCTGCTTTCTAAGTGCCCAACACTGAGCTAGGTACATTACATGCTTTATCCCTAATCTGCAAAGCAATTCTACAGAATAGGTATGAGAATCTTGGCCTTAAGAATGCCAAAGCCAAGGCTCAGAAGAAGATGAATAATTGCTCAAAGGCACACAGCTAGTATGTTGCAGAGCTAGCATTCTCTGCTGCTAAATCGTCTGTGTACCATCTTCTATATCTTTGTTCTTCTTATGAGAGGCAACAAGCCGGTTAGATGCATACTGGTCAACCTCATCTGGAGTGTTGTCCTCCAGATCAATCCTCTCAACTGATGAAAGCCTAGAAACCACGTGAGAACTGGCTAAATCCGAGATCGTCAAACTACCGCCCAAATCCAAGCCTACCCTGTTGTTGTAAATAAAGTTTTATTGCAATACACCTATATATTTAAATGCTGTCTGTGGTTCCTTTCATGCAACAATTGCAGAATTGAGTGGTTGCAGCAGAGACTGTAAGGCCCACAAAGCCTCAAGTACTTTATACTATCTGGACATTTACAGAAAAAGACTGCCCACCACTTGGCTACGTAAATCATTGCCCTTGAGCATAACTGCAGAGACTCTGTTCTGAATCACCACTCAGCGCTGCCAAAGAAATTGGAAGTGTTTGGCCTGAAACAATGAAAACTCAAGGCACATACTTGACATCATGTAGAAGTGGATTTGTTTGCAGGCCAATAGGTGGAAATTTCCAAGATGTGGTTTTTGGCTCAACCTAAAGAATTATCTGTTCCTAATGTTTATAAATTAACTTATAGGGCAATGAGTTCTTCATTGCTGTAAGTATTTAAATAGTCACATGAGCATCCATCAGAAATGTCATAGAGGTTGTCCTTCATGACCTCTATGATCCTTTACAACTCCTGTGATCTTCTGACTTTGTGAGTTTCGATATGGCTAATGAGCCATGGGAACTTTTTTTCCTGAGTCTCTGTGCCCTAGTCTACTAGATTAGCTCCCGGCTACTCGGGAGCCTGAGGCAGGAGAACCGCTTGAACCTGGGAGGTGGAGACTGCAGTGAGCCAAGATTGCGCCACTGCACTCCAGCCTGGGCAACAGAGTGAGACTCTGTCTCAAAAAATAAAAAATAAATAAATAAGAAGAATTATGGTAGGGCTTGAACTTTGGTAAAGAATAAGTATAGTTAAACAACGACCTATCGTGTCTCAAAAAATAAAAAATAAATAAATAAGAATTATGGTAGGGGCTTGAACTTTGGTAAAGAATAGGCTTAGTTAAACAATGACCTATCATTTCGTAGCTTGCTTTTCCGTACGTTGTTTGCTGCTCTGGAGTCACATAACTGGCGGGGGGTGGTCACAAAATTTATAATTTCCCCAACTACTCCTATAGATAACATCACTATTGTGAAATAAAGAACTGGTCTTTGAGATATTTTTCAGATTTAACATTTCAACAGACCAAGAGATGCTACTGATCCTGAGACCCCATCCCAGGAACTGAGTCAACTACACAAAGACAGTGTAGACACCCTTGTGATTTCATCTCCAGACAATCAATTGTTTCAGTTCCTGAGCTCCCTGCTTATCAAAGTACCCTGAAAAACTCTAGCCTCCAAAATCTCGGAGAGGCAGATTTGGGAAATACCTCCTATCCTTTGGCTTGGCTGGCCCTGCAGTTATGAAACTCTTTCTTTGCCACAATATCTGCTGTTCTCAGTGCATTGATTTTTGTGGGCAGTGGGCAAAAAAGAACCCATCAGGTGTAACAGTGCTGGAATTATAGGCATGAGCCACTGTGCCCAGCCTGTATGAAACATTTTAACTATGTACAAGTTAACATATAGCCAAGCACTAATGAAAATGAAACAAGGTATAAGTGGCTTAAAAGAAGTTAAAAGACAATAGAAAATATTTAAAATTTTATCAAAGCTTCCCATTTAAAAAGCAGTAGATGAGTGGGAATGTAAATTAGGATAGCCATTAAACTATATGCAGATTCCTCAAAAAACACAGAGTTACCAAATGATCCAGCAATCCCACTTCTGGGTATTTACCCAAAAGATTTGAAATCAGTTTGCCTGCACTCCCATAGTCATTGCATTGCTGGGCGTGATGGCTCACACCTGTAATTCTAACACTTCAGGAGGCCCAGGTAGGTGGATTGCTTGAGCCTAGGAGTTTGAGACCAGCCTGGGGAACATAGAAAAACCCTCTCTCTACAAAAAAACACAAAAATGAGCCTGGCATAGTGGCATATGCCTGTAGTCCCAGCTACTCGGGAGGCTGAGGTGGAAGGATGGCTTGAGGCCAAGAGGTGGAGGTTGCAGTGAGGCAAGATTGCGCCACTGCACTCCAGCCTGGGTGACAGAGACTCTAGAGACTCTAGCTAAAAAAAAAAACCACACACACACACACACACACACACACAAAGAGAAACAAAAACAAAACATGTTCATTGCAGCACTATTCCCAATAGCCAAGTTATGGGATCAAACTTAGTGTCCCATCAATAGATAAATGGATAAAGAAAATGTGGACATATACACAATGGAATACTATTTGGACTTTAAAAGAAGGGAATCCTGTTATTTGAGACAACATGGATAGAATTAGAGCACCTTATGCTATGTGAAGTGAGCCAGGCACAGAAAAATAATACCACGTGTTCTCACTTATATATGGAACCTAAAACAATCAAACTCAAAGAAGCAGAGAGTAGAATGGTGGTTATAGAGGCTGGGGTACGTGAGGAATGGGGAGTTGATGGTCAAAGGGTACAAAATCTCAGGAAGAATAAGGGTTTTTTTTTTAGATCCATTGCATAGCATGATGAATACAGTTAATAATAGTGTATTGCACACTTCAAAATTGCCGAAAGAGTAAATTTCAAATATTCTCACCACAAAAAAATGGTAAGAATTTGAGGTGATGGATATGTTAGCTTGATTGAATGATCCCACATTGTATTTACAAATCATAACATCACCCTGTACCTCAAAAATACATATACCTCTGCCAGGCATGGTGGCTCATGCCTGTAATCCCAACACTTTGGGAGGCCAAGGTGGGGAGATCACCTGAGGTCAGGAGTTCAAGACCAGACTTGTCAACATGGCGAAACTCTGTCTCTACTAAAAATACAAAAATTAGCCAAGCGTGGTGGTGCACACCCATAGTCCCAGCTACTGGGGGAGGCTGAGGCAGGAGAATTGCTTGAACCCGGGAGGCAGAGGTTACAGTGAGCTGAGATCATGCCATTGCACTCTAGCCTAGGCAACAGAGCAAGACTCTGTCTCAAAAACAAAACAAAACAAAAAAATATGTATATACACCTCATAAGCTTACAATTTTTAAAAATTCAAATAAATAAATTAATGAAAAGCACTAGAAGCAAACAACTACAAATGTTTGAAAAACAGAAACTTCCAATATCAGTAAACTATTCCAGAACATTAAAAAAGAAAGTTTCCAAATTCTTTCCATAGATTCATTATTTATTGATACCACATTTAATAAATATATCACAATAACATCACACTTTATGGAATAATTTATGAATATGAGTGCAGAATAATAAATAAAAAGTATTAATAAATATAATTCAGAAACTTATTAAAAAATAATATACCAGAACAAAATAGATTTGAACCTGGAAAGAACAGCTAAATATTAAGGAATCTATTTACATAATTTACTAACTTAGCCTATTAATTGATCAAAGTAAAAACATAAATAAAATTGTATATCCAGAGATGCTATAAAATCATTTGATAAAATTAAACATCAGCTGGGCATGGTGGCTCATGCCTGTAATCCCAGCACTTGGGAGGCCAAGACAGGCAGATCACTTGAGGTCAAGAGTTTGAGACCAGCCTGGCCAACATGGTGAAACCCCATCTCTACTAAATACAAAAATTAGCTGGGTATGGTGGCACACACCTGTAATTCCAGCTACTCAGGAGGCTGAGGCACCAGACTCGCCTGAACCGGGAAGGCGGAGTTTGCAGTAAGCCTAGACGGTGCCACTGCACTCTAGCCTGGATGATGGAGTGAGACTCTGTCTAAAAAAAAAAAAAAAAAAATTAAACCTTCCTCCTTGATTTTTAAATAATTCTCCCTTAATACAAGCACATACAGCCGTGCCTATCTATACATATTTTTGTAGCTATATAAATTCTTAAGCCAAAGCCTAGTGTCAGGATAAATGGTGAAGTGTGATAAACAATTCAATTAAAGTCAGAAACTAGACAAGTTTTTTAATTATCGTTACTTCTATTTAGCATATATCTGGAAGTACTGGTCAAGACAGAAAAAAGAAAGAGATATACTGGAAAGAAAGAAGCCAAGTTATTTATTGCAGCTAATATGATTATGTACAGACAACTAACTATAAAACTATTGGAAGTAATAAGAGAATTTAGTAAGGTGACTATGTAACAAAAAATAGACTTTTAATAATAATAAATGTCAGGCCAGGCGCAGTGGCTCACGCCTGTAATCCCAGCACTTTGGGAGGCCGAGGTGGGCAGATCACCTGAGGTCAGGAGTTTGAGACCAGCCTGACCAATATGATGAAATCCTGTCTCTACTAAAAATACGAAAATTAGCCGGGCGTGGTGGCATGCACCTGTAATCTCAGCTACTCGGGAGGCTGAGACAGGAGAATCGCTTGAACCTGGGAGGCGAAGGTTGCAGTAAGCTGAGATCGCACCATTGCACTCCAGCCTGGGCAACCAAAGCAAAACTCCATCTCAAGTTTAAAAATAGACTTTTAAAATAATAAGAATAGTTCCATTATATGGAAACAACAACAACATATTTTTTCCTACTAAACAACATATTTTCTTCCTACTAAGTAAAAATCATCTTTCCCTACTTGCAAGCTAAAAATTTAGTCTGCCACAGTTTCATGGATGTTGGCAGAGACATAAGACTCCTTCATCAGAAACAAAGGATTTTGTTACAGTAATAACAGTAGTCAGACTATTAGCATTTTCTTGTGACAATTTCCTAAGCTCTAGTTTCTGCAAGGCAGGGCAAAAGAGGGCCAGGTGACACCTGCACCTGCAGTGGTCTGCACTACAGGACGAGAGGCCTGAGTTCAGGGAATCTGAATATTTTATACTAGACCTTAAACATGCCTGCCCTCTGCCACTAAGAGAGATGCTAACTCTATCTTTTAAGTCTGTTTGCTACACTACGTCCTTGAAAAGATAGTCTAGAACAAAGGCAGAAAAACACAAGACATGCAGAAACAGGAGGGCCCCCTGGAGAATTATCTCCCAACACTGCTTAGAGAAAACTTTAAATGCTACATGGGGCCAGGTGCAGTGGTTCACGCCTATAATCCCAGCACTTTGGGAGGCCGAGGTGGGCAGATCATCTGAGATCGGGAGTTCAAGACTAGACTGGCCAACACGTCGAAACCCTGTCTCTACCAAAAAAAAAAAAAAAAAAAAAATTAGCCAGATGTGGTGGTGCACACCTGTAGTCCCAGCTACTCGGGAGGCTGAGGCAGGATAATTGCTTGAACCTGGGAGGTGGAGGTTGCAGTGAGCTGAGATCAAGTCACTGCACTCCAGGCTGGGGAACAGAGTGAGACTCCATCTCAAAAAAAAAAAAAAAAAAAAAAAAAGGTACTTGGAGTATAAATGAAGATTTCATAATTTGGAAGATCTACCCTATTCTTGGATAATACCAATAAATATAATGAAATGTTCAATTACTCCTAAATTAATCTATAAATTTAATGCTAATCCAATTAAAATACCCATAATGGAGCAACAGGAACTCTCCTTCATTGCTGGTAGGATTAGAAAACATTGCAGCTACTTTGGAAAACAGTTTGGCAGTTTCTTAGAAAGCTAAATATTTTCTTACCATATGATCCAATAATCAAGCTCCTAGGTGTTTACCCAAATTAGCCGAAAACTATGTTCACACAAAATCCCAAACATAAATGTTTATAGCAGTTTTACTTATAATTGCCAAAAATTAGAAGCAACGAAGATGTTCTTCAATAGCTGAATGGATCAACTGTGGTACATTCATATAATGGAATATTATTCGGTAATGAAAAGAAATGAGCCACCAAGCCACAAAAAGACATGGCAGAAACCTAAATGCAAACCGCTAAGTGAGGGATGAAAAGGCTATATGATTCTAACCATTTGACATTCTAGAAAAGGCAGAACTGTGAAGATAGTAGTAAGATCAACTGCTGTCAGGGATTCAGCGGAGGACCAGGGAGAGCGGGATGGATAGGTGAAACATGGGATTTTTAGGGCAGTGAAACTACTTATTCTGGATGATATTGCAATGGTAGACACATGACATTATGCATTTGTCAAAACTCTTAGCACTTACAATCCAAAGCACATACAATACTCTTTGGAGTAAAGTATGGCCTTCAGTTAACAATAGCATATCAATACTGGCTCATCAACTTTAATTACAAGATATTAAAATACAGGATATTAAAAATAGGGAAACCTGGCCAGGAATGGTGGTTCATGCCTGCAATCCCAACACTTTGGAAGGCTGAGAGAGGAGAATCACTTGAGCTCAGGAGTTCAAGCCTAGCCTAGGCAGCATAGGGAGACCCCCATCTCTACAAAAAACTAAAAAATTAGCCAGGCATGGTGGCACACACATGTGGTCCCAGCTACTCTGGAGGCTGGAGTGGAAGGATCATTTGGGCCCAGGAGGCTGAGGATGCAGTGAGCCGTGATCACGCCACTACACTCCAGATGGATGATAGAGTGAGACCCTGTCTCAAAAAAAAAAAAAGAAAGAAAAGAAAAAGAAAACTATGGTATGGGAGGGGGAAATGTATAGAAACTCTGTGCTTTCTGCTCAGCTTTTCTGTAAACCAAAAACTGCCCTAAGAAATTAATCTATAAACTTAAATAAATGTTAAAATACCAATGAGCATTTTTGTTAATATAAGACAATCTGATTCCAAAGCTCGCATGAAAAGGCCGAGCACAGTGGCTCACACCTGTAATCCCAGCACTTTGGGAGGCCAAGGTGAGTGGATCATGAGGTCAGGAGTTCAAGACCAGTCTGGCCAAGATGATGAAACCCTGTCTCTACTAAAAATAAAAAAAAAATTAGCCAGGCGTGGTGGCGGGCACCTGTAATTCCAGCTACTCGGGAGGCTGAGGCAGAGAATTGCGCTAACCCGGGAGACGGAGGTTGCAGTGAGCCTAGATCTTGCCACTGCACTCCACCCTGGGAGACACAGGGAGACGTATTATTAAATAAATTAATAAATGTATTAATATATTTATTAAATAAAGTAATAAAATTATTAAAATAAATAAAAAAGAAAAAATAATCATAAAATCCTGAGAAATAACAATACCACCTATTAAAATACACTATAAGACCACTGTAAATGAAGTGATTTGGTATTGATACCTAAATAAGGAAGTAGATCACTAGAACAGTATAAATTATAGAAACAGACTTAAATGTGTTGGGTCATCTGGAACATGAGAAAGGTGTCATTTCTAATCAGAAAAGAAAAGGTGCTGTTGAAAACAGCTAGCCTCTGGAAAAACAATCAGGACAAATCTCTATCTCACACTGTACACAAAAATAGAATCTAGATGAGTCACAAAGTCATATGCAAAAATGAGACAAAAGGTAACTTGGAGAAGCATAGGAAGTCACATCTTAATCTTTCTAAGCAAAAATCAATCCCTAGAGATTTAACTTTTTTAAAATAATAAATTTTACATTTTAAAAAATCTGCATCCAAAAAATACCATAAAGTTGAAAGGCAAAATATAGCTGGAGAAAACTATTTTCAATTTTTATCATCAAAAATTTAATTTCCTTAACAGAAAATGGACAATGGACAAGAATACAATTATAGAATTACTACAAATGCCTTTTAAGTATTTTTAAGTATTTGTATTTATTTAAGTACTTTAAATATATACAAGTAAAAGTATTCAGGAAGCGCTGTGCTTGTATAACTATCTGTTATCATATTATCATCTTTCCAAATAAAATAAATGCAAATTAAAGTTATAAGACACCATTTTTTCATTTGTCAGCTTGGCAAATATCAAAAATTTGCATAATACTATGCATTGTCAAATGAATGGGCATTTCTATACTTTGTTGTTGAGAGTATAAATTGATACAGCTTCTTTGGAAATAAATTTACCAATATCTATCAAAGATTTAAAGGCATGTATCTCATCTGTAAAATGGGAATGAAAAAAGTCCCTTGATCCAGCTATTTCCTTTTTTCTTTTTTTCTCTCCTTTAAAAAAAAAAAAAAAAACCTTGATATTCCACCCTTCGAGTTACAACTGGGACAACTGGGAGAGGGGGAAGAGTTGCAGTGGGATGAAGAACTAGGAGGGTCTTGACAGCTGGAGGTCTAGTCCGCTTAGTTTTTGTACTGGAAGGGCTCATCGCAGGTTTCATTGAGAAGACACGTGCGGATGAGAGCTTCTGTCACCAAAAAGGGGTTGCAGTTGGCAGAGGGGCAATGGTCTTCAAAGTAGCCTTTCTTCTCCTGGCCGAGAGTCTGGGGAATGTTTATGCTGGCACTACGATTGGCTATACCAGCAGAAAAGTCATGGATGTTGGAGGTTTCATGGAATCCAGTTAGGCGTCGGGCATTGTCCAGGCCTCCCTTGGGATCATGGGCGTGGATGTGGTACTGTTGCCACTTGCTTAGTTTCTTGATGGCCTTCTCAATGTACTTCAGATCATTATCCTTCCGCATGGCCTTGGTGCTGAAGTTGGTGTGGCAGCCTGCACCCTTTCAGTTCCCAGGAATGGGCTTATGATCAAAAGTTGCTATCACTCCAAAGTCTTCACATACAGGATGCAAGATGAAATGGGCCACCCAGAGATGATCTCCCATGCTGATTCCTTCACACGATCCAATTTGAAATTCCCACTGGGCAGGCAAGACCTTGGCATTAGTCCCTGCAATCTTGACTCCAGCTTACAAGCAGGCCCCGTAATGGGCCTCCACGATGTCCCTGCTGTAGGCTCTGTCTGCTCCCACACTGCAGTAATATGGATCCTGGGGTCCCGGGAAGCCATTGAAGGCCAACCAAAGGGGTGCCCATCTGTCCCCATGAGGGTATATTCCTGCTCCATGGCAAACCAGGGGTGCTTGTTCCTCACCATGTCCATTATCCATTTACAGGTGTGCCTCAAATTGGTCTCTGCAGGCTTTCGATTGTACTTGAAAACATCACACAACACCAGCTTGTTAGGGTCCTTATGGAAGGGGTCCTGAAACATGGCAGCAGGCACGAGATACATGTCACTGTTCAGACTGTAAAAGTACTAGAGCCATCGAAATTCCCCTCAGGCAACTGTTCCACACACTTGGGCTCACTGTCCAGGATCCGGGTCTTGCAGCACAGTCCTTCTCCAGTACCATCGATCCAGATATACATGGCCTGGACTTTGTCACCCTGAGGCAGGGACATGCACACCTGCTTGATGCTTGATGCGTTTATTTAAGTGGGAACTTGCTGAGGTGGTCATGGTGGAAGGTGTTCTGGGCGTCGAGCAGGCGGGGACGGTAAAAGTAGTCCGTGAGAACGAGGTGAGGAGAGGAGAGGAGGCTGCTGTACTGCTCACACACTCCACTCTTTTCCCACTCTTGACTCTCTCTCTCTTTTTTTTGAAAGACAGAGTATGGCTCTGTCACCCAGGCTGCAGCACAATGGCGCAATCTCAGCTCACTGCAACCTCCGTCTCCCGGATTCAAGTGATTCTTCTGCCTCAGCTTCCCAAGTAGCTGGGACTACAGGTGTGCGCCACTACACCCAGCTAATTGTTGCATTTTTAGTAGAGACAGGATTTCACTATGTGTTGGTCAGGCTGGTCTCGAACTCCTGACCTCAGGTGATCCGCCTGCCGCAGCCTCTCAAAGCGCTGGGATTACAGGTGTGTGTCACTACGCCCAACTAGCTATTTCAATTCTAGGCTTTTACCCCTCACAAATATATGTGCTCATATATATGTACAAGAATACTAATTAAAGCATCTTTTGTAATATAAAAGACTAGAAATAGTTATATAAACTGTGATACAACCATACGATGAACTACTATACAGCTCTTAGGCTGGGTGTGGTGGCTTATGCCTGTAATCCCAGCATTTTGGGAGGCCAAAGCCAGCAGATCACTCAAGGCCAGGAGTTTGCGACCAGCCTGGCCAACATGGTAAAACCCCATCTCTACCAAAAATACAAAAATTAGAGGGACTTGGTGGTGCATTCCTGTATTCCTACTACTTGAGAGGCTAAGGCAGGAGAATCATCTGAACCCAGGAGGCAGAGGTTGCAGTGAGCTGAGATTTCAACACTGCACTACAACCTGGAAGACAGTGTGAGACCCTGTTAGAAGGAAGGAAGGAAGGAAGGAAGGAAGGAAGGAAGGAAGGAGAGAAAAAGAGAGAGAGAGGGAGGGAGGGAGGGGAGAAAGGGAGAGAGGGAGGGAGGGAAAGAAAGAAGGAAGGGAGGGAGGGAGGGAAGGAAGGACTGTATAGCTCTTTGAAAGAATAAGGTGGTACTATAAATATGGCCATGGAAAGATTTTAAAGGTGTAATTTCAAGGAAAAAAATACAGACTGTGCAAAATAGTACCATTTATGTAAAAGGGGGCAGCATATATGTGCTTATCTATATTCATAAGAAATATCTATGGAAGGAATGAAAAAAGAACCAGTTATTGTGATTGACTTTAAGAAGTGGTGAGGTGATCCACGAGTCAGGGGTAAAAGACTCACCTATGTCTTTTTACTATGTGTCTTTATTATTTGATTGAGAGAGGGAGAAAGAGAGAAGAGATGCTTCCTACAGTCTGGAGTGGTTTGGGGAGGTCCCCTGGAGGAGGTGAATTTAAACTGTGTTTAGAAGAAGGGAAAAATGGAGGAAGCGTAAATGAATTTGAGTTATGCAGCCTGAAACACAGGCATCAGCTAACTGATGATCAGGTAATTTCAAAACACAGACAAGGGGCCCCCAGTTCCAGAGAGAGACCTGCATACCTGCCCAGCTGAGCCTCCTGGGTTCTGAGAAAGCAAGGGATTGGCCCTGCTGCTGGATGAGCAGGTAGGACTGCAGAGAGGTTACTACTCAGAGGACACACAGCAAAAAGGAACAGAACTTCCTTCTACTGAAGGTCCTTACTAACAATGAGCACCTGGTCAGGCATTCATTCATTCAACCAATCAGTTTATTTATTTCCATTTATTTCAATAAATATTGCATGTCTACTTTGTCCAAGGGTCTGGAAAAGCAGTTATAAGGAAGAAAACAGAGATCCATATAGCTGATAGTCTAAGTAGAGAGACCAATATTGAGCCAACAATTATACAGTGTGTTGCAGAAAGGGTGCTATGGGAATAGATAATCAATGAAATAAGTATAACCCTTAGTCCACATAGTTGAGAGTAGAAGAAATGCTGACTTGCCATCCTCTATCAAAATCAAATTAAGACTTGTATCCAGGCTCTGCTGGGAAGTGTCTAGTGAGCTGCACAGCTGACTCAGACAGGTGCATCTGGGGAGGCTGTGGTTGCTGTGTCTGTCCCCTAGTGCCTGCCCTCTTTGGAAAATAAGGACATCCTCCATCAGCCCAGGGCCCCACTTAGCCTTGGAAAACAACTAGGTCTCTGGTCTGTGCTCGTTCTCCTTGTGGGGCTCGCACGTTAGAACAATAAGCCCCATTTTCTCCTTCCATCTTACATTGAGACTGAGACTTCCCAGGAGAGCCTTGGACCTCTAGTGGCTTTCACTATAAACTTGGGGGCAGCACGTTGCTGTGTGGAAGATGCCTCCTCTCTGAGGACTCCTCTCATGAGCCCTTCCTCCTCCTGCCAGCATTTCCTGGACTCCAGCATAAGCTTCCTGTTTCTGTCCCCCTTGGTTCCTTAATGTGGCTGAGCATAGCCAAGTACTTGGCTCTGTCTCGGGATTCTCAGGAATTCCATCAGCCTGGTGGGGTTCCTTTTTCCCTGCTCCTGGAGGCAAATTATATGCAACAAAACCTAGAACTAGTCTTGTGGATTTTCTTTGGTGGAGGAGCATAGACCAATGGTTCCATGTCCAGCCTCCAGAATCAGACAGAACTGGGGTCACACCCTGGTATCACCCCTTCCTGCTGAGTCTGTCTCCCCAGCAGTGAAAGGAGGGTAATATTCCTCCTACAGAGGGTGGGGTGGTGGGGAGTTTACATGAGGCGGGTGCGTGTCTGTACAAACGTGTTTATCATTGCCAGCCACTTTTTTTTTTAATAGACACGGGGTCTCACTGTGTTGTCCAGGCCAGTTTTGAACTCCTGAACTCAAGTGATTCTCCTGCCTCGGCCTCCCAAAGTGCTAGGATTACAGATGTGAGCCAGCACACCTGGCCACAAGCTGCTTTCATGCAGGTGTCAGATACGCTCTCCTAACAGTGGAAGGTGGTTTGATCCTTTCTTCTCACACACACAGTCATAAATGAGTCATCAGAGTTACCCCAAAGGCAAATGGTGATATCTCCCTACAGGGAAAACTAGCACAGAACTTATGGGCCTCATTGAACTGTTAGCTGGGTTGGTTGGACAGAAAAATGTTGGTTCAATTTTCAAATACTAAGGAGCTCTTATTTCACGAGTCCCTTTTCTTACGTTGTTGAGGGGAGGCGTCAGAGCACACACTGGGAGAATAGGCCAGGGAAGCAGGCAGTGGTCACGCAGTACATCTTGCACGTGGTGGAGCATGCCGCCATCTTTGCCTTCGCCCTGGCCGACCTCTCCGTTTAATGGGGAGGTGAACTTGGACATGGACAACGACCAGGCTCCGTCAAGGGGGTTTCCTTACCAGGACTCCTTTCTCGTTTCTTTTCTCTTGCAATATGGTCATGGGGCAAAAACCCCAGAGGCCACATACTGTATTTGTGGAAAGAGAAAGAACAGGACTGTAGAGCCAAAGCTACCTCACTAGCTTTTGTGAAAGTCAGGCTGGAAAGTGCTTCCAGCCACAGAAACAGGCTGTGGGTGTAAATATTAACCGTGGCCATCAAAGAAGTGGGCATAGAGTATGACTCGCCCTCTCTTGGTCTTCCCTCAAATAGCAGGGTGAAGAACTCCTGGTCTGTGTCAGCCACGTGGCTCACAAAAACAATGACACAGAGGAGGGAATGGTGGGACTGGCCAAGGGTACGGCTGTCTTCCAGCCGTTTATCTCTGAGTGTCCTGTGTCCTGAGCAGAGCAAGGTGCAAGGCCCTGTACCGGGCACCCAGCAGAAACTTCTGAGAAACTTGACTATGAGGAAGGATGCTTGCCTAGCAATTGGTCAGATGAAGGGCTACGTTTGATACTTCCTTCAGTGTGGAAGGAAGAAATTTGTAAAAACTATTTCCAGAATATGCACACATTTAAAGTTTATAAACCTGAACTTTCCTTAGTAGAAGACACTTAACAAGAGAATACTATTGGCTCTGGGCACTAACCATTTGGGCTGTGGGACCCAGGGAATCTCTCTAGTAAGCATCATCTTTAGTGGGTGACTCCTGGTGGTCCTCCCAGCTCTGGTGGTGCCATGGGGACCTGCCTTGGAGATGCCTTGGTACTGGTACCTTTTGTGTACCAGGCCGTGAGCCTAGGGCACAGGGCCTCTGGCCTACAGATTTCAGGGAGGCAGCTGTGTCATGTGAACCAATACGGCCTGCCAACAATTCTGTCCAGAGTGACTGTCGTTGTCATCGTTAGCGTGTTGCCTGAAAAGCCTTGGGGTCTGGGGGCTGACACTGAAGCTCTTTTTTCCCTCTGGCCCTGTGATGTCCAGCATTACCCAGAACGCCATGCAGGACCAGAGCGCCACAGCCGGGACTCCCGTGATGGCTGGGGGGGCTGTGGCTCCGACAGGAGGATGAGCGAGGGCCGGGGGCTGCCTCCTCCCCCCAGGGGCAGACATGACTACTCGGGGGACCGTGGCTGAAGAGAGGATGACTGAGCATGGCAGGGCACAGCTGATGGGGGCATGATGGACAGGGATCACAAGAGATGGCAAGGTGGTGAGAGAAGCATGTCCGGTCACTCCGGGCCTGGCCACATGATGAACTGAGAAGGGATGTCAGGGCTCGGCAGCTTTGCCTCAGGCGGGGCCTCCCGGGGCCACCCCATCCCACACGGTGGTATGCAAGGCGGGTTCGGAGGCCCGAGCAGGGGGAGCAGGCCCATCAATGCCCGCTTCACTCGCCGCTACCGAGTACTTGGAATCCTGTGTCCTGTCACGTGGCAACAAGGCTATGTTCTGTTAGGAGTTATCCTAAACTGTCTAAAAATATTTTTCTTTAATCTGCTGCCATATTGTAGCTCAATACAATGTGAATTTGTTTTTCATTTTGGGTTTTCTTTTTTTTTGTAATAAATGTGTTTCTGTTCACATACCCTTTAAAAAAAAAAAAGACTTGCATCCAGAATCTATAAACTCTTACAACTCAGCAACAAAGACAAATAATCTTAGTTTGAAATGGGCAAAAATTTTGAATAGATATTTCTCCAAGGAAGGTATACAGTCAGCTGAAATTGCATTAAAAGACATGCAACAACATTACTCATCAGGGAAATGCAAATCAAAACCACTATGAGATATTTCTTCATAAGCACCAAGACAGCTATAATCAAAAAAGACACACAATAATAAGCGTTGACAAGGATATAGACAAATTGGAACCCTCATACATTACTGGTAGGAAAGTGAAGTGGTATAGCCTCTTTGAAAAATAGTTTTGCAGCTTCTTCAAAAGTTAAACGTAGAGTTACCATATGGCCCAGCAATTCCACTCTTAAGTATATACCCAAAAGCACTGAAAACCTATATCCACACAAAAACTTATTCAGGCATGTTCATTACAGCATTATTCATTATACCAAAATGCGGAAATGACTCAAAGGTTCATCAATTGATAAACTGATAAATAAAATGTGGTATATCCATACAATGAAATATTATTCAGCCATAAAAAGGAATGAAGTACAGGTTAAGTTATCCCTTATTCAAAATGCTTGGGACCAGAAGTATTTCAGATTTCAGATTTTTTCAAATTTTAGAATATTTGCATTATACTTACGGTTGAGCATCTCTAATCCCAAAATCCAAAATCCAAAATGCTCCAATGAGCATCTCCTGTGAGCGTCATTTCAGCACTCAAAAAGCTTCAGATTTTGAAGCATTTTAGATTTCAGATTTTCAGATTAGGCATAATAAACTCGTACTGATACATGCTACAAGGCAGATGAACGTTGAAAACATTATGCCAAGTGAAAGAAGCCGGACATTAAAGGTTACATATTACATAATTCAATTTATATGAAATGTCTAGAATAGGCAAATGTATAGAAACAGGAGGTAGATTAGTGTTTGCCAGGGGTTGGGGGGAAGAGAAGACTGGAGAGTGAACACTGATGTGTATGGGATTTCTTTTGGAATAATGAATGTGTTCTAGTATTAACTAGTGTTAATGGTTGCACAGTTCTGTGCACATATAGAACTAAAAACTACCAAACTGTATACTTTAAAAGCATGAATTTTGGCCAGGTGTGGTGGCTCACACCTGTAATGCCAGCACTTTGAGAAGCTAGATGGGAGGATTCCTTGAGACCAGGAGTTCAAGACCAGCCTGGGCAACATGGTGAGACCTCGTCTTTATCAAAAACAAAAATAATTCAGCTGGGTGAAACATGCCTGTTGTCCCAGCTACTCAGGAAGTGAGGTGGGAGGATCACTTGAGCCCAGGAGGCCAAGTCTACAGTGAGCCACACTCATGCCAGTGCACTCCAGTCTGGGCAACAGAGTGAGCCCCTGTCTCTAAAAATAATAATAATAAAAGAATGAATTTTATAATATGTGAATTATAACCGAAAAAACTGGATGAGAAATAAATCAGGTCAAATCTGACTCTGAATTCCCATCTCACTAGGCTGGTGTGCATTCAATCTCAGGCATTCTTTTTTTGTTTGTTTGTTTTTTTGAGACAGAGTCTTGCTCTTGTTGCCCAGGCAGGAGTGCAATGGCCCGATCTTGGCTCACTGCAACCTCTGCCTCCCAAGTTCAAGCGATTCTCCTGCCTCAGCCTCCTGAGTAGCTGGGATTACAGGCACCTGCTACGACGCCTGGCTAATTTTTTGTATTTTTAGTAGAGAGGGGGTTTCACCATGTTGGCCAGGCTGGTCTCGAACTCCTGATCTCAAGTGATCCACCCACCCCGGCCTCCCAAAGTGCTGGGATTACAGAAGTGAGCCACCGCACTTGGCCTCAATCTCAGGCATTCTTAGGACTCCTTCCTCCCCCTTAAGGTCCCCAAGAATCCAGAAAGCTGACATAGACCAAGAAAGAAACTTCTGTATTCAGTTTATAACATGGCTGTTAATGTCTTCATTGTCCCAACCCCTACCATACTTTGAAGTCTTCTGGCTCTCATACTTACATGCTGTACCTGGGGGTGGGAATCTAGGACCATCTTGGGACCCTAGTGTCTATGCTACAGCCCACAGTGCATCCCCATCCTGCTCTGAGTTCCTTACAACTCCACAACCCCCAAGATAAGGAAGGTCTCAAGTCTCCATTCTATGAGAAGCAATGGACCACTCTCTGCTCCTGGGCTTGAGATGTCCTCTGCTTGCCCTTCCCTCTCTAAAACACTGCTTCTCTCTCTCTCTCAGAGGCACCTAGCATAATGAGTCAAGATTTTCCCAAAGGACAGGATGAAAAGATATTTTCAGGCAGCCTCTGCATGCCATGGAGTCCCTGTCTTCCTGCTTAGAGTGGAGGAAATAAAATTTTCTGGGAAGAAAAGAAATTATTATCTCAATATTCAATTCTAACATACCCACACAAGGGCTATAAATTGGTGAAGAATTGTCCTCTCCCCAGCACACTGATTCTAACCTGAGGCCTTGCATTCAGAGAGATAAACAAAGATCTAGGTCTACTCTCTCAGAATCATAGCTGACCTAAGCTAATGATCTCAAGCCCAGGTAGGAAAGAATTGTTAGTCCAATCTGCAAGAAGCAGATGCCAAGACACGATTAAACCTATAAAGGTTTTTGTTTTTGTTTTAAGGGCAATACTTGTAAAGAAAACAGCAGTGGGGAGAGGAAGGGCAGCTGGAGAAGGCTAGTAACACAGTCAGATCATGATTTAAGAAACAGAGAGAGCAGGGCACGGTGGCCCCTGCCTGTAATCCCAGCACTTTGGGAGGCCGAGGTGGGTGGATCACCTGAAGCCAGGAGTTTGAGACCAGCCTGGCCAACGTTGTGAAACCCCGTCTCTACTAAAAATACAAAAATTAGCCGGGCGTGGTGGCAGGTGCCTGTAGTCCCAGCTACTCGGGAGGCTGAGGCAGGAGAATTGCTTGAACCCAGGAGGCGGAGGTTGCAGTGAGCCAAGACGGCATCACTGCACTCCAGCCTGGGCAAGAGTGAGACTCCGTCTCAAAAAAAAAAAAAAGCAAAAGAAACAGAGAGAAGTTGGGGCACGGTGGCTCACACCTGTAATCCCAGCACTTTAGGAGGCTGAGGCAGGCGAATCATCTGAGGTCAGGAGTTTGAAATCAACCTGGCCAACATGACAAAACCCCTTCTCTACTAACTAAAAATACAAAAATTAGCCGGGAATAGTGGTGGGTACCTGTAATTCCAGCTACTCAGGAGGCTGAGGCAGGAGAATTGTTTGAACCAGGCAGGCAGAGGTTGCAGTGAGCTGAGATTGCACCACTGCACTCCAGCCTGGGTGACCAAGCGAGACTGAAAAAATAAGAAGGAAGGAAGAGAAAGAAAGAGAAAGAAAGAAAGAAAGAAGGAAAAAAACCCAAAAACCAAAAAAAAAAAAACACACAGAGAGGGAGAGAAGTTTGGGTAGAAATGTCCTAAACTGCCATGCAGTTAAGGGAAGTTTCAACAAGACCATCCAGAGGCCTTGAGCCAATCAGCAGACAAAAGAACCCCAGGTCTTCCAGAAAGGGATCTGCTTTAGTTAGTATCTCCCAACACTCCCATCAGTGGTGAGAGAGTTTCCCACATATATGGCAACGGGGTTTCAAGGGCAGCAACTGAAAACATGGGTCTCTTACGCTGCTCCCCACAGGAGGAAGCCAGCAGGTACCTGTGAGAGTTCATGAGAGCTGGACAAAGCACAGAGAAGGCTTTCCCTCTATACGCATCTCGCCGAATAGGAAAATAAAGACGATCTGGGTTTTAAGGGTCATTTTAAGAGGCAGCTCAGGGAGATGGAGAGACTGCTGGTTTGGCAGTTGACAGAGCTCCTGAGAGGGGACATGGCAGTACCATGCTAAAGTAAGAAGTGTCCTTTCTTCACTTTGCTACTCTTTAAGACCAAGGGTTCCAATACCCTTATGCTCCAAACATTTTCAGAGTTGTTTTTGTGTTTGTTTTTGTTTTTGTTTGAGAGGGAGTCTTGCTCTGAGCTCTGTCACCCAGGCTGGAGTGCAGTGGTGCCATCTTGGCTCACTAAAACCTCTGCCTCCTGGATTCAAGCAATTCTCCTGCCTCAGCCTCACAAGTAGCTGCTATTACAGGTGACCGCCACCACGCCCGGCTAATTTTGTGTGTGTGTTTTAGTAGAGACGGGGTTTCACCATGTTGGTCAGGCTGGTCTCGAACTCCTGACCTCAAATGATCCGCCCGCCTCAGCCTCCCAAAGTGCTGGGATTACAGGCGTGAGCCACCGCACCCGGCCATTTTCAGAGTTTCTGATAAAACTGCTCTTTCTGTGTTGCTTCACCTGCAGGTCCTGTCCACTCCTCTGGTCCCCTCCTAGGATATGGAATCCATGGGGTAGGGAGAGGACAGTTAGAATGGTGGCCCACTTCTCCATCTGTCTGCCTGCCACCCTGCTCCCTCAGGAGAAGTTCTTTCTCAGGAGGTTCCTCAGCCTCTCATGCAAACACGTCCCTGCGGGTCAAGCCCCCAGTCCTCTAGGCATGAACCCACGTGTCACAATCCTAGGCCAAGGGCAGGTGACTATAACTCAACTGTGTATCTTCTCTACATTTCCTCCACAAAGCAATATCTGAGCCTCTTCCAAAGGTGCCCCCTTTTGCCTAAGAATCCTGTCTTCTCATGGTAAGAGCCACATGCATTAATGCATAAAGTGTGCTTTCTTGAGTGTAAAGGAAGCTGCTGTAGTACTGTGGGAATCTTATTATACAGCAAAGACGGAGGGTACTAACTCCAGAAAATATACGTGTTTTTTGTTCTTTCCCTTTGTTTTGTTTTATGAAACAGAGTTTCACTCTTGTTGCCCAGGCTGGAGTACAATGACGTGATCCCGGCTCACTGCAACCTCTGCCTCCCGGGTTCAAGCGATTCTCCTGCCTCAACCTCCCAAGTAGCTGGGATGACAGGCATGCACCACCACACCTGGCTAATTTTTTAGTTTTAGTAGAGACAGGGTTTGACCATGTTGGTCAGGCTGGTCTCAAACTCCCAACCTCAGGTGATCCACCTGCCTCGGCCTCCCAAAGTGATGGGATTACAGGCATGAGCCACCACACCCGGCTTTCTTTCACTTTGTTTTGTTCCAAACTTTGGCCATCATCCACCACATGAAAATGTGAAAAAATTCACGTGGAATTCTGCTGAGTGTCCTTAGTGGAAGGCAAGACGTCCGAGAACCCAATCCCCCATCTAATAGGAAGAAAAGACTTGCAGTGGGAGGAGGACCCTTCCAAACCAGCCACTCATGGGTGGCCTCTGGGGTCCCCTGAGAACCACTTGATTCTTTCTGAAGTCAACTGGGAGTGAATTTCCAGGCTAAGCCAATACATCGCACAATTTTAAAATGAGAAGAGGCCTTAGATATTGTATCATCTAGAAGTTTCTGTACATTGACCATGGCTTGGATTAGCTGTCTAAATTTCACCCTCTGTATGGAGGTAGGTGGGGGAAACATTAATATGCAAATTCCTGGGTCTTGCCTGTAAGGATTCCAGTTCCATAGATCTTAGGAGATACCCAGAAATCCTTCCTTTAAAAAAGTTCCATGGGGGCTGGGGGGATTTTTAGGGTAGTGAAATTATTCTGTATACTATTACAATGGTGGATGCATGTCATCACACATTTGGCAAAACCTATGGAATGGGCTGGGCACAGTGGCTTACCCCTGTAATCCCAGCACTTTGGGAGGCCAAAGTGGGTGGATCACTTGAGGTCAGGAGTTCGAGACCAGCCTGGCCAACATGGTGAAACCCTGTCTCTACAAAAAAATACAAAAAATTAGCCGGGAATGGTGGTGCGTGCCTGCAGTCTCAGCTACTTGGGAGGCTGAGGCAGGAGAATAGCTTGAACCTGGGAGGTAGAGTTTGCAGTGAGCCGAGATTGTGCCACTGCACTCCAGCCTGGGTGACAGAGAGAGACTCTGTCAAAAAAAAAAAAAAAAAGGAATGTACACCACCAAGAGTGAACCCTAATGTAAACTATGAGCTTTGGTTGATAATGATGTGTCAATCCATGTTAGTTCACCTATTGTAATGATGTTGATGGTGGGGGAGGCTGTGTGGGTGGGTGGGGGATCTGTGGGAACTCTCTGTACTTTCTGTTCAACGTTGCTGTGAATTTAAAACTGTTCTAAAAAAATACTCTATTAGAAAAATAAAAGCTCTATGGGTTTACGAAGCCATCAAAAAAAGAAAAGTAGAATTCTGCCTCCTCAAGTAGAGAGATGGGGCCGGGCGCAATGGCTCATACCTGTAATCCTAGCACTTTGGGAGGCTGAGGTGGGCGGATTGCCTGAGGTCAGGAGTTCAAGACCAGCCTGGGCAACACGGTGAAACCCCGTCTCTATTAAAAATATAAAAATTAGCCAGGTGTGGTGGCAGGCGCCTGTAATCCCAGCTACTTGGAAGGCTGAGGCAGGAGAATCACCTGAACCCAGGAGGCGGAGGTTGCAGTGAACCGAGATGGTGCCACTGCACTCCATCCTGGGTGACAGAATGAGACCCTGTCTCAAAAAAAAAAAAAAAGTAGAGAGATAGACAGTCTTTTAACCAGAGTCCCCTGTGTCACTTTAATGAGCCTTGACCCCAGAAGTGCTCACTCCCATGTGCTGGAGAGTGTTGAGCTGTGAGAGTGTTGCTCCAGCGCCCAGCGCGCTGGAGCAGCACACATCCGTCTCCATGAAAGTCCTATTTCTGAGCCTCAGACACCTCCCACCTCAAGCATAACATGCTCGGGGTAGTCTCTTCCTGACTCTGAGGAACTTCCTTTGAGACTCTATGGCCTGAAGGTTGGTACTCTTCATACAGTTTGGCTCAAGGTTAACAGCTGGACCTTAAGCTCCAGCCAGCTAGGCATGCTCCTTCTCCTGCCCATATCAGCAGCCACATCAGAGTCCAGCACGAGCCAGGGCTCCAGCTCCCAGCTGGAGAGAGTAGTTTTCTGCCTCTTTACAGATTGCCACCTTCCAGCACTAAGTATTCCAGAAACTCCACCTCACATTACAGGGTGCAAAGGTGCCAGGCTTTGGAAAGGCTACAGATGGTTTAGACATCTGCTTTCACACGCAAAAGTGACCTGCCCCTCTGTTTTCCATACTGCATTTGTTCTTATTTTGCTGCAAGAAGCTAGAGTCTTCTCTTACTTTTTCCAAAGTCCCAAACACTTCACTAAGGGAATCTCTAGTAAGAACCTATTTGAGGAGAACCTGTTCCACTGCCCCATTTCTGTGACTTTCTGGAACAGAGGGGAAAGAGGAATTGGCAACATCCCCTCATAGTCCCGTACCTCCACCAAGGTGAGACTCTGAAGCCAATTGACTTATTAAGGTTCATTCCCTGAGAAGTAAGAATAGAGAACCATTCAAAGCTAGTGTCAGTTTTGTTTGTTTGTTTGTTTGTTTTGAGATGGAGTCTCACTCTGTCACCCAGGCTGGAGTGCAGTG